>NC_000012.12:103520734-103823764 GCF_000001405.40 Homo sapiens
GCCTGAGCCAGAAGCTATTAAGGAAAAAAATGGAACTGTGAAGACTTCATGGGCATGCCCAGTCCAGACACTCATCTGTCTCTCTCTTGTGTGAATGTCCTGCCTCCCTGTTACTACATGATGGACTCCTATTCATACTTCAAGACCCAAATTAATTATTTATTGCCTTCATTGTGAAGCCTTCCCCCAAAACTCCAGAAGGAATTAGTCATTCCCTTCCAAGTTGTGAGAGGCTTTTATGCTGACATCTACTATAGTGCTTGTCTCCCTCCTAGACAGTAAACACCTTTATTTTGCCATGTCATCATGCTCTATGTACTATAGGTTGTAGGATATGGCATGCACTGTGCTGCATTAAACTTTTCAGCTCCAGCAGCTAACGCAACGTATGGCACTGTGGAAATAATTAATTCAGGGACCATTAGTCTGAGATGGCTCCAGCACCTTGAGTTCCAACTAAAACTGAACCCAGAGTGGAATAGTCATAGCCTAGGAAAACAAAACAAACTTAACCAATCATTGCATCACTATTCACAGCAGCAAAGACATGGAATCAATCCAAATGGCCATGAATGATAGACTGGATTAAGAGGTGCCATCGAATACTATGCAGCCATTTAAAAAAGCGAGATCATGTCCTTTGCAGGAACATGGATGGAGCTTGAAGCCATTATCCTCAGCAAACTACCACAGGAACAGAAAACCAAACACCACATGTTCTCACTTATAAGTGGGAGCTGAACAAGGAGAATACATGGACATAGGGAGGTGAACAACACACACTGGGGCCTGTTGGGGTGAGTGGTGGGAGGGAGAGCATCAGAATAAATAGCTAATGCATGTGGGGCTTAATACCTAGGTGATGGGTTGATAGGTGCAGCAAACCACCATGGCTCATGTTTACCTATGTAACAAACCTGCACATCCTGCACATGTATCCTAGAACTTAAAATTTAATTTAATTTTTAAAAAAGAGAAACTACCCACTAACCTCTAACTAGGGACTTTCTACTTTAGTCAATGAAATATCGTCTTTGTCTTGCTTCCACTAACACCTCATAAACATTTTCCCCTCTCCCACTCAGTGGAGCCCCAACCAGTTGCAGTTTGGTGCTGCCTGATTTATGAATTGCTGTCTGCTCAAATAAACTCTAAAATTTAAATGTGCTTAAGTCGATATATTAACAGCACAGAGTGGTGCTCAAAAGACATTAATGGATAACCAGACCTGATCCTTAATTCTGTCTCCCCTCAGTTGTGCTGTCTCCTGGTTGGCACCTTTTGTGCACCTCATGTTCCCTTGGCTGGTGATATGGTTTGGCTGTGTCCCCACCCAAATCTCACCTTGAATTGCAATAATCCCCACATGTCAAGGGCAGGGTCAGGTGGAGATAATTGAATCATGGGGGCTGTTTCCCCCATACTTTTCTCATGGTAGTGAATAAGTCTCACGAGATCTGATGGCTATATAAAGGGTTTCCCCTTTTGCTTGGCTCTCATTCTCTCTTGCCTGCCACCAGGTAAGGCATCGGTTGTTCTTCCTTTATCTTCCACCATGATTGTGAGGTCTCCCCAGCCATGTGGAACTGTGAGTCCATTAAAGCTCTTTCCTTTACAAATTACCCAGTCTTGGGTATGTCTTTATTAGCAACATGTGAATGGACTAATACAGCTGGGCTTTTTGTCCCGGCCCTCTCTGTAACACCAGCTATGCCCGGGAGCCATTTGGCAACATTGCACCTCAACAGCACCCTCATCTCTCATGGCTCTCCAGCACAGCCCCAGCCAGCCATCCTGACACACGTGCAAACCTGGAAGGAAATGGGAGATAACATTCCATAGGGCACTCCTCGACCATTGGGATATGGGAGCTGATTTTTAGAATGCCCCCCTCTTTCATGTCTCAGGAGACTATTTCGAGGTATATTCTGCACAGCTCTTCAGAGAGTCACCAACAGGATTGTGTTCCTATTGCCCTCAACAGTAACCAGCTAATAACACACCCTTGGATGGGCTTTCACTCCCTGCACCTTGAAATTACTTCCCAAAATATATTGCCTGCAAACAAGTCCTCATCTCAGACTCTACTTAGATGCAAGTCCACAATGGTTTTGATGGCAGAAGAAATTACACAGGGGAGCCAAACTTCCACAGTCAGAGGCTACTCTGCTAGACTCAACAGGTCAGCCTGGAAACAAGTCCCATTGTTACAGGATTATGGAAGGAGACAGTGTCTAGCAGGCTCTGTGGCTAGTAAGCACAAACCTAGAAGTCCCAAGGAGGGAAAAACAATCCCAAGATTGAATGATGTCAGTCTGAAGAGCCATCTCTGTGCAGCAAGGCCATCTGCTACATCTAACTTAGCTTAATATCAATAGCTAAGATAAATGAGCCCTCTCTTTTAAAGATGCTCATCTATAGTTAGAATTTAATCCTTTTGGACCAGTAGGTCCCAGTCACTTGGCGGTCTATGGAGCTATTGTGGGAGCTCATAATAGTTTATATAATCACTGTACCTTGTCTGGAGAGGGAATAAATGTCTCATCATTTCTTTAGACAGCCTATGTGTATACATGCTGTTTCAATTCATCAAATAAAAACTCATTCTAAAAATGTTACTGATTTTTTATAGCTTTTGGCCATTATATGTCTTCTCTATCAATAATAGTATCCTCGTTTAAAGGGTATCTGCAAATTACATTAACATTAGAAAGGGATCCTCATATTCCAAAAGTTTTATAACACCTGTTTTAAGTGATATTAAAATAAAACAATGCTGTAGTTGCTTAATGATAGCTTCTAAACATCAAATGTCTCTATATATGTATATATAGTGTTCATGTATACAGTATATATATACAGTTCATATATACATATATATACTCTATATATGTATATATATGTAGTGTCTATATATAGACACTCGGTGTTTAGAAGCTATCATTAAGCAATTACAGCATTGTTTTATTTTCATATCACTTAAAACAGGTGTTGTAGAGCTTTTGGAATATGAGGATCACTTTCATATATATATATATATCTTAAACCTTTCAACAACCCCATAAAAGAGGTATTATTAGTTCCCCTTTAAAAGTAAGAAAACAGATTCAGAATGTGTAGGGAACTTGCCCAAGACCATAGAGATAAGTGTTGGAGCTAAGATCAGGATGGAGGCCTGTGAGCCCTTCCTGTCGCCATCATTCACTCACTGAATAGGCATGTTGGGGACATGTGGGGACATGCCAAGTGCTGTACACTTTGGGTAAAGCATAGTCATTATCCAACCCTTGCTCCTGGAAAAATTTCCCTTCTGACAGTTTAATTCAATTCTTCTCCTTGCTCAGCTTAAGTGGGTTTAAGGTGTAACAGAATCTGACCTTCTTTAGCTTCTTTTCACAGCCCCTAAGATGCATTCTGCCTATCCTTTTGCAAGGATTTCTTGCTCTTTTATCACCTGTTTGTTCTCTGGCCTCTAGTTCACCTACAAAGAAAGATTAAAGGGGAGACAAGCTCAGTTATTTGAGTCTTTCCAGCTGCCCCAATTTCATCCTTCTGCCAGGGAAGAGAGCTTGGTCCTATAAGGAGGAATCAAAGAGTTGGCAAGAACAGATTCCCATCGTTTCCAGCCACGCTGCCTTGAGGCACACAGAGGTGGCAAAAAAAAGGGCCTGGTCAGGTTTTCTGTGTGTGTCCTTTGTGTTCCAAAACCAGAGAGACCTGCTTCCCAAGCCTCCACGTGCCTTCTCCATTAGCACCAAGCACAGCTAAACCCTGGGCAAGTCCTCCCTCTAAAATATCACCAGGGAACAAACGCAGCAACCTTGTCATTTATCAGAATGATGATCAGCCCAGCAACACAGTCAGGCTGGACCAAATCAACTTCAAGTTATTTGAAATGTGTAATCCATTAAGTAAACTGATCTGTCACAATGCCCTGGGTCATTCCCTGGCAAGGTAGCCCATGATGAATAGCTGCTAAGGGGCAGAACATAGGTAGTTTTCTGAGGTCCATCAACAGATTGACTGCACATAAGTGCCAAGACAGTTACAGGACACCTCCAGGAAGCACTTTCAGGCATGCCTGTGATATCACAGTGACAAGAAAAGTTCAGCATCACAGGACCTGCAGCTGGTTTTGATCAGAGTTATCTTCTCCTGACTCCAAGCAATGTTGTCACAAAACATGGCTGGCCCAACTAAATTGGAAGTTGTTCTTTTTAGTTTTTTTGGGGGGGGGGCAGGGGGGCAGGTCTGGGGAGATTTTTTTGTTTGTTTTTTGTTTGTTTTGTTTTGTTTTGTTTGAGACAGGATCTTGCTCTGTCACCCAGGCTGCAGTGCAGTGGCACAATCTCGGCTCACTGCAGCCTCAACCTCCTGGGCTCACGTGATCCCCCTGCCTCAGCCTTCCAAGTAACTGGGACTACAGGCATGTGCCACCAGACCCAGCTAATTTTGTTTTATTTTTGATAGAGATTGGGCGGGGGGAAGTCTCACTATGTTGCCCAGGCTGGTCTTGAACTCCTGGACTCAAGTGATCCTCTTGCCTGTGCCTCCCAAAGTAGTAGGATTACAGACATGAGCCACCACACCTGGCTATGAAATTCTGGAATCTTAAAGAAGCTGAGTGACAAATGCATTGTGACACCATAATTTAGCTCCTTTAGGAATCCATCTCAATGAATGCAAAGATTTGGCTACAGGTTGTTTCATAGAGTGTTATTTGTGGATGATGTGATGTTGATGATGGTGATGATGGATCAAGCTTGGCACTGATCCAAGCACTTCATGTATAATATTAACCCAAGTTATCATCATAGCAACCCCTGAGGTAAAATATTATTATTAACAGTATTATTATAATTAATTGTAGTAACCCCATTAGCAAAATATTATAAGTATCAATATTATTATAATTAAAGTAGTATTATTACAATTTTACAAATGAGAAAACTGACACCTACAGCAGTCAAATAATTTTGTCAATATGATGCATCCAGTAAAAACAATCTGCCAGGCCAGGCGCGGTGGCTCACGCCTGTAATCCCAGCACTTTGAGAGGCCAAGGCAGATGAATCACAAGGTCAGGAATTCAAGACCAGCCTGGCCAACAAGGTGAAACCCCATCTCTACTAAAAATACAAAAATTAGCTGGGCGTGGTGGTGGGCACCTGTAATCCCAGCTACTTGGAGGCTGAGGCAGGAGAATTGCTTGAAACCGAAGGCGGAGGTTGCAGTGAGCCAAGATTGCACCACTGCACTCCAGCCTGGGCAAAAGAGTGAAGTTCTGTCTCAAAAAAAACAAAACAAAACAAAATCTGCCTTCAGAGGCTGCTCTTTTAAGCATCTCTGCTAGTTGCAAGAAACCAATCACCCACATGTGTTTTATCTTTCAACTATTCCGAGCTTTCAATTTTATTCCCTTTAATCCTCAAGAAAGAATGATAGGGAATCCTTAATAATATTTTTGTAATAAAATTACCACATTAACTTTGAGAAGAAATAATATAATCTTCAGGCAAATAAAGCATTATTTGCTTTTTCTAAGCATATTTAAGCTACTCTGGTTGTCAGAAACCAGAACTCAATTCTTAAAATCAATATGCACTATGGAAAGCCATGTGATTTGGCAAAGTTTCTATCATTGCACGAGTTGTCTGGTTTTAGTTGATAGAGTGAAAAGAACAAAATGTAAACTAATGTAACTCAAGGGTTTGGGGTAAGTTTCAGCATATGTGTCGTTATTTCATTGTATCCCCAGGAGAACACTAGGAGGTGTATATGATTAGTCCCATTTGCAGAGATAGGAAAGAAAGGCTTAGAGAGGTTAAGTAATTTTCCCAATACTATGGACTGAATTGTATCTCCCCAAAATTCATATGTTCAAGCCCTAACCCCCAATGTGACTATGTTTGAAGCAAGGAAATCATTAAGCACCAGAAAGCTCAATCCTGACATGCTCCCTCTCCATGTGCACAGAAAAAGCCCATGTGAAGACACGGGGAAAAGAAAGCTGTTAACAAGGCAAGAAAAAGAGCCCTCAGCAAGAACTGAATCAGCTGGCATTTCAATCTGGGACTGCTAGCCTCCACAGCTTTGAGAAAATAAATTTCTATTGTTGAAGCTTCCCAATGTACAGTATTTTGTTATGGCAGCCTGAGCAGACTAGTACACTCAAGATCACGCAGCTACCAAACAGTAGAACAGAACCAAAACTTGTGCTTTCTTCATTGCAACAGGCTGTCTGTATTTGGCGTTAGTGGTTCCCATTCAACAGCAGCTACTTTTCTTCTTTCTTACTCAGAGAACCCAATTGACTTCTGGCAGCCTATGGGCTGGTCCTCTTCTTCTTGTCAGGGATTGGTTAAATTTGGTATACATTGTAATTTGGGCAACGAGATGGGAAGCAAGTCTGCTGAAAGGCTTCTGAGAAAGATTTCCTTACCAAAAAAATTTCAGAAAGAAATGGTTTCTTTTCTGCCACTGGACATGAACATGTCTGTGCTTGAGAGCTGGATCTGTGGCAGCCATCTTGTAAGCATGAGGGGGTTACTCTGAGGGAAAAATGCTAAAGACTACAGAATGACAAGATGGAAGGAATCTTGTCATTTGTCCCCTCCAAATCTCATGTTGAAATTTGATCCCTAATGTTGGCGGTGGGGCCTAATGGAAGGAGTTTGGGTCATGGAGATGGACCCCTCATGAATAGATTAGTGCCCACTAGGTGCTTGTCAACATTATAGAGCTTCTACAGAAACCAACTTGGAGTTTCCCTCATTCTGACATATTGTTGATGAGCTAATAAATCCTCTTATTGTTCATGCTATCATGAGTAGGTTTTTCTCTTCCTTTCTGGTACTTCCTGTTCCTTCCTTCCTGATACAATCAGTATTTCAGGCCTACAAACACATAGCTATGCAGATGTCGCTGAAGGGACCATAAATTCCCAGTTAGGCTTGCAGCCTCTCCTCCACATCTCTCAGGGGGCCAGAACCTGAACCACCCATGGCTAGGATTTCACCCCTCCTCAAGAGAGACCACATGCCTTCACAATGTTAGAATTTGTTTATGCTGATATGAAATCCAGTGTTTGTTATCAACTGCTCCTACTTCTACCCACTAAGCAAATATCATCTCTGTTCTTTAACTTTTAAATTTATACAATGAAGGCATGTCTGGACTGAGCTCTGGGTTTAGACAATGGGATAAGTAAAACGGGGTCCTTGCCCCATTAATTACTCATAATTTTCACAATAGCCATTCAGATTTTGAAGGCAGCTATCATATTTTCTATCCCCAAATTGTCAGCTCCCAAAAAATATAGACTTTAGTTATACTTCTTTTGCAATACTGGCTTACTATAGGCATGTAATAGATTTCATGGGATGAATGAATCAATGAATGAATGGTAGAAGAAATGGAACATTTAACAAATGCCAAACATAGGGATAGATATAGACATAGATATAGATTCTGCTCATGAAAGAAGTCAGGAAGAGAAGATGAAGACATAGATATAAGAAAAAAATTGAGAAAGCAACAGACAAATTTCAATTAGGTCCAACCAGTGTCATATAGCTTACAAGTAGTACTTGAGCTGTGAATTGGCATGAAAGAGACTACAGTCAAGGGAAAATTCCTTTGCCTGATGCTATAGTTGGATGTTTGTCCCTCTAAGTCTCATGTTGAAATTTGATCCCTAATGTTGGAGGTGGGGCCTATTGGGAGGATTTTGGTCATGGAGGGGGACCCCTCATGAATAGATTAGTGCCCACTCAGTGTGTGGTGAGGGAGTTCTAGCTCTGTTAGTTCTCCAGAGAGCTGGCTGTTAAAAAGAGCCAGGCAGCAACCCCTCCTCTCTCTTGCCTCCTCCCTCACCCTGTGCTCTCTCTGCATGCCAGCTCCCCTTCGCCTTCTGCCATGAATAGAAGCCACCTGAGGCCCTCACCAGATGCCCAATCTAGAACTTTTCCAGACATCAAAATCACGAGCCAAATAAATTTGAGTTTTTTTCCTTATAAAAATTACCCAGTTTCCAGTATTCCTTTATAGCAACACCAAATGAAGACACCAACTTTGTGCCAAATGCTACACTGGATGCTTTCACAGACATTCTTCTACCTAATCCTCTAATAACTGTTTGGGGCAAGTATTGTCCATGTTTTAGACAATGAGGAAACCAAGGCTCAGAGAATTTCAGAAACATGTTCAAAATCACAGAGGCGGTGAGTGGTAGGGCAGAGATTCAAACTTTTTGGTCCCTGAACCCATGTTGTTTCTACCATTCAATGTTTCCAAAGTAGTATAAGAGTGTGCACCAAAGGAAAAAACAACAACGAAAAAAAACGCCATTGCAAACTATACCATGAAAACCAATAAATGCCCATCCTCCAGGTGCCTGAGCATGACTTAAAAATAGGGGTGAATCCTATCCACGTATCGGCATCTGGTGTCAAATCATCACAATGAACAGTAGCACAAGATCTCAACCTTTGTGTTCACTTATTTTACTCCTCTCTTTACCGTTATTAATAGCTGCAAATAGTAAATTCTAATGGAGCCCATAGGATTGCTTTTAAATAAGCAAGGATATAACTCAAAGGTGGATTTCCTCAGCATGTAATGCCTGAAATGTTAGACTTTGTCCATTCCTGTAAATGCTGTAGCAGCTCTGCATTAGAGCTTCTCACAGCTAACTGCTTTTGTGGTTAATGAACTATTTCAACAGTGCGTCGGCTCTCCTCCCTTCTCAGGATACCCGTTGCCACATAAACACACCATTCTGAACAATACCACCCTATTAGCAGATGGTGTTGGATTAACACAATCATCCACAGGTCTGGGCTGGCAGCAGGAGATAGTCAGGGATGGCGGGATTTGAGAATTTGAGCTCTACAGACTGTTTGGGTCTCTCTGGAGTGTGTTACAGGGTATGAGTTCTGCTCTTCAGAAACCTGGCAGCTGTGATAAATGCATTTCCACTGATCATTTCAACCTGCAATTTGCAACATCTGATTCCTTTTATGAGGTTTGGCTATTTCAATGGTGAGACAAAATCAACCCCCAACTTGGGCTTTGAATTTTCATCATTTTTAAACTTCTGTTTCCCTCACCCCCAAAGAGATTTCCAAAATTTCCCTTTCAGCTGCCTTTCCTCCCCCATACTTCATTAGATAGCATTCCCCCATGACACTTTCAGAATTCTCCCCAGATACCAAAAGAATGGGGCTTAGGAGTGTATTTCTTAATCGCCCTGTCTTCATTTTGCTTTAGTCAATACGCTTAAGGCACAAGTTATTAAAATGTGTATTACTGACTTGACTTTAGGCTTTGAAAGTACAAAGAAGTCTTCTCTTTACACAGCTAGTGGAGATTGCTGAAAATAATAAGGCCCAAGATGGGAAAATTTCCATTTCGTACTTTTTTAGAGATTCCTCTGAAAAGAGAAGGTAAGCTATGCCAGAAAATAAAAGTTATCAGGAAGTATCTGCAGAGTGTTCCTGGAGGCAGTTCTCCTCTGGAATCCGAACTGTCAGCTGCACATGGAGCCCGGCTGACTTATGAAGAGCGTGATGTGGGATCGTTTGGCATTCTGCAAAGGCGGTGGCGTGTGTTGGGGGCCAAGGCGTGCTGGAGACTTTGGGGTCTGCCAGGCTTTCACTCTCTCCAGATCGCCCCTGCCTCCCAGCAGGAGCTGACCCAGGCTTAGAAAAGGTTAACTAGCACAAACAGCCATCATTTGTGACGAGTGGGAAAGCCCCATGTGTTGCCCCAGCTTCTCATTATGAGGCATGAGGGGTGGGTTTTCTCTGTTGTTCAGACGGTTGGCACAGGGTAAATACCCAGCATGCTTCTGCTTTAGGAACTGGAAGGGCCTGTCTCCCGGCAAGTGTTCGGGGGGGGAAAACCCACACCATCGGAAACCCTCCTATTGGTGAGATGGGGGAGGTGAGGGGTGAAGGAGATAGGGAAAGAATTTGGGTGCAGAATCACTCTTCAGTGTGTGTTGAATAAATTCGTTCACCTAGACCTAATCGGTTCAAATGCTCTATTTTCAGACCCCATCTGCTTACCTCAAGGAAAGTTTGGGGAACAGCTCTGTCCTATTGTGAGCCCATCATTTTGCAAATCTATTCCCGCCACAGCTCTCATTATAACAGATGTCAGCAGAGGAATCTGAGCTGTCAGGGAACTGCTGACCATGAAAAGGAGGGGCAGAGGCAAGAAGCGATGCAAACAAAACAGTCGCCCCCATGACACACATAAACAGGAATGTTTGTCACAATATTTTCCCACATTGCCCAACAATTCCAGGGGACATATTTCTCAAAGAAAAGGGGGGAAACATCACTGTAAGACTAATGAGGCAGAATCCATCAAGTTCATCTCCTCCAACTTGAAGGATCTGTAACCCAGTCCTAAAATCGTCTTTCTCTGCAATGAAAATTGATATATATGTATTCCCCACAAGAGAGTTTCTTGATGACATTAAAAATAATGTGCCAGCTAACTTTTAGGCTGGGCAGTGGTGTAGAGAGTTTAAGCTTCCATTTTTTAATCTTTTTTTCTTTTTATAAAACCTGCCACATCCTGAGTTGTGATCAAAAAGGGTCCTAAAATTGTGCATGTGGTAAGAAAGAGAGCACAATTTCTTGCTAGCCCTACCCTTCTGTCAGAATGTTAGGATAATCCATGAAGCCTGCCTATAGCAGTAGCACAGAATCAAGGGCTGTTTCCCTTGAATACAGTTTTTCTAATCTGGGTCTTCTGTTGTCAAAAGAAAGCAAAGAGTTGGGTCTTGGAACCAGAGATATTGAGATCACTGGATTTCCTCCCAGCTCATGATTTCAGAGGTTTGAGTAGCAAGTCCTTTTCATTACATTTTGGGTAAGAGAATATTAACCTGGTAAATATTAAAACTTCACATTCATCAAAATATATCAATTCCTAGAATCTGAGAGACCTCTCTAAATTCCCATCCAGTATCAAAGCCCATCAGTGATTTTGTTTAAAGACCAAGGCCCTAGCAATATTTCCAGATTGGTGCTTCAGTTGGTTACACAGGTTGTTGGTTGAAGACAAATCCCTTCTAAAAGGGCATGCTGGTTCTTTAAGAGTTTTGCTTTAACCTAAACTTTAAAAACTGCATTATGAAGCATTGTGGGATTACAGTTTATATATAACTTAGATTATGATCTTTGTTGGCTTTTTTCTGTTTTTAAGACCAAATGATAAGGCAGACTCTGCTGCAATGGCCTATCTGTAAAACCTTAACATGTCGCATAAACACACCTTTAAATAAAAATTCCTTGCTATCATGTTCTGCTCTATGCCTCAAAGAAACTCACCTAACTTTTATGCAAGGCAGCCAGGCAAATGTTAATATCTCCATTTTATAGTTGAAGAAACTGAGGCACTCAAAGAACAAAAGTTTAAAGCTATATCTTCTAACTCCTGGTGCTTCTCCCTACACCCTGGGTATAAAAAGCTCCATAATTTTTCACACCCATCTGCATGATGGATACCGTGCAGCCGTGAAAAACCAGGTGAGAAAATAATATGTATTAAAGATGGGAAAACGTTTATAACATACAAAGTAGAAACACTCTAGATACCAAAACTGTGTATGGTATGATCTCAATGTGTTTTATAAATGGACTTATTTATATGCTTTGATTAGAAATATGTACAAAATATTGATTATGGTTGTCCCTGAATGGTGAGCATTTTACTTTCTCTTTTATACCTACTTTGTATTTAAAACATTTTATACAAGAAAATTGTAAAACAATATTGTGCCATCTGGAAAAAAAAACATGTATTTGATTGGCAGTATGTATCACAAGTCATGTTCTAAACTAAAGAAAATTTAATAAGAAAGAAAAATAGCTCTATTTTACTTTGTTTAATTCTCAACTTCTGACACAATTATGTATAATATTTTTGACTCTCAGATCTATGACCTCCATGACAAAATCAAACACTGTCCTGTGTCATTTGCATGATATGCTTATTAAATTACCATTAGTATATGTGACCTACTAACTGTATGATGAAATATACAAAAATGAGGATGACCGCCGTAACCATTACAGAAGTGTCAGTCTTGCCAGCCTCCTCTAACAACAGGGCAGACACAGAGTCGAGTCTTCAAAGAGGTCACATCAAAACGCCCCTGCCCCACAGGCAAGGTGAAGCGCGGATCACGGAGACAACGGGGAATTGTGTTTCTGCTGGCATGACTGGAACCAATGCCAATCACACAAAAGTTCACCCTACGGTTCAGTCCTTGACAGAATATGATTCCTTTCAGACTCATTCCACCAGCAGAGTGAGTTTCTAAACATTCTCCGGCTGCATTTCATAATACTAACGATATAAATGAATATTTAGTCGAGAGCATTAACTTTTTGCAACAATGGTGGTTATGTCCTCTAACTCAATAATTGCTATACTTACCAAATACTATGGGAATTTGTCATTGCTGAAAACAGCAAATTAGTTTTGGGGAACTTGAATTTTCTTAAATTGTCCCTTCCCAGACAGGAATTCATTCTGGCAGTATAAAGTTGAATATTGCTAGTACCCCAGAAGACCTTCCAGCTAATCTGATTCTCTTTAGTTCAGTATCTTCAACAGCTACTGTGGTCTTTCTGGTTGCTCTCGTCCATTGTGCTTTTGGTCCTCATGGGTCTCAGCTCAGACACATTTTCTCTCTGGTCCCAATTTTCCACAAAAATGTCCTCTGGATGACCCCCGGGTCTATGTAAACAGTAAAACTGCCATGCCAGGCATGGTCTGGGGAACCAAAGCTCACACTGTATTCTAGATAGTTAATGTTCTGAAGCTACATTTGAAAGCAACATTTTCTGAGATAACTTTTGCGGCACATATTTTATGTTGAAATATATGAAATTGACATTTTTGTTGGTCAAAAATGGTCAAATGTCTGCAACTTGATTTTGGTGATTCACACAATATTCACCAAGCTACAAATTTTCAAATCACAGAACCAGATTATAATCCACTGAAAATAAATAACATAGGTTTATATGCTATTCTCCTTCTTTTTGATAAATGATAACCTTTCAACGATAGCACTTTCATGGGCAGAGAAATGCTTTGTGTGGAGTCACTGCCTAGGTTTAAACACTAGCCCAGCACTTACCAATAGTGCAGTCTTGGGCAAGTCTTAATTTCTCTAAGCCTCGGTTTCCTCATCTGCAAAATGGGGATAATACAGCACCTGCTTCATGTGGTCATTGTACAAATTAAATGAAGTATATTAAGTGCTTAGCCCCATGCTTAGGCATACAGTGAGTGCTCAACAAATTAAATTCTTCAATTCAATCAACAAAAATAGATTAAGGACCTATATCTCTGAAAATACTTATCCTCATTGAACTTACATTCTTGTGGGCATTATTGTTTTATCAAAATTATTTGATGGCTATTTAAAATTTTTTCATACACGAAAAATATCTGCCAATCGCTGTGTAGAGGTAGAGTTAAACTCAAATAAATACCACAGAAATTCTTCTGAGGCTCACATGCTTACATGCTCTGGAAGAGAAGAAAGGGAAGAAAATGTGGAGATACATCATAATTACCACTGTTTTCCTATTCCTGCAATTGTGCTGCTGACTACATGCCAAGCGAGACTAAAGGGATCCATGACCCATAAAAGGAATCCCCAGTACTACTTTCTGGGTATGAGTCTAGCCTCGGATATGAAGAGCTGGTCATGGATCTTCACTCCCAACCTTGTGTCACAAGTAGAATGAATGAGCTCATTCATTCATTCCACAAATACTTACTTCACATTTACTATGCCCTTGTCACTGTCCTAAAGATACAGCAATGAAAGGAGACTGTCTTCTTTCCTCAAGAAACTTACCGTATGATTGGAGAAAATATGAAATGAATAAGCAATTATGGTAACCGGTAATAAGTGGGGTGAGACGGTTCTCTATGGGTCTCTCACAACTCTGCATGTCTTGCAAGCAGAAGCATTAACTGCCCTTTTGCTCAGACTATCTTTTCAGAAATGTTTGTATAGCCAACAGCCTGGGAAGACAGAAATAGGATTTCCCTCTAGAAGAAAAGGCAAGTTTGTTTACTGTTCAGTATGATAAAGATAATGTCTTTCCCTGGGGTAAGTGTTTGCTTGCAACCCAATAAGAAAGATTCAGGTTCTCTAAGCTCGGGATTCCTTTCCTGTAATACAACCACAACATGTGCAAGTATCACCTGGCCCTTATTATCTCAATCTATGGAGACTGAGCTCAGGAAATCAGGGCAGGAAAGCAGTGATACTTTGTCTACTGTTATTTCTAGTAATCCTTCCCTTGTCTCTGACCCAAGAGCCTTGTGTCCTCTGCCAGAATGTGAGAGACTATGGCAGGCCAACATTTTGGAGTAATCTTCCCAGAAAGTAGGGATAGAGAAGCTAAATCCTGAAAGTTTGGTACAGTTCACATAATAAAGGGGAAGAAAAGTTGCCTCAGATGGAAAGGATAGTTTTATAACAAGACTGGGTATGGTAGGCCCATTCAGGGAACTGTGAGACATTCAAGACTGAAGTATAAAATACAAGCATAACTTATATTAGATATAAGTATAAAATATAAGCATAACTTATATTATATATAAGTATAAAATATAAGCATGAACTACTGCACCCAGCTTTTTTTTTTTAAATCGAACCTTCCACCAAGTAGCTGGGATTATGGGTGTGGCTATAGTGCTTATATGAGGCTACAGAGGTTGGTAGATCATGGGAGCCTTGTGTGCCAGGCTAAGGAGGTTATATGTTATTCTAAGGGCAAGAGAGACTCTTCAAAGGGTTTAAAGTAGGGAGGTAATATATCAGATTTATTCTTCAAAAAAATCAAAATAGCTATCTCTTGGAGAATGGATTGGAGAGAGGCAAAGCTGGAGGATGAGATGCTATATGAAGCCATAAAAATAATCTAGGCAAGACATGTTGAGGACATGAACTCTAAAAATAGCAGTGGGAATGGAGGGAAGTAGATCTGTGAGATAATAAGAATTTTTTTATTTTTAGATGGGTTCTCACTTTGCTACCCAGGCTGGAGTGCAGTGGCACCATTTCAGCTCACTGCAACCTAGATTGCCTGGTCTCAATTGACCCTCTCACCTTAGGCTCCAGAGTAGCCAGGGACCATAGGCATATGTCACCACCTCCAACAAATTACTTTTTATTATTTGTAGAGATGCTCTCTCGCTATGTTGCCCAAGCTGGTCTTGAACTCCTGGCAGCAAGCGGTCCTCCTGCCTTGACCTCCCAAAGTGCTAGGATTACAGGCATGAACTACTATGCCTGGCTGATAATAAGGAATTGTAAGAATGAATTGATTGATAGTTGGTAGGTTGGTTGGATTGGAGGTGGTTGGTTGGATTAGGAGCAGTTGTGGGGACTGGTTAGATGTCAAAGATGAGAGTCAATAATGAACCTCAGTTTTCTAACTTAAGCAACAAAGTAGATGATGGGACCATTCTCTGAGAGAGGAACACAAGAGTAAGGGTGGTTGGGGATGATTTAGATCTGTACATCTTGAGTTTGAAATGTCTTTGGCTCTCTAAGTGGTAATATCAGGTAAAGGGAAAGGTATGGGTGTCGATCTCAGGAAACAGAACTGGGCTGAGATTTAGGCTTAGGAATCTTTAACATATAGATGTCAATTGAAGCAATGGCCATAAATAAGAGTAGCCAGGGAAAATATACAGAATGAAAAGATAATAGTGTAGAGGATGGCACTTTGGAGAGAAGGCCTTAAAGATGAACTCAATAAGGAGTAAGACATTGGCAAGAAGGATGAGACCATCCCTCCCCCAGCCATCACATGTCCAACAACTGGGATGAAAGAGAAGGGTGCCACAAGCTCTTGGCAAGAAACCAACCCCAACATCCATAGCCTGATGACCACCACTGCATTTGAGACAGAAGGACCAATCTCATTATGTCCTTTCTCCTTTTCTCCCTTTGCTCTTGTCACTCTCCACAAGAAGCCCAGAGTGCCCAGGTGACTCCCCACCTTTTAAACTTCCATCCCAATAAATGCCACCTCATCAGCGAGGCCTTCCCTTACCGCCCTTAAAATTCCAGTTTCTCCTATATGTTCCTATCCCCCTTTTTTATTTTTTGTATAGTGTTTATTACTGTCTAACATGCTATAGTGTCTACCTTTTTTAATTTGGCGATTGTCTGTCTCTTTCTGCTAGGATGAAAACCCTATGAGAGCAGAGGGATTTTTTTTTAATTGTATTCACTACTCTTGCCCCAGGACTTAGTATATAGTGCCTGGCCCATAGCTCATTCTCAATTACTATTTTCTGAATGAATGAATGAATGAATGAATCTGAAGGGTATGGTATTTCATTTTGTTAGAAATAATACATGGTGTTTTTTATTTATGTTCCCTTTAGCAAAGACAGCTTCCAGTTCTAGCACAGAAGAGAAAGAAATAGAATTTTCCAGAAAATCTCAAAGATAGCCTCCTTCAGAAGGGTTGGTGAGTGGTTCCATTGTCTGGGGTAGTTATTGCAAATCAGATAGTTTGCGTTCTTAAGGTTTATGAAAAAAAAAACACCTATTAAACCGAGGGATCCCTAGCTATCATATTCCATGGAAGAAAGAGAAAACTGTGGTTTGACTTCCATAGAACTAAAGTATATCAGAACAAATCTGGTTCAATATTTCTAGAGCTGGCTGACACCAAGAAAGTGGTGACTTGCAAGAGTTTTACCAACACAAAACTGCAGCCATAATCAAACACAACCATAATCTTTTGGCAATTCCTAAGTCTTTCCTATATAGAAGTGCTGAGAAGTGGCTGTAGAGAGGACTGAAAGGGGAGCGCTACCATCTTGGAAGTCAAAGCTATGGAATCCTCAACCTCCTTTAGCCCTTCCTTCTGAAGGACTGACCTCATTCTCCTTGGAAGAACTAAAGCACATTCTTTATAGCCCCAGTCTCTGACAAACATTCCATGGGGCTGCTAGAAGCAATAGCAGTAATGGATTAAGCAGACACCAGGTCTCCCCCAACTTAGGCTTTGTAAGCCTTCAGAATAGTTGGATAATATAAAGTTAGCAGCTTCAAGAAAAAGATAATGGATTTCCGGTTAATTAAGCATGAGGCAGTTTTATCTTAAAAAGGGAGATTTGTGGCTGTATTTCTATTATGAATTTGTAAAAAGAAAATTATGCCAGTATACCAGTTTTTCCAGACACTAAAGGAAGAAACAACTTTATGAAGAAGAGAGTAGTCACCAATATCTGCTGCAAAGAAAAAAGCTTAAAGTCTTAGAAGTATTTAGTAGATTAAACCACAAGAGATCACTTATAACCTTGTTCCACATTCACAGGGAGATTGTGGGGACAGAAGCCAGATGAAAATGAGTTGAAGAAAAATTGGGAGGTGAGAAAGTGAAAATGGATGTGCATTCTTTCCAAAAAGAATTCTAGTAAAGCAGAAGAGAGATATCTAAGCTGCTAGCTGGGAAGAAAAATGGAATCCAGAAAGGTTTGCTGAAGAGGTAAAAGATTTGCTCATGTTAAAATACAGATGGAAGAATGCAGTAGAGAGGAAGAGTGTAACAGATACTGTTTACATTTTATTTTATTGACAAGCAGCATTCATCCCCAATCCTTCCACGTTTTCCTCTGTCTCAGGGGCTGGAGGCCTGGAAACTACAACTCTCAGAGTCCCTTAGAAGGTGTCCATTTAGAGTTCACCAATGAGAGGCCCTGGCACAAAATTGAAAAGGCAGAAGACAAGTAGAAGTCATTATTGCCTCTGTGGGAACAAAGAATGGCAAAGGACTGGCATAAAGTTTGTCAGACCTCCAGGCATCTTCCTGTGAATCATCCACTTGGGTGATTCAACTACTGAGATCATTGGTGGCACTTTTCTGTGATTTCTGGATAAACTGTTTTTCTGAAAGCTAGTAATGGCTTTTCTGGCCTTTGCCCCCCTCCCACACCCAACCCTTCCAACACTTTTGTGAGCCTCCAAGTCCCTGTATTATATCTCTCCCTGCTTGAAATACCTAGAGTGGTTTCTGTTTTCCTGGCCAAATCCTTATGGATCCAAGGAGACTGAGGAAGCAAGAGAGAGCAGGGCATTTTATGGAATGAGGACATTGAGATAATGGAAGGGGATGAGATTCAGAATTTGAGTGAAGGGGTGGGCCTTAAAGAGGGGGAGGAGTACTTCTTTATCTCAGAAAAGCGAAGAAGGCAAGCACGAGTACAAATAGAGCAAAATGAAACAGAAGCACAGGATATCCAAAAGTTCTGTTCTCTCTCAGAGGTAAGAATAACAATTGCTAACATTTATGGATCCCATCACATACATCAAACAGTGCTAAGGACTTCAAATGTATTAGTTCATTTAATGTTTACCATGATGTAATAAACATAATTATTATCACCTCCATATTACAAAGGAGGGAGGCAAAGTACAAAGACATTGAGTGCAGAGTGAGAATTGAGTTTAGGCAGTCCATCTCTAGACATATATCTGTGCATGTGTGTATGTGTGTGTGTGTGGGTATGTGTGCATAAAATCAATTGCACAGGCTTGGATTAATATTATGCTTGGTTCTTTTTTTTTTAATAAGGAAAAAACACCTATCAACCACTATCCAATGCATGAACTTGAATACTGACAAGCTACATCTACCTGTGTGTTTCCCCAGTTCTGTTCCCACGCCTCTTCCCATCTGAAATAATCATTATACTGAATCTTGTCTTCATCATACCTTTACTTTTTAAAATATATCTTATGTCATGTATGTACGTTCCTAAAATTGTAAGTTTAATTTTTTTTTTTTTCTTTTGAGATGGAGTCTCACTCTGTCACCAGGGCTGGAGTGCAGTGGCACAATCTCAGCTCACTGCAACCTCTGCCTCCCAGGTTCAAGCGATTCTCCTGCCTCAGCCTCCTGAGTAGCTGGGATTACAGGTGTCTGCCACTACACCCAGCTAATTTTTTGTATTTTTAGTAGAGACGGGGTTTCACCATGTTGGCCAGGCTGGTCTTGAACTCCTGACCTCGTGATTCGCCCGCCTTGGCTTCCCAAAGTGCAGGGACTACAGGCATGAGCCAACGCGCTTGGCCTGTATATTTAATTTTTAATTTTTCTTAACTTTAATAAAAAGGTGACATGCTAAACGTAATCTTCTGAGACAATTTTTTACTTCATACTTTATTGAACATGAGGCCATGAGGTCGTTTTTTGTTTTTGTTTTTGTTTTTGTTTTTGTTTCTTGAGACAGTCTTGCTTTGTCACCCAGGCTGCAGTGCAGTGGAGCAATCAGCTCACTGCAACCTCTGCCTCCTGGGTTCAAGCGATTCTCCTGCCTCAGCCTCCTGAGTAGCTAGGATTACAGGCACATGCCACCATGCTCAGCTAATTTTTGTATTTTTAGTAGAGACGGGGTTTCACCATGTTGGTCAGGCTGTTCTCGAACTCCTGACCTCATGATCTGCCTGCCGCAGCCTCCCAAAGTGCTGAGATTACAGGTGTGAGCTACCGCGCCCGGCCGAGGTCATGTTTCTCATCTGCACTTCTTAATTCTTCCATATTATTACTGATACTTTTGTCTACTTGATCTATCAATTACTAAGAAAGGAGTGTTAAAATATCCCTAGTATGATTGTAGATTTGTCATTTTCTCCTTGTAGTTACTTTTGATTTTGTGCATTTTGAGGGTATGTTGCTAGGCGAATACACCTTTAGAATGTTTATATTTTTCCCACACATTGAGCCGTTTCTTGTTATGCAGTAACTTTCATTATTTCTCATAGTGTTTTTTGCCTTCAGGTCTAAAATTATTAATATTGCAACCGCAGCTTTCCTGTGGCCTGCTATATCATTTCCTATCCATTTATCTCCAATCTTTCTGTATCCTGATGCTTCAAGTTTATCTCTTTTAAATAGCATGTGACTGTATTTTTTTAAACCCAGTCTGACAGTCTTTATATTTCAACTGGAACATTTACCACTTAATTTTCTGCAATGACAGCTATATTTGGGTTTTCTTCTACCAATTTATTTTGTACTCTGTATTTGCCTCACATTTTGTGTTTAGTTTTTCCTTCTTTCTTGCCTTCCTCTGAATTGAATGAATTTTCTTTCTTTCTTTCTTTCTTTTTTTTTAAAGACGAAGTCCTGCTCTATTGCCTAGGCTGAGGTGCAGTGGTGCAGTCTTGGCTCACTGCAACCTCTGCCTCCCGGGTTCAAGCGATTCTCCTGTCTCAGCCTCCCGAGTAGCTGGGATTATAGGTGCATGCCACTATGCCTGGCTAATTTTTTATATTTTAGTAGAGATGGAGTTTCACCATGTTGCCCAGGCTGGTCTCAAACTCCTGAGCTCAGGCAATTCACCAGCCTCGGCCTCCCAAAGTGCTAGGATTACAGATGTGAGCCACTGCGCCCAGCTAATTTTTTTCTTTATTCTCCTTTCTCTTCTACTGATTTAGAAGTTACAATCACTATTTCTATTATTTTAAAGATTTCCATATAAATTACAGAATTCCCATTTAAGTTGTCTTTATCTCAAATTAATCACATAGAGTTATGCTCCCCATAATGACATTTTGGTCAATGGTAGGATGCATATATGAAAGTGGTCCCATAAGATTTTAATGCAGCTGAAAATGTCCTATCATCTAGTGATGTCATAGCCATCCTAATGTCACAGTGCAACTCATTATTCATGAATTTGTAATGATGCTAATATAAACAAACCTACTGTGCCGCCAGTTGTATAAAAGTATAACACATACAATTATATACAGTACATAATACTTGATCATGTTAATTAATGACTTTTCCTGGTTTATTTATTTGCTATGCTATGTTTTTATCATTATTTTAAAGTGTACTTGTGTACTTACAAAAAAAAAGTTTACTGTGAAACAGTATTCTGGCAGCAGCTTCGTACATTTCATGTTTACCATGTCTCTTGATTGTATTATTTTATCTCGTGCTTGATTTAATCTTTTTTTTTTCATTATGGCCCCTAATTGTACAAAAGCCATGGTTTATGTTGCTGGTAAGAGGCCACATCAAGTTATTGACTTTGAAACAAAATTAAAAGTGATGAAGAACTATGAAGGTGGAAAATCAGTGATGGTTACTGCTCACCAGTCAGGCATGGCCCATTCCACCACAGCTCACCAGTCAGGCATGGCCCATTCCACCACAGCTACAATCTTGAAGAACATGAACAAAGTCACAGGAGCTATTAAAGGATCTGCTTCATTGAAGGCAATGAGACTAACAAAAAATTGAGACAGGCCTACATCAGATATGGAGAAACTTCTAATGACTTGCATTGAGGAGCAGATACAGAAGCATATTCCTGTCAGCACCATGACAATAGCAGTCAAAGAAAAAGTTTTCTTGGGATGTTGAAAGAATAAGCTGGACCTGACTATAGTGTTGCATTTACTACCAGCTCTGGGTGGTTTAAACATTTCAAGAATCATTATTCATTACATAGTATGAACATGAGTGGTGCGTCTGTGAGTGCTGATGTGAAGGCAGCTGAAGAATTCTTGGAAATTCTAGATAAGCTGAATGTGGAGCAAAATCACTTGCCAGAGCAAGTCTCCAGTACAAATGAAATCTCCATATTCCAGAAACAGATGCCCGGAAAGACTTTACCCATAAGAAGGCCACATCGATGCAGGTTTCAAGGCTTTTAAAGACAGAAGTCTTGCCTGGGGGCAATGCTGCAGGCTACAGACTGAAACCCTTTGTGATCTGGCACAGTGGAAACTCCAGGGCCTTCAAGCATATGAACAAGTGCATGTGGCCAATGTACTACAGGAACAATAAGAAGTTGTAGATAATCTAGCTCCCCTTCCAAGAAGCCCTCCTGAATTGCTATGCCAGAGAGATGGAGAAGTACTATTTGGAGAATTACATCCCCTTCAAGATTTTGCTTATTGTTGATGATGCTCCTGCACATCCTCCTTTTATGTGTGATCTTCATCAAAGCAGTGTTTCTCCCTCCAAATATCACCTCTTTGATTCAACCAATGGATCAAGGAGTTATAGCCACTTTTAAGGTCTACTATCTGAGGAGGACCTTTGCCTGCACTATTGCTGCAGCAGAGAAAGACACTGAGAAGACACAGATGCAACTCTGAAAGAATTACAACATCTACGACCAGAACCTTGCATCAGGAACCTTGCTTGGGTTTGGGGTGATGTCACCAAGGAATGTGTGAATGGTATCTGGAAGAAGACACTCAAGAGGACTGCCCATGATTAAAAAGGATTTGCCAAGGATGAGGAGGTTGTAAAAACAACCAGGCTGTGGTTGAGATGACAAAGAACTTTAACCTGGATGTGAATAAGGATGACATTGAGGAGCTCCTAGAGGTGGCTCTTAAGGAGCTGACTAATGAGGAGTTGTTGGAACTGCAACAGAAATGCATAGCTGGAGAAGAGGCCAGAGAAAAAGAAACTGATGCAGTTCTCAGAATGTATTCCCACTATTAAGCAACTCATGACTATTTATTCTCTTCTTATACAGTGCAAAATTCTTAGGCCGGGCAGGCATGGTAATTCACACTTGTAATCCCAGCACTCTGGGAAGACGAGGCAGGAGGATTGCTTGAGCCCAGGAGTTTGAGACCAGCCTAGGCAACATAGGGAGGCCCCCATCTCTACAAAATTTTTTAATAAAATTATCCAGACATGGTAGTGCATGCCTGTGGTCCCAGCTACTTGGAAGGGTGAGGTGAAAGGATCACTTGAGCCCAGGAGTTTGAGGCTGCAGTGAGCCATGATCACACCACTGCACTCCAGCATGGGTAACAAAATGGGAATCTGTCTCAAAAAAAAAAAACTTAAAACACTTTAATCCAATCACCCACTTCCCAGTGCCCCTGCTTTTGTTGTGTGATGTAGTTAATTCTGTCTTAGCTTATCACCATAAAGGTTTTATACAATTTATGTTGGTTTTAGATTTACATGTATATTTACAACTTTCTTACTAATCAGTCTGTCTTTCATCTAAGAATCTTCCATCTGGGAATATCTTTATTATGCCACAAGTACATCCTTTTAGAATTTTTTGTTGTTGTTGTTGTTTGGTTTTTGGGTTTTTTTTTTGTTTTGTTTTTTGTTTTTTTTGAGATGGAGTCTTGCTCTGTCGCCCAGGCTGGAGTGCAGTGGCGCGATCTCAGCTCACTGCAAGTTCCACCTCCCGGGTTCACACCATTCTCACACCTCAGCCTCCTGAGTAGCTGGGATTACAGGCACCTGCCACCACGCCCAGCTAATTTTGTTTTTATATTTTTTTTAGTAGAGACGGGATTTCACTGTGTTAGCCAAGTTGGTCTCAATCACCCACCTCGGCCTCCCAAAGTGCTGGGATTAGAGGTGTGAGCCACCGTGCCCGGCCTAGAATTCTTATAATAAGAGTCTCTTGGTAGCAAATTTCTTCTGTTTTTATTATTCCTAAACATGTCTTTATTTCACTTAAACTATTAAAAGATTTTCTGCTGGGTAATTCTAAGTTGACAGTTACTTTCTCTGTACATTAACAAACTTCCACTGTCTTCTGACTTTCATCATTGCTATCCAGAAGTCAGTTCTGTTACAATTGCCATTCTTTTGTAGATAGTCTATTGTTCTCTGGCTGCTTTTAAGACACTCTCTTTCTTCAGGTGTTCCAGAATTTGACTATGACGTTTCCAGGTGGTGTATTTCTTTTCCTTCACCCTGATTGGGATGGATTGGATCCCTAAATATGAAGCCTGATGTTTTTCATCAGTCCTGGAAAATACTTGGCCATTATTTCCTCAAACATTCCCTTTCCCTCATATCTCACTTCTCTTCTTCTACAATACCAAATATGAAACCATCTCAGTCTATCTTATGTGTCTCCTAACCTTTCTTAAATATTTTTATTGTTTTGTCTCTTTGTGCTTCATTCTGAATACTTTCTTCAGACCTATTTTTCAGTTCATTGATTCTCTTTTCACTATGTCTAATCCACTGTTAAATCCATCTATTGATTTTTTTTCCCGCTTTATCTAGTACCAACTTTCAAGGCATGCAGTTTTTCTTCCTGTTCCCTGCTAGGAGGGGTGGACAGCTTTATTTTTAGTTTACCTCAACACGCTCAACCTGTGCAGGACTTTGGGTTCCCAGCACTATCTCAGGTCTCTCCTTACACTTCCCACTTTGAATGGAATCCAGTTTTTCCCCCACTTTCTCCAGTCCCTAAAAGACCATGAAAATAAAAACTCAACTTAGCTGGGGCTTCAGCAAGTAGCCTCAAATGGAAAGTGTCTTTAGTAATTTGATTACCTCTTTGGATTTTTTCCTTCCTACCAGCTCATTAGTACATCTTAGGATTTTTTAAATTCTGAATTTGAGGATTTCACTGGCAGGTAATTCAGGAAATCTTATCTACCATTCTTTCAGAAATAGAAAACAGGTTTGTTTTAAATTGGGAATAAGACTAGATACCAACTCTAGCACGCATTCCAAGTTTTTTGTGAACAGTTGAAGCAGATGTTGGGTATACATGATGTATAAAAGCAAGTTGCAAATAAATGTATATAATATAACCCAATATTTGTAGAAATAAATATAAAAAACATTTAAATATATTTGTATAAGTAGAAGAGCATAAACAAAGATGTAAAGAGTTGCATATGCAACTATGTATTTGGTCACTTCAGAATATCTAAGAAAGGCAAGATAGATGGTGGGAGAAAATAAGGGGAAAAAACTATTTAAGAGGGAAAATATACAACTTAATAAAATGTGCAATAAAATATTCTTCCAAATTTGTAAACGTTAATAAGTCTATGGCAAAGACTAAAATGTAACAGAAAAAATGCATTGATGGTTTAGGTGTTACCTTGCTCAGCAATAAAGAAATTGGCCCAATGATCCTCCACCGGTCCCTTAAATTGCCACTCAGGTAGCTCTGGATGATAATGTACCTATAGCACTCTCTTCTCTTTCCCAGATCAGTCCTGAACCACTTCTGCTGCATCATTCTATATTCCACATTCAGACCACTCACAGTACCCACCTTGGACTGCTCACAACCTTGGAATTATTTCCTCTCTGTATGACTTGGCCTTCAGTCTTAATCCCAAAGCTCAATTTAATGAACTTCACTATGGCTCAGACTCTCCATCTGGACAGAATGCCTCTAGTTTATGAATAGAGACAACTAATATTAGTTGAGCACTTTCTATATTTCAGATATTAAGTGGGTGGTTTTTATGCATTATTTTGCCTTCATGATAACCCTGAGAGAAGTTTAAACACTGAGAGAAAGTATCCTAGGGAGATCTGATTAGTGAGGGAAGTCGCCTTGAGGAGATGGGGATGACGCCAATCACTGAAGAATAGGTAGGAGTTAAACTGGTGACCACATAGCCAAGGAATTGAATCTCGGAAACTCAGCATGTAATGATTCAATACTAACTTCTTTAAGTGGCAAAGTAAATTATATAGATTTTTTGAAAATGAGGTTACAGATTTGTCCTTATGGAAAAACCAATATTGTCTCATTGAGCTCGAGTGTCTGGACAAATGGTCCTGTCAGTGTTCCCTCTGAAAGGATCCAGGGCACATCTTCCCTAAGGGGATGATAGGATCAATTCTGTTTTTTAATTATCACTCCTTTTGTGGTTGCTTTTATGTTGTGTGTAATTTGGTTGCTTAGATGACAGGTTGAACAAAATAAACACTTAGCAGAAAGAATATTTCCTGGGAATCTTAAAAGATACAAGAAAATGGGGAAAAATAGAACCTCAGTCGCCTGATGGTGAGAAGTTACAAAAAGGGTCAGGTGTTTTGATGGAAGTCATTGTAGAAAAAAAATGAAAGACGTTGAAGCTTGAAGATACTAAAACTTAATACTTTATCATCTATATTTTCCAACTGAATGACAGGGGTTAGGACATGCTGTCCCAAAATATGGCACTTTGGCATATAAAATGTTTTAAGCTGAAGGAATTTGAGAAACAGCAGGTGAAGGAAAGATTTTCTGACCCTCCCCTAATGCAGGCTATAAAACCCTCACATGAGAAGTACCCTCCTTATGCCCAGAGAAAAGGAACATCTTTGTCTCCAAAGACACAGGGACACGGAGATGATGAACAGGCCTTGCTAAGTTTCCTCCACTCTATTACCCTTAGCTTGTACCTTTATCCAACCACATTCTTCCATGACTCTCCAGTCTTCATCAAACCTGGCATAAAAACACTCAGACTTAACCACTTCTTTGGGTCTTCATTTCCTTATGAAGGCTCCAGTGTCATATAAAACTTCCATTAAATAAATGTATGTATGCTTTTCTTTTGTTAATCTGTCTTTTGTTACAGGGTCCCCAGCCAAAAACTCAGTAGGGTCAAAGCAAACAGTATGTTTCCTTCCCATGTCTAATGAGGTAGTCACTGGCTACATAATGGCTATTTACATTTAAACTAAATAAAGATTAAATTTCTCAGTCTCGCTAGCCATATTTCAAGGGCTCCGCAGACATTTGTGGCTAGTAGCTAATGCATTGAACAGCTCAGATACAGAACATTTCCATTATTGTAGAAAGTTCTATTGGACCGAGCTGAGAGCTATAACTCAGAAAAGCCCTGAATAGTGTCCTACTATACCTGTACAAATACAATCTTCAATCAGGTCGTGATTGTCTAAATTTAAATGTCTTACATGGAAATTCCATCCAACTCAGTAAACATTTTATTAAACAACCTTCTGTGTGCCAGGCATTGAACCAACCCCTGAGGGAATAGAAAAACAAATTAGACATGGTTACTGCCTTCAAGTAGTTTATAAGCTAGACAGGGGGAAAGATATGTGATCTGCTTCAGGGGCTGAAAGAACGCAGGAGGCTTTTCCTTAAGCACGAAGTTCTTCCAAGGCAGGTATTGTAAAAGGTACCACATTCCAAACTCTCCAATTTCAGTGTGGAACTGAAGGTTTCCAGAATTCTGGAGACAATGAAATAAGATTTGCACACTGTGACAACACAGGTCTCTAACAGCGAATCCAAGACTGGGATTTTTTTAAAGCTCTCTTCCCTTCCCCACCTTGAGTGTACAATGGAGAGTGCTAGTGTGGTGTCACATGGTGCAACATGGCTCAGTGTTGTGTGAAACTAAGGTAATAGGCTTCTCGTGGCCTATTTCTTCATTTGTAAAATGAGCAAGTTAGACAGTAAGATAATCCACTGCATTGCAAGAAAATCTTGTTCAAACAGTTTATATGTATTTTTACTTGAAAATATGATGAAAAAAATAAGGTTTTACTAATCTGAATTGACACTGGGCTCTGGCCTGGGGCCTGCGTCAGGGGTCTGTGGTCACACCAGGTAAGTGAGGAATCCTGAGTGAGGAGCAAGAGCTCCCCAACGTGGAGGTGCCGCAGCCCTTTGCTTAGATAGCCCTTTGCTACCTAATTAACATAAAATTAATCAGTTCTTCCAAAATGGACAAGTGTTTAAAAAAGAATTCTGCCAAAGAAAATGCGGACTGAAGATAACGCAGATAAGGCAGCTACAGGTTAAACTACATGAAACTGTCAATATTTGCTCAGTTTTTATATTTAAAAGATAGCAATTGAATATAATTCAAACTAATTATATTAAATGCCACTCCTCCAAGTACTAATCAGCCACGATTTAGATAAAAACAATGACCATCTAATGAAACTCGACATAAATAGAGCTCAAAAAGGTAAAATTATGAAAAGGCCATTTGAAATAAGGACATACATCCACTCTCTTTAATTATGAACTATGAACAGAATAAGTATATATTTTGCTTTAAGATAGTAGCTATTGATAGAATGAAGACATCACATGTGAATTGCTTACTTCATCTTTGCATCAACTTTTAATATTTAGATTTGGGGCATATTTTATAATGAACATAACATATGAGCATAACAGTCGTGATTAACGTATACAATTAAAGATATGTGGAAATGACTCCATCTCCGACCACACATCCTCTGAGTAATTTTGATGGGGATGGCTTATGTTCTACTGCCACCTCGTGGTGGGCATTCTGTGAACATGCATCTTGGAACAGTGGGGAGAACCAGTTTGGACTTCTGAGGATCCAAAAGCCCAAGAAAAAAATCTGAGTTCTCACGACAAAGTCACTTCCTGCTACAACACCTGGAAAATGTCATGACCCGAGCTAGTCTCACTTCAGGTAACCTCACCTCTATGGACCTGTCAATTCATCCATAAACTTGATTTTCCAACTCTTGCTGAACTTCAAAAACACTTCCAATTCTAAAATATCTATGTTACTAAGTGTCACTGTTCAGACTTTATGAGCTTCTAAACCCTTTATGTGTTTTCATTTTTTATTCTATGAAGATCTATAAGGTCTCACAGAGTTAGTCCTTCCTTCTCTATTTCTATCACATTGTGTATACATCTTTTACAGTACTTATTAGGTTGGGTTGGTTTGGTTTGTTATTTTTTTCTCAACTTTTTATTTTTAAACAATTGTAGATACATTAGAAGTTTTATTTAAAAATGTGCAGGGAGGTCCCATGCGTGTCTCAGACTTCCGCAATGGTAGCATCTTACATCACTACAGTACATGATCAAAACCAGGAAACTGAAATGAATGCAACCCACAGAGTTTGTTCAGACTTCACCAGCTTTACATGCACTTGTTTGTGTGTGTGCAGATCGTTTTCATGTCTCTGTCATTCTAGAGTCCCTGGTTTCTAGTACGGTGCCTGACAGATAGATGACTTTCTTTATATGTTGCTGAAGACAGGCAGAGAGGAAGAAAGGAAGAGAGGATAAAGGGAGGTAAGGGAAGAAGAATTTATCAAACAATTGATAAATTAAAAGTGGTGTTTTAAAAAGGTAATGCTTAAGTGGATTTTCTGAACATGGTAGATCAATGTTAAAACCCAGCTTTTCACTCACAATGGCAGTCATTTTTTTAAATTACTACCCAATAGATCACTTGATATACCAATCTTCCAGACATCTATACAAATGACATTCATACAAATTACAGACTCTTGGAGTTGTCAGCCGCTGTTCGTTCAGATGGCTGACGAGGCCCTAACAAGCACTTTTGCCTGTTCCTTTCTTTGTTTTAAAGCTATTTCTCATGTGCTGCTGACAGCCTGTTTTACTTTAGGCTGCAACCACACTCTTTGAGTCTCAGTTTTTCCATCTCAAAAATGGTAAAGTTCCCTGTCAGAAATTATATTCTAGTAACTCCATGGCTCTAAGATATCAGAGTTTTCTTTTTGAAACTACTCCTTTTATTACATATAAATATAATAAATATTTGCAAGTAACAAAGATAATGAAAAATATAAAAAAGAACTTTCAAATCACCTATAATTTCATCCATTAATAATACAATATTAATATTTTAACGAATTTCCTTTTCTTTCAGTTGTGCCTACATCCATTCATCTACTTTTGTATAAACATATAAACATGCAAAAAGAATATATTCACTTAATTCAGAATAAAACTATACTCAAAGTCATGGGGTCCTAAGTTTTGAGTGGTAACTTTTCCTGTTAAAACTGTCTCAAAGCTCATGAAATACTCTTTCAATATTTGTAGAGTATTCCATCGTCCTAATATACTGTTTATATATTTCATTATTTCCATATTTTTAACATTTACTCTTCTCTTTTTTGCTATTAGGAATAAACTTGATATAAGCATCTTTGCATAATTAACAACTGGGTCAAATTTTCTTCATTTCATTGAGATTCTTGATACAAGCCTCTGCTGATGAATTGGATTCCAAAAAGGTAGTTACAATTTACATTTATGCCAAGTGCAAGCACATACATTTATTACATCTTTGCTAAAATCATAATTATCTTTAAAACTTTGCCCAAAATTTTATAGTTGAAAAATTATCTCATTATTATTTCTATTTCTTTGATAGCTAAAAAAAGTTAGCCTTTTGTACGTTTTTCAGAAAACATCATATGTATCAAATAACATGGTATTATATTTGTAAATTATATGTATCTTGCCTCATATTTCTATTAGGATGTTGTTGCTTTCTTATTAATGTCTTATTAATTTACACATTATGGATATTAGCCCTTGTTATATCTGTTGCAAGCAATGCTTTTTCAATTTTTGCCCTTAATTATATTTACAATGAGGATTATCTATAGTTTTCTTTTTTTATTCTTAGAAATCCAATGTCTAGAATCAGTTACATATTTATGTACAATTTGTTCTATCACTTATAGTGTTATTTTTATATTTAAAATAGAATACCTAAGAACTTATTTTTATTACAGTATGATGTTAGCTGTTATAGCTTCACTTTTTCCTGAATAACTTCTCTTCTAAGTATTTAGAAATCAATCCCTTGCTTGTTTCTCCACTTCTTTTTCTTTCTTGATCATAAGTGAAGAATCTATTTCAGGAATTGTTGATTCTGATTCAATACCATGTATCTTAGTTGTCATGGCTCTATAATATATTTTATATCTAAGCAGGCAAGTGTCTATTACTCTTCTTTTTCAACATTTTCTATAGATATTTATAACTGTTTATTCTTTCAGACATAGTTAAAATAATAATAATATGGTTGAGCATGGTGGTACACATCTGTAATCCTAATGTTTTGGAAGGCTGAGACAGTAGAACTGCTTGAGGCTAGGAGTTCGAGGCTGCAGTGAGCCATAATCATGCCACAGCACTCCAGACTGAGTGATAGAGCAAGACCCTGTCTCTCAAAAAATAATATTAAAGGCTGGGCTTGGTGACTCATGCCTGTAATCCCAGCACTTTGGGAGGCCAAGGCAGATGGATCACTTGAGGTCAGGAGTTCAAGACCAGCCTGGTCAACATGGCAAAACCCCATATCTACTAAAAACACAAAAATTAGCTGGAGATGATGACATGCACCTGTAGTCCCAGCTACTCAGGAGGCTGAGAGAGGAGAATCACTTGAACCCAGGAGGTGAAGGTTGCAGTGAGCCAAGATCTTGCTACTATACTCCAGCCTGGGTGACAGAGCAAGACTCTGTCTCAAACTAATAACAATAATAATAATAAAATAATAAGATGACAAGAAGAAGAAGAGAAAAGGAAAAGAAGTAGAAGGAGGAGGAGGAAGAGAATCACCTTAGTCTAGTTAGGGTGATGATTCCTTCAAGTGAGATTTATACAGACTTTTTTATCCAGTCATCATGAAATTGAGCCTTGGCTCATTTATTCACAAGAAACACTTCTGTGATATGTTGACCTTTTTTTTTTAACTTAAACTGTTTATTGTGATCTCTTATGGAATGAACCTTGACCTTGAGGTTTGCTTGTTTGCATTTTGTTATGAGAAATTGCATTTACTCACTCTGTGTTTGTTATAGGAACTTATATTTGTTAGGTGACATGCTGTAGAAAATTAGGTTTGCTCATTTAAATTGTAGTGTGAACACTGGTGATATGAAGACTGACTCACTATCTGTAGCCTCTCCAGCTTTGCTCTGTAACCTCACTTTGATATAAGTGGCTCTATTTCCCCCGTTAGTCAGAGAGCATTGAAACTCCTTGAGTTTTCCCTTTAAGCCTGTCTGAGAATAAACTTGGTGATGCTATCAAATCTATTTATTAAAAACAAAAAAACACAAAAGGAATTTTCATCAATACTGACTTTAGGAAGCCATAGTTGATAGGAACAAAAGACAAATAATTAATTCCTGTAAAATTTAATTGGTTTCACAAGAGAAGTGAGTACTTGCTACAAGGGAATGGTGAAAAGGAAATATCTCTATGGGGATCAAATGAAATTTGGGACATTTTCACCCTAGAGACAATGCTTGAGGTAGAAATACTGGGTATTTGGTACAAATACTGGGTCCATTTACACCCTCACAAATGTCACTGGTGAGCACATGGGTCTAATCCAGAGTTTCTCAACCTTGGCACTATTGATATTTGAGGCTGTTATTAGTCCATTTTCACACTGCTATAAAGACATACCCAAGACTGAGTAATTTATAAAGAAAAGAGGTTTCATTGACTCACAGTTCCACATGGCTGGGGAGGCCTCAGGAAACTTATACTCATGGTGGAAAGGGAAGAGGCATATCTTATGTGGCAACAGGCAAGAGAGAACAAGCAAGAGCAGGGGAAACTGCCTTATAAAACCATCAGATCTTATGAGAACTCACTCACTATCATGAGAACAGCATGGGGGAAACCAGCCCCATGTTCCAGTCCCTTCCCAACAGGTCTCTCCCTTAACACCTGGGGATTACAATTCAAGATGAGATTTGGGTGGGGACACAAAGCCTGACCATATCAGGAGCTGAGTAATTATTTGTCGCGGGGGCTGTCCTGTGCATTGCAGGGCGTTAAACATTTGTAGCCTCCATCCACTAGATGCCGGTAGCATTCCTCCTCTCAGTTTGAAAACCAAAAGTCTCCAGACATTGCCAAATATCCCCTGGAGAGCAAAAACCACCCCTGGTTGAGAGCCACTGGTCGAATCCTACCTTTTCTCTTTCTAACAGCAAAAATGAAGGTTTGGAGAAGTATTAGTATAAGAAGGCATATGACTCGCAGGCTCACTTAGTTATCCGTCCTCCCCTGGAGATGGTCCTAATAGTACTGCAGCCCTTAAAACAAGGAAACAGCTTCTCTGAGCAACACAGTCTACAAGGAAGCATTCCAACTTCCAGAAAAGATTTTTCCCATCCTCCTCCTGAAAGGTTCAAAGAGACCATGAAATCTCAACCGTCTTCACCAGCAACATTGTATATCAACAGGAAAAAAACAATTTCATTAGTGTTATTTATAAGACCATAGTATTTTAGCATCCAAAGTTCGTTAGAAATCGTTTGAGTCAGTTTCCTAAATTCCCCTGATGCTTGGCAAATGTGCAGCCTCCCAGTCCCCACCCCAGCCCCACCTGCTCACTGTGTTCAGAAGTAAAGCCTGGGAATCTGTTTTTAGTAAGTGCCCAGATGGTTCCTATGATCAGTGAAGTTTGGACAATGCTGATCTTCATTTTACCAGAGGAGACAGAGGAGTTCTAGGGAAGTCACTTTCCCAAGATCCCCCAGCTGGAAAGGGACAGACCCAGGACTCAGTCCAGGTATCCCAACACCTTATCCACTGCTCTTTCCTTTGCACCAGTTTGAGGGAGGAGAGAACCAGCAAATCCCTCAGAAGGAAGTCTCAGAAACAGACTAGCCTAGGTGGGGTGGCAGGAGGGCTGAGAAGTGGGTTAAAGCAAGTCACCTATTTTTATATAGGTCATGGATCAGCAAACCTTCCTATAAAGAACCAGAGAGGAAAGTTTTGACTTTGCAGGCCATGTGATCTCTCTTAAAGACTCAGTTCTGTGGATAGAGCTCCAAAGCAGCTATAGACAATCCATAAGCAAATGGGCATGGTGGGTTCCAAAAAACTATGTTAACAAAATCAGGGCACTATGCTTTTCCTACCCCAGATATAAATGACATTTGGCCAATATAAATATAAGAGTAGCCTGGAAAGAAAAGGGGAAAAACTGAAAACCAGGTGGTGGGGAGAAAAGGGATTATATCCAGCTTGTAGCCCAAGAGTTAAAAATAAAAGGTTTGTGCTAGTCAGCCAAAAGCATTTAAGCAAAGCTTAAACATGCTAAAGACCAATAATTATGCAAACTAATAAACTGCTCTCCCAGTTTGAGTTCTCCAGAAGCCAACCCTGAGACCAGGGTTTAAGGGCAAATAGTCCATTTGGGGGTGCATTAGTTTGTTTTCACACTGCTATAAAGAACTATCTGAGACTGGGTAATTTATTACAAAAAAAAAAAAGAGGTTTAATCAGCTTTTGGTTCTATGGGCTGTACAGGCTTCTGCTTCTGAAGAGGCCCCAGAAAACTTACAATTATGGCAAAAGGTGAAGGGGAAACAGGCACATTTTCAAATGTCCAGCAAGAAAGAGAGAGAGAAGGGGAAGGTGCTACACGCTTTCAAACAACCAGATCTCCTGAGAACTCTATCGCAAGACAGCACTAGGGGGATGCTACTAAACTGTTAGAAACCATGCCAATGATCCAGTCACCTTCCAGCAGGCCCCATCTCCAACACTGGGAATTACAATTTGACATGAGATGTGGGTGGGGACACAGAGCCAAACCATATCAGGGAGGTAATGTGAAATATCCTTAGGGGATCTGGGAAGTGAGCCTGGGAAAGGACGGTAGGCAAAACAGAGTGTTTTTCAAGCCCCCTGTCATGGTAGGCTTCACCCTGCAGGGAATCTCTGGAAAATAGCAGGGTAGAGCTTCTCAGATTTGCGTGAGCATGAGAATCACCTGGGCAACTTGTTAAAGCACGGGTTCCTGGGTCCCACCCTCAGAGATTCTGATTCAGTAGGTGTATTAGTCCATTTCCATGTTGCTAATAAAGACATATCCAAGACTGGGGGAAAAAAGAGGTTTAATGGACTTACAGTTTCACGTGGCTGGGGAGGCCTCACAATCATGGTGGAAGGCAAGAAGGAGCAAGTCACATCTTACATGGATGGCAGCAGGCAGAGAGGGAGCTTGTGCAGGGGAACTCCTCTTTATAAAACCATCAGATCTCATGAGACTTATTCACTATCACGAGAACAGCATGGGAAAGACCTGCCCCCATGATTCAATTACCTCCCACCGGGTCTCCTACAACATGTGGAAATTCAAGATGAGATTTGGGTGGGGACACAGCCAAACCATATCAGTAGGTCTATATTGAAGCCCAGGAATTGACATTTTCACCAAGCCCCCAGGGCCTGCCAATGCTGCTGATCCGAGGACCACACTTTGAGTAGCTCTGATACAAAGCAGACTAGCAGCATGGGCATCTCCTGAGATGTGGTTAGAAACATCAAAGCTCAGGCGCCACCCTAGACCTACCAAATCAGAATTTTGAACAAAACCCCAAGTGTTTGTATGCACATGGAGGCTTAAGAAGCCCTGGTGTAGAACATGCATTTCAGAATTATACCTCCAGAGAGCAAAGGTGTTCATACATCAACTCTCACCAGTCATTGGTTGAGAACTACTAGGAGGGTGTGGTTAATCCCCTCTCCTGCCCTCTACCTCACCCCCACCTGCCACCCCACCCCACTCCACTTCCACACTTCTCACCTGTCCTGTGTGCAGGACAGCAGCTCCTATCAGCTTGGGAGAAAGCTACAGTGCAAAAAGACACAGATAGAGCAGTTGGAAGTCAGTCCCCTACACTGATGTGGCAAGATCCAGGGATGTGGATGGAGTACCAGCAGGATCTGCTACCATCAATAAAAGACATACTCTGACAGAGTGTCCTGTATTGCCTTCAGATACAGCATGTAATAGTGGGAAGAACACAAGCTTTGGAGTCACCCACCCCTGGGTTCAAAGCCTGACTGTCACACATTAAAATTCCTACGTCAAAGTTACATGACCTCTCTGAGTTTTGCTCTTCATCTGAAAATGGAGATATTCATACCTTCCTTGATTTCTTATTGTCTGGACCAGTATAAGCACTCAAAGATGATACCTAATATTATTTTGTTATTTCTGCCAAGCCATGAACTTCTCATGGTACATCACTTGACACTGAAATATCATAGACTGAAAATCGGGGCTTAGTCATAAGGAATATCAAGGCAATAACTCAAGAAACCATGTCAGCAAAATAATTCTTCAGGAAGTTGGCTTTGAGTGTTACTTTCTCAGAGGCTGCTTCCTCGGTATGTAAAGTGCCAACCTATTTTTTGGAGCAATCATTCTGAGGAAGGACAGAAAGGGAGCAATCTAGTAGAATTAACCTGGTTATGGAGAGATCATGCAAATCGGTCTTCAAAAATGTTCATTAGCTACATTTAGATGAGTATTCTTGTCAGAGGGTTCAAACTAACAATCTTCACAGGTTCTGTATGGGTTGAATGGCATCCCCCAAAAAGACATGTCCCTGTTCTAATCCCCAGAGCCTGTGAATGTGACCTTATTTGGACAAAGCATCTTTGCAGTCGTAATTAAGTTAAAGATCTTAAGATGAGATCATCCTTGATTGACCAGATGGGTCCTCAGTCCAATGGTAAGTGTCCTTAGAAGAGACACACAGAGAAGAGACAGAGGGAGAAGAGGAGAAGGCCATCTAAAGATGGATGCAGAGATTGTAGTTATGCAGAAAAAAAAAAAAAAGGCCTGGAAGAAGCAAGGAAGGATCCTCCCACAGAGCCTTTGGAGGGAGTGTGGCCCTGCCAACACCTTGACTTCTGAATAGCCTCCAGAACTGTGAAAGAATAAATTTGCTTTCCTTTAAGCCACTAGATTTGTGGTAATCTGTTCCAACAGTCCTAGGAAACTAGTACAGTGTCCAAGAGGAAACGAAACAATCTTCAATTCCAAGAAACTATTTGAATTCATCCAGAACCATGCAAGGAGAAAAATAAAATAATAGGAAGAAAGTTTGAGCTCATTAGAGGACACAAGGTTTAGAAACCACAGAAAATATGTCCAAAAGCTTTTTTAACTCAAAAAAGCTCAGAAATTAATTTATGAGTGTTCACATGTGCAATTATCTAATCCTTTGAGAGAAAGCCATGGTACATTCTGTTTACAGAGCATTTGATTAACTGCTGATGTTATTTCCTCTGCATAGCAGATATTGTTGTCCAGGCCACACCATACGGGACTTACCACTCCCAGTTGCTAACATCTGCACGTATTTGCCTGGAGGTCTCCTCTGGTCACCAGATCCTACTCTGCCTGGGCCACATGACAAGGTGATGTGCTGAGGAACAAAAGCCCCCAGGAGTATCCCTCAAGCAGTGTTGGACTGGAGTTGAGGTATATATGCCCTAGCCTCCCAACCCTGGGCTGAGATTCCCAAACAACTGGGTTCCCTGGCAGGACCCAGCCCCACATACCCAAAACACTAAACTGCTTAATGATGGACACTTCCCATCCTGTCTCCCCTTCCCCATTTCCCTACCCGTGTTTCCTGGGACCACCTCCAAAACTAAGAATTTCCCCAAGCTGTTCCTTGAAGAACCCAAACTAAGATTGCTAAAGCACTAAGCTGGAAGTGACTCAAAACCAAAAAGCCTAACATAAGCTTTTGTCTTCTTTAAGAATTCATTCTGAACTGTCTGCCAATTTCATTTTAACATTAGAAAATGATTGAAAATGTTAAATTGGCCTTGCTTGACTTCAACATTTGACACAGTTACTCCAAGGATACATACATTGCGCTATAGAATTCCTCTATTTTTTTGCTATCCCTCCATCAAGTGGTGAGTTCTGACTCCAAAATATGTTTTAGATCAGTCCTCTACTCTCCATTTCCACTGCCAGCCCCCTAGTCCATCCCATGCCATCTCTTGCTAGACTGGTCATCACTTGCTAGACTGTCACCAAATCCTCCTGACTGGCCCATCCCCGATTCCACTCTTGACCCTTCCAATCTATTATTTCATAGCAACTAAGAAAAATGTTTAAAAATATAAATCAATTGATATCACTTCCTTCATTAAAACCTAGCTTCCCATTGCACATAGAATGAAATCCCAAGTCCTTCTTGTGGACTAAAAGACTTCTCCCACTTCTGTTTTAACTCACTGTACCCTTCACTCACGGTACTCCAGGAACCTTAATGTCCTCTCTGTTCCCAGAATGGATCCAGCCTGTCCAGGCCTTTGTGCTTGCTCTTCCCTCTTCCTGAATATTCTGACCTGGCTCTGTGTGTGTCTACTTCCTCCTCATCTCTCAGATCTCCTTTGCAAAAGGGCTTCCCCAATGATTTAATTTAATATCATCTTTTCATGTACCCCAAATGTCATTCTCTAGCACTGTATTCTGTTTATTTCCTTCATAGAATCTACAGTAAATTCTAATCGTTTCAGGTTTTTGTTTATTTACTCATTCAAAAACACATAGACTCAGTCCCTATTATCCCTACGGTGGGCCAGGCCTAGACCCTTGACAGGTGCGGGAGGTACACAGTGATCAAAAACAGACCCTACCTACATTAGGGAGAGAATTTAGTGAGAGAGACTGATGTTAAACAAATAATAACATATGCAGTTTTAAAGCTGACACTGTAAGAAGTGTTATATACAGAGCCCTATGAGAAGTCAAATTAGAAAATTTTGGCCTACTTAGGGATGGCATCCCCAAGGAAGTAAACAATGAGCTGGGGCCTGTGTAGGCAAAGGTTAACTCAGCAAACCTGGGTTGTTCAAACCCTGCACATTTTCAGGAAAAGCCTGTCTTCAGGAATGACCCTGGGAAAAGAGCTCTGAGGCTTTGGAATGCCCTGCCTGATAAGAGTGTGTCTTTATGCCCAAAGCCTTGGGCAACACGGTACCAGTTTGATCACATAGTTTATGTTAACAGTGAGATTTATGGTGAATGCCTGCTCTTGCTCTAGGAGGTTGAAGTCTGAGTAGCCAACATCAATCCTGCAGGTACTACATGCCAATGCAACTGGCCCCCAATTAAAAATTCTGGACACTCACTCAGGGGAGATTCCTAGTTGGTAGCACTTTACTCAGGCAGTCACACACTATTGCTGGAAGAATGAAGTGTGCCCATGTGACGCCACTGGAGGAGGACACCTGGAAACTTGGGCCTGTTTTTTCCTGGACTTTGCCCCAAGTGCTTTTTCCCCTTTCTGGTTTGAATCTGTATCCTTTCACTGTAAGAAATTTCCACCTTGAGCATGACAGCTTTTCTGAGTCCTGTGAGTTCTAGCAAATCATTAAGCCTAAGGATGGTCTCAGGGACCCTGACACAGCACCAAAGAGAGTGTTTAAGGCAGAGAAAACAGCAGACTCAAAAACCCCGTGACATCCCTGAGCATCTCGACATGAGAAGTGTAACAAAAGCTGGTTAGGTGGGAATGGAAGAGAAAGCAGGTGTGTGACACTAGGTGTCCACATTCTCTCTTCACTGGTGAATGGACACCTGTGATTGTTGTTCACTGTTGGCATCACCACCACATACCATTATGCTTGGCATGTCATTGATGCCCAAGAGTATCCATTAAATAAATGAATTATAAATAAGCAAATGAGTGAATGGAATGAATGATCCTCAGCTTTATGTTACATCTTACAGCAAGTGTAATTGTTATTGATTATTATTCCCATGATCATCTCTCTGAATGCTTCAAAGTTGTTTAATTACTTGTATGACACCACTGCCTCAAGACAGTTAAAGCACTAGGGGGAAAAATGCCTCAAAACATTTCAAATCAATTGAAGTTTTTAGATAATTTCCTGAATATATTGCAGTAATTTATAGAAAATGTAGACTTTATCTGCAGGCTAGACTGTAAATTTATGTAAATAATAAAAGCCCTTTATAATTTCTCAAACTCTATGAGTTAAATATACTGGTCATTAATGTCCCCATTTTATAGATGGGAAACTACAAGGTTGACTGCTTTGTCCAAAGTGACAAACAAATTAGTGGCAGAGCAAAGATTACAATTCTGGATTTCTAAATGCTTGTGGAACAGAACCTATTACCTTCAGGGAAAAGAAACTTGGAAGAAAGGAAGGGAAATGAGGCTTGAAGCCAGAGACAGTGGATGCAAGATCAGGCTCTGATGCTTACTAGCCAAGTGGGGCACACATGGGCCACATCCATTGACCTTGGCAAGACTCAGTGTCTTCATCTTTTAAATAAGGATAATAAAACTTATCCAAAAGTACTAGTTCTTAATCTGGGGATAATGTAAGGATCCCTGGATTCACTTCAGAACTCCTTGAAACCATAAGCAAAATTCATGTATAAGTTTCTGTGTACATTTTACTGGTACAAGGATACATAGCTTTCATTAAATTCTCAAAGTGGCCTACTGAGCCCAAAGCAGTGAAGAAACAGCCACTATCTGTTTCAGTGGTCAGTCACCAACAGGACAAGCAATGGTTGAATACAGGCCCTGGAGTGTGACTCCCCATGTTGGAATCTGGCTCAGCTATTTGCTAGTCATACGCAAAGTCCATGACTCATCTTTATGGGGGTGAAAGAGTGCATACCCTCTTAGTCACTTTGAGGATTCAACAAGATCATGCCTGCAAAGTACACAGTATATGGTGCCATCTCAATAAATATTAGCTGCTGTCATTGTTCTCACATATTTCATCCACAATAGCATATCTAGGCGTCACTGGGAGTCATCCTTCTCCCTCACCCACATCATTCAATCCACATCAAATCTGGCTGACTTGCTACCTGAAATACTTCTTGATTTATTCACCTCATTTTCATTGAGACTTTTACCTCATGGAATCAGGCCCTATCCCAGCATATCTCCCTGCTTGATCACTCTGGAATCCTCTCTCCCCCAGGGTGAATTATTAGGCACTACAATGCTAATGTGACTTCAGACCCCAAGGCAGGGGTCTTCACACTGTGCTCCAAGGAGCCTCTTCCGTGGCTGTGGAGAGGGGGCAGGAGCTCCTGACATTCTCACACGAACCAGAGCAAGCCCCAGCTTTGTGGATTTTGTACATGAGGCTTCCTTCCAGTTTGAAGAAAGGGTTTGCCTTAGTTTGGGTTGCCATAGCAAATTACCATCAACTGGGTAGCTTAAATAACAAACATTCCTTTCTCACGGTTCTAGAGGCTGCAAGTCCAAGATCAGGGTGCCAGCATGACCAGGTTCTGGTAAGGGCAGTCTTTCGGTTGCAGACATCCAACTTATCAATGTAAACTCACACAGCAGAAGGACAGCAGGCTGACTCACTGAGGCCTTTTCTTATAAGGGTGCAATCTCACTAATAAGGACTTCGCCCTCATGACCTAATCACCTCCCAAAGACCCCACCTCCTAATACCATCCCATCAAGGGTTAGGATTTCAACGTATGAATCTGGGGAGGACAGAAACATTCAGTCCATTCCAGGGCTGCACTGCTTAAAGCAAACAACAAACAAAAAGACAAAGAACTGCACCCTTACCCTTTACAAAAATGGAAGATAAGGTCCAAGGCACCATTGCCACCTGGCTCCTGGTGTGTCTTTTCTTGTCTCACTATCGTGTTTCCCTCCTCTCTGCCGATATTACTACACTAGATGATCTGGGACTTTTCAAATGTTTTGATCTCAAGACCCCTTTCCCTTTTAAAAAAGTATTATGCCTCCTCTTGTTTTGGTTTCCTGTTACTGCTGAAACAAATGACCACAAATCTGTGCCTTACACAAATTTATTACCTTACAGTGTGGTGGTCAGAAGTCCAAGGCAGGTCAGTACAGCTGCATTCCTTCCGTAGGCTTGAAAGCAAGTAATGATTATATGTTCTGCTGCAGGAGGATTTCTGAGTCAGGGCTGGCAAAATCAATTTATTATTCTAACAGTTCCTTTCCGTAAAGCTATAAATGCATCATTATAATTTCCACCTTTTTACAGTTTCCAGGGGTCTCACACCTTTCAAACTCAATTACTGATGCTGGAGTGTCTGTTCCATGTTGGGGCTGCTGTATTTTCTTCCCTTTCTCATGCTAGTGGTTGGAATAACCAAAATCTTACACCTCAGAACTTCTGCTAAAGTTGTGTGAGTCTCTGGCCATTGGAATCTGGGAATAACTCTGATCAATTGATCGTTTCCTGTATACCTGCCATTGTGTTAGCACATCCCCTGCTCTCTTTCCTTCAGTCTTCACAGCAACACTTTGCCAAATGAATTATCATTATCCTCATTCTGCCAGTGAAAGGGGGCCATGCAGAGAAGTCATGCAATTTCCCAGTCCACACAGGAAGAACATAGGTTTCCCTGACTCTAGAGAACAGAAATCCTTACCTCAGCATGGCTTACTGCCTCCAGTGACATGACCCTACTGTCCCACACTCAGCACCAACATGATTTTACCATTTCAGAAATTTCTTGCCAAGAAGATGAAAATCCAAATACTGCATTGTTTGTTTCAGGAACTTTCTGAAAATCCATTTATCCAAACAACAGATGACTCAGCAAGCCCACATCAGGGGGATAGGCCCTTCCTCAGAATTCTCAGTGGGGCTCATGAAATAACTGCTTACTTTTCAGACTCCCTTCCACACCTCACCTCTCTATGGACATCATCAGTCCCACACCATTATGTATCAGAGTGTGTCTGTATCATTTTGGCCCCTACATTGAAAGACTCACATTAACCGGACCCCTAAAACATTTTAACCATTGCCTCTGACATAACACCTTCCCTTCTGTGAAGCTACTTAAAATATGTCAATGCAGTGAGATCCCTTACTTCAATGAACAAATAGTTTGGATTCGCTTGATGAATAAGCTATCTGGAGGGTTTCTTTTAAGAGTTAGCAGTCAATCCCTGGCTTCTAGTGTACCAAGTTTGTGCTACTGATGGGTATCCCTATGCTCTTCAGGTTCCTTGAACAAGTAAGTCTTCATGGGTACTTCTGTCCAGCAAAGCAGTGAATCATCTCTAAGTGCATCTCCAGGACTCCTGCCTCAAGGTCAATCTGGTTCTGGTCTAGCCCAGGAATGTGTATCCTGGACTAAGCCCAGATGTCCTCTGATCCCCTTGTCAATTACCATGATATGCTACAGCCAATTGATCATTTGTCTACCCTAGACAAGATCTAGAATTGTTTTGGTGGTCCCAGTTGCACAATAAACAAGCCTAGCATTTAAGGGGTAGAACAGAAATGAAATTCCCTGATTTTATGTATCAGTAAGTTTTCACTGCATAACAAATATGTCTCCAAATCTCTTTGTGATACAAAAATAGGCATTTCTTGCTCAGACATTTGAGTTCAGCTAGGGTTTGACCTAGGCATTCTGCTATCTCATCTTAGCTCACTCATGCAGCTGGGAGTCCACTGACTGTTAGGTAATCTAGACTAGCTTCAGCTGAGACTATTGGGGTGACTCACCTCTGCTCCACAAGGCTATCATCCTCCAGCAGGTCATGATCCACATGAAAAACTGAGGGAAGACATCCAGGACCTGCTGGAGAGCACATGGAAAAAAGTTGGGACACAGAAAAGGAAAGCAGCAAGAGTCGGGCAGAGATTGATCCCCAAGGAACTTGGAATACCATGGGAAAGGTAGGTAGGGGTGTTTCTCCACTCCCCTCACCTCTGTGATAAACTGCTGACAGCCAAAATGTCAGGGAGCCTCTTTGCCCTTGCAGGCCTAGGCAATGCTGTCAGTGGCAATTTTCGATCTTCCTGGGGATAGAGCACCAAGTGACCACCTTGGGCAGGTGTGCTCACACTCCCCTCAGACTCACACTGAGACAGCAGATGCCATACTGATTATGCACCCATGGTGGGCCACTGCCCTCCTCAAGGAACCTCAGCCCTTGTGTCACCACATCACCACAACCCCCACAAATATACCGCAGAATATACTCTGACTTTGGCAACCACAGAGGACCAGCAGGTTCATAAGGAGCTGTGGGATCCCTGGAGATCAAGCCATTGGCACAAGTCACCCCAGGGTAGGGGGCAACACAACCTGCCAAAATGCCCCTTGGAACAAAAGAAACACAGGTGCAGTGCTCATCTCTGAAGGGGATGACACCAGTGTCTGGGAATGGAAATGGAGAGGAGGTTATCTCCTGCTCCCCCCAATCACTGTTGGGAACACAGCAGAGTCTTTCCCCACTGGGGGCTGGTGCAAAACCACACTTGGAGACAGCCTGCTTAATGTTTTTTCATGGTGGCTGCACCCCCACTGAAAGTGAGCTCATTGCTGCTCAGAATTGCACGAAGAAAGAGGCTCATCTCCCACTCCCTACACAGAGCAGCATACCAGCAACAGAGGGCAGACAAGCCACAGAGTTGTCTTGCTCTGGATTAGAAAAAGAGGCTCTGCCTTGAGGCTATTTCAATGGTAGCTGCCAGAAGGGCATTTTGCAGACCTCTGTTGCACAGCATTCAGGAGCCAAAGGACATTGATATAGTCTGTGTATTAGTCCCAACTCAAATCTCATGTTGAATTGTAATCCCCAGTATTGGAGATGGAACCTGGTGGGAGGTGACTGGATCATAGGGGTGGATTTCTCATGAACGGTTTAGCACCATCTGCTTGGTTCTGTCCTCATGATAGTGAGTGAGTTCTTGTGAGATCTGACTGTTTGTAGGTGTGTGGCACCTCCCTCTCTCACACTCTTGCTCCTATTCTGGCCATGTGACGTGCATCTTCCCTTTTTGCCTTCTACCATGAGTGGAAGCTTTCTGAGGCCTCTCCAGAAGCAGATGCCTCTATGCTTCCTGTACAGCCTGTAGAACTGTGAATGAATTAAACCTCAGTTCTTATAAATTACCCAGTCTCAGATATTTCTTTATAGCAGTGCAAGAACAGACTAACACAAAATGTCTATATATACTAAAGGTCACAAGCCCTGCAACAAGGGCATGATAGGAAAATGGATCACATTCCTGCCTAACCAGGATGAGGAGCCAGTACACCCTTGAGACCTCAGTGCATCTCAACAGGAACTCCCCCGACCAGCCCCCAGGGTGGGTGCCTCCACTCATCCTTGGGCTACCCAAGGGCAAGGAAGCTCTTACTCTTAAGCACCACCTACTGAACTGGAGATTGAACCTCACCACCAAATTATAAACCTGCTGTCCAAAGGACATAATGCTAGTGCATAAGATAAGCTTCCTTAGACACTCCCAGTCCAACAATAGATAGTGTGTTGCTCATTTGTCCAGTGCATTCCTATAACAAGCAGCACTTGAGAAAGCCACTGCCCTAAAGCTATCCATAACCAAGGAACATATACAGAGTGTTGGGTCCCCAAAACACCCAGAAATAAATCCAAATGATCATACACAACATACACCACAGTTATACCCTCAAGGGAAAAAAGAATTAAAAATTTAAAAGTCCCATCTAAATGACAGCAAACTCAAAAATAAGAAGTGAAAGCCCATTCAGATGAGAAAGAATCAGCATAAAAACTCTAGCATTACCAAAAAAAAGTGTTTTCACACCTCCAAAGGATCACACTAACTCTTTAGCAATGGACCCTAACTGAAATGACAATTCTCAAATGATAAAGAATTTGAAATATGGATAGTAAGGAGCTCAATGAGATCCAAGACAAAGTTGAAAACCAAAACCAATAAACCAGGTAAACAATTCAGGATATGAAAAACAAGATAGATAGATAGATAGATAGATAGATAGATAGATAGATAGATTTTAAACTCACACAGAGCTCCTGGAAAAGAAAAACTCACTAATGGAATTTCAAAATACAGTTGAAAACTTTAACAATAGACTAGACCAAGAAGAAGAAAGAATTTCAGAGCTTGAAGAATGGTCCTTCAAATTAACCCAGTCAGACAAAAATAAAGATAAAAGAATTTTTTAAAATGAACAAAGTCTTTGAGATATTTAGGATTACTTAAAGCAACCAAATCTACTACATATAGGCATTACTGCGAAAGAAGAAGAAAAAGTAAGCAATTTGGAAAACACATTTGAGGGAATAATTTAGGAAAATTTTATTGATCTTGCTAGAAATGTAGACATCCAGATACAAGGAATACAGAGAACACCTGGAAGATACTACACACACACAAAAAAAAAAATCAACAAGGTGTATAGTTGTCAGACTATCCAAGGTCAGCGCTAAAGAAAATATCTTAAAGGCAGCTAGAAAGAAGTGTCAAATCACCTATAAAGGACATCCTATCACACTAACAGCAGACATCTCAGCAGAAGCTTTACAAGCAAGAAGAGATTATTTTTAGCCTTTTAAAGAAGGAAACAAAAAATGCCAGCCAAGAATTTTATATCCTGCCAAATTTAGCTTCATGAATGAAGGACAAATAAAGTCTTTCCCAGACAAGCAAACACTAAAGGAATTCATCACCACTAGACCAACTACAAGAAATGCTCAAAGGAGGTCTAAACATGAAAACAAAAGGAAAATACTCATAAAAGCACACATAGGTACAACGTTCATAGATCTTATAAAGCAATTACAAAACTGAGACTACAAAGCAACTAGTTAATAACATTATGAGAGGAAAAAAAAACCTCACATATCAATATTAACCTCAAATATAAATGGCCTAAATGCTCTACTTAAAATATATAGATTGGTAAATTTGTTTTTAAAAATGAGCACTCACCTTCTGTCTACAAGAGACCCACTTATCAGGTAAAGACACCCACAGGCTCAAAGTAAAGGGATAGAAAAAGTTGTATCACACAAATGAAAAACGAAAAAGAGCAGGAGTTGATATTCTTACATCAGATAAAACAGATACCAACCAACAACAAAAAACAAAGAAGGACATTATATAATAATAAGGGACTCAATTCAACAAGATTTAACTATCCTAAATATATACACACCCAACACCGGAGCACCCAAATTTATAAAACAAATACTACTAGACCTAGGAAAAAGGGATAAATAGCCACACAATAGTGGGAGACGTCAGCACCCCACTGAGAGCACCAAACAGATCATCAATACAGAAAATCAGCAAACTCTGGACTTAAACTAGACTCTTGACCAAATGACCTAATACAGATATCTATAAAACATTCCACTGAATGACTGCAGGATATATATTTTTCTCACCTTTGCATGGAACACTCTCTACAATTGACCATATGTTTGACCATAAAGCAAGTCTCAATACATTCAAAAAATTCAAAATTATATCAAATATCGTCTCAAACCACAGTGGAATAAAATTAGAAATTGATACCAACAGAAAATCTCCAAACCACACAAGTACATGGAAACTAAATAATTTCTTCCTGAATGACTTCTGGGTAAACAATAATATAAAGGCAGAATTCTAAAAATTTTTTTGAAATAAATGAAAACAGAGTCACAACATACAAAAACCTCTGGGACAGAGGAAAAGCAGTATTAAGGGGAAAGTTTATAGCATTAAATGCCTACATCAAAAAGATAGAAAGATCTCAAATTATCAACCTAACATTTCATCTAAAGGAACCAGAGAAACAAGAACAAACCAAACCCAAAGTTAGCAGAAGAAAAGAAACGAACAAACGCCAAAGCAGAACTAAATAAAATTAAGATGAAAAAAATCATACAAAGGATCAACAAAATGAAAAGTTGGTTCTTTGAAAGGATTAACAAAGTTGATAGAACACTGGCTAGATTAACCAAAAAAGGAGAGAGAGAGAGAGAGAGGATTAAAAAAATCATAAATGATAAAGGTGACATTACAACTGATACCACAGAAATGCAAAATATCATTAGAGACTACTATGAACATCTCTATGCACACAAAGTAGAAAAACTAGAGAAACTAGATAATTTCTGGAAACATACAACCTCCCAAGATTGAACCAGGAAAAGTGGAAATCCTGAACAGACCAATAATGAGTAATGAAATTGGATCAGTAATTTAAAAATCTACCAATAAAAAAAATGAGGACCAGACAAATTCACAACTGAATTTTATCAGACATACTAAGGACTGGTACCAATCTTACTGAAACTATTCCAAAAAATCAAGGAAGAAGAATTCCTCCCAAACTCATTCTATGAAATCCATATTATCCTGATACCAAAATCTGGCAAGGACACAACTAAAAAAGAAAACTACAGGCAAATATCCCTGATAAACATAGATCCTAAGATCCTTAACAAAATACTAGCAAACTGAATCCAATAGCACATCAAAAAGATAATCTATTACAATCAAATAGATTTTATTCCAGGAATGCAAGGATGATTCAACATATACAAATCAATAAATATGACTTACCACATAAACAGAATTTAGAACAAAAACCATATGATTATCTTAATAAATGGAGAAAAAAGCATTTGATAAAATTCAACATCCACTCATGATGAAAACCCTAAAAAAACTAGGCATTGAAGGGATATACCTCAAAATAATAAGAGCCATATATGACAAACCCACAGCAAACATCATACTGAATGGATAAAAGCTGGAAGCATTCCCTCTAAGAACTGGAACAAGACAAGGATGTCCACTCTCACCACTCCTCTTCAACACACTACTGGAAGTCTCAGCCAGAACAATCAGGTAAGAGAAAGAAATAAAATGCATCCAATTGGAAAAAAGGAAGTAAAATTATCTATGTTCACTGATGACATGATCTTATACCTAGAAAAGCCACAGGTGTCCTCCAAAATACTCCTAGACTTGATAAACAAGTTCAGTAAAGTTTCAGTATATAAAATGAACATACAAAAATCAGTTGCATTTCTATATATCAGCAACATTCAGGAAGAGAACCAAAGCAAGAACTCAATCCCATTTATAATAGCCACATACAAAAAATACCTAGGAATATATTTAAACAAAGAAGTAAAAGACTTCTACAAGGCGAATGACAAAACACTGATGAAAGAAATTGTAGATGACACAAACAAATGAAAAAGCATCCCATGCTCTTGTATTGGAAGTCAATATCATTTAAAAATAACCATCCTGCCTAAAGCAATATACCAAATCAATGCAATTCCTATCAAATTACCAATATTATTTTTCACAAAATTAGAAAAAACAGTTCTATGACTCATATGAACCAAAAAACAGCCCAAATAGCCGATGCAATCCTAAGCAAAAGAACAAAGCTAGCATCATATTACCTGTTTTCAAACTATACTACAAGGTATAGTAACCAAAACAGCATGGTACTGGTGCAAAAATAGACAAATGGAACAGAATAGAGAACCTAGAAATAAAACCACATACCTACAACCAACTAATTTTCAACAAAGTCAGCAAAAATAAACAATGTGGAAAGGACACTGCCCTATTCAATAAACAATGCTGGGAAAACTGGCTAGCTATTTTCAAAAGAGTGAAACTAGATTCCTATCTCTCACCACATACAAAAATTAACTCAAGATAGATTAAAGAATTAATATAATACCTGAAACTATAAAAACCCTAGAAGAAAACCTAGGAAAAACTCTTCTGGACGTTGGTCAGCATTTAAAACCTAAGTGCAGCTGCTTTACGGAGGAATGCTGCCTCTAGGATGCAGAGCCTGCCCTTTATCAGGCTGAGCTGGGGTGGCTCTGGGCAGAGGGCACAAGATACTGCTCCACCCCTGAATGCAGCCCTCTCGCCAAATAATTTATGATTAAGACCTCAAAAGCAAATGCAACAGAACAAAAATAGATGAATGGGACCTAAACGAGCTTCACCACAGCTGAAGAAACAATCAATAGAGTAAACAAACAATCTACAGAATGGGAGACAATATTTGCAAACTATATATGCAGCAAAGGACTAATATTCTGAATCTATAAGGAACTCAAACAAATCAACAAGAAAAAAAAAAAACCTCATTAAACAGTAGGCAAAGGACATGAAGAGACACTTCTCTAAAAAAGACATGCAAGAGGCCTTGTTGGCATGAAAAAATGTTCAACATCACTAATCATAAGAAATGCTAATTAAAACCACAATGAGATACCATCTCACACCAATCAGAATGACTATTAATAAAAGTCAAAAAATAACAGATGTTAGAATGCAGAGAAAAGGGAATGCTTATACACTATTGGTGGGAATGTAAATTAGTACAACCCCTGTGGAAAACAGTATAGAGATTTCTCAAAGAACTAAAACTAAAACTACGATTTGACCAAGCAATCCCACTACTGAGTATCCACCGAAAGGAAAAGAAATTGTTATATCAAAAAGTTATCTGTACTTCCATGTGTATCATAATAGTATTCATAATAGCAGTCATGGAATCAATCTAAGTGTCCATCAACAGTTAAAGAAAATGTGGTGTGTATACTAGAATACTATGCAACCATGAAAAAGAATGAAATCACGTCCTTTGCAGCAACATAGATAGAGCTGGAGGCTATTATCCTAAGTGAAATAACTAAGACACAGAAAATCAAATACCACAAGTTCTCACTTGTAAGTGGAAGTTAAACACTGGGTATACATAAACATAAAGATGAAAATAATAGAAACTGGGGACCCCAAAAGGGTGGAGGGAGGAAGGAAGAGAAGGACTGAAAAATTACCTTTTGGGTAGAATGTTGACTGGGTGATGGATTCACCAGAAGCTCAAATTTCACCATTACACAATATATCCATGTAACAAACCTGCACGTGTACCCCTTGAATCTAAAACAAAATAGTTTTTTAAAAGCAGCTTAAGCATAAAATTTAGAACCAGGAGGAAAATTTAAGTAATCTCTATCAGCCTCATTATTTAACAGATAAAGGAGCTGGGACTCAAGTAACTGAAAAGACCAATTCAAGGTTATACAGTTTTTTGGGACAGAATTGAGTCTAAAACTCAGGTTTTCTAAAACCTAGTCATTAAAAAGTCCACTATTTCACTGATAATGTTTGCTATAGCATGCAGAAGAAAGTCATTTGGGGCCGACTTATGTTTGTAGCACTTTAAATTGAGATGAAAGAAGTCCCCTGCCATTCCATGTAGCACTAAATACATGCTCCACCAGAAAGGCAATGCGTTCACAGAACGATTTGCTTATTCAAGGCCAGGGATTTCCTCAAAACATGCCTATGACCCACTACAACCCTCATTTGCAAAATCCAGGAGAATTCATACTCAACATCCATGTTGAGGAGGGCGCACTTACGCCTCCCAAGGCAGCCTGCCCTGCTTCTGTTCAAATAGAGCTTCCTTTTGTTGACAGCAATTGCGCCAGCTGAGCGACTCTTTTGAGCCACACAACAAAAAGACACGAAAAGAGGCAGCTTTCAAGATATAATCTATGGGTAAGACCACCCCTTCCCAGGCAAGCGGGGAGGCTGTCAGCTGTCGGCCGGCCGCGGGACTGCATTCCAGGGTGGAGCAGCAGCGTGTGCCCTCTGCCCAGAGCCACCCCACCTCAGCCTGATAAAGGCCAGGCTCTGCGTCCTACAGGCGGCATTCCTCCGCGAGGCAGCTGCGCTTAGGTTTCAACGCGTCCCATTGTACTGTTGATTTAATGAGGCCTCTCAGGCACTGTGTTTGTAAATGACAGTCATCATAATGCCAAAGCCCCAGAGACACAGACATCTCGGTGTTCTGACCTCTGAGAAGCTTGAACCATTAAAAGAAATTTGTTTTAATTTAAAAATAAAATATAATCATAGTAACACCCACATTACCCTCTGGTGGATTTTATTAATTCTCCTCTGGTCCAGACAAGTCATTATGGCAAATAAGAGTATAAACTTTGGAGACAGAAACAAGTCCTGACTTCACACCTGCGATTTGTGACAAGTTATTAAGCCACTTTGAGCCTCTATTTTCTAAGTCATAAAAAGGATATTAAAATCATACCTTCCTCAAAGTGCTACTGGAAGGCTAAGATAATAAATGGACAACACTCAACATGGCTCCTGGTAAATATATGTGATACTGAAAAACAATAGCCCAAAACGATTTTATGTATCACTATTACCTAAACTTCCTCTTTGCCTTTCTGTACCAGGTCAGCGAAAATAAGTTGCTATTTGGAAAGTGTGATTAGAGCAGTGATTGGCACATGATAAATGATTTATAATTGTCAGCTATTATTGTTGTTGTTGTTATTATTATTGAACAAGAAACAAACTACAGAGCCTTTGGAATCAGAACTGAATTGATTTGACCCATTTGATTAACTAATGGAATTCTCGGTTCTGAAATTTTGAGAGGAAAAGGAAGATGAAACCTTACAAGGAATGGAGATGGAGTATGGTCAGCAATAAGCTAGACCAGAGACAGACAAACTAGCACCTAGAGGGCAAATCCTGCCCACTCCCTATTTTTGTAAATAAAGTTTTATTGAAGCTTTTTGCATTATAGTTACAGAGTTGAGTCATTGCAAAAAAGACTTATGACATACAAAGCCTGAAATATTTACTCTCTTACTGTTTACAGAGAAAGGTTCTTGAGCCCTAGGCTAGGAAGAAATAAACAGGCCTAAAACAGCATCTGGCACATAGTAGGTCATCAGTAACTATTTGTTTTTAAAAATTCACAAATTGAATAAATGACTAGGCAGGAAACAGCTGATTTATCATTGGTTCTGACCTATCCAGGTCTTCATGAAGTTACGACCACTTCATACTGATGTGTCAGCTCTATTATTGTCCTGGGGAATTCTTTGAGCCATTGTTGGGAGTGAATAGGGCATAAATATCACTTGTAAATCAGACACAATGGTACTGAGTTCCTGATAGTCGGCTCCAAGTGTTGCATGCTTTGCCTGATTCAAGCAGGAGAGGGAGAGAGGAAGCTAGTAATTGCAGAAAATACATTGAACTTTATATTGAGATAATATGAAGAGTAGAGAGCAAAGGGGACAGACCGTAGTCAAAGACTCTAAAATAGTACATTTGTCTCTAGTTGTCGCAAAGGAAACAGATATATCTGATCCCAATCCTGCTTAACTCTACAGAGTATAATTTTAAAAAGTGGACCTCTACATTCAGAGAGGTCAATCAATGAGCAAAGAACAAAAACAAGAAAAAAGCTGGAGTTCAGATTTGGTTAGGGTTTGGGTTGGACTATATTCTTAGAACATAATTGTCTGCTGAAACTTCTGCCAAAGTTCCTAGTTCAAACGTGAATGCCTGGCCATCTCCCTTTGATCTCTGTATCTACCCACAGAGCTTAACACATCGCCTAGTACACAGGGGGCCTTGAGCAAGACCAGATGAATGAGCAACTGGAATAAGTCCTCAAAGGCGTCAAAGAAGTGGTAGACCAGCTGTCCCAGATGACTACTGGGCAGTAAAGTCAATGTCTGATGATGTCTTTGCCTAAGTCTGCAGTTTGACTCCTGGCTTCATGACTTGCCCTAATAATTTGTCATTGACTTCCTAGCAACTCTCTCACCTTCTCTTATTAGTAACTTAAATTTTGTCTGATAATTAGCCCCTTTGCCATTCTCAGCTGTGTGGTTTGGCTAATCACTCCTTTCCAGTCCCAGAGATGGATCCCAATTGGTTTTCATATATCCCATCCCTCTAGTCACATTGGTAATCTATTTTACAAGAAAAACACCATAATCTGCATGGCTTTATTATCATAGGTGTTTATTTCTTATTCATATGAATGGATCCCAATTGAATGACCCTGTTCCATGCAGTGATTCTGGGACCCAGGCTCCGTCTATTCGGTTGATCCACCCATCTTAAACATGTGGTTATGGTTCCAAGTATGCCCTGGGAGTCATCTTCACTCCAGTCAGCCAGAAAGGAAAGAAAGCATCAGGATCATGTCACTTCTGCCCACATTTATTAGCCAGAATTTTGTCACATGGCCAAATCTAACTGCAAGGGAGGTTGGGAAATGCAGTCTAGCTTCTGCAGAAGGAAGGATAACTTGATTTGGTAAACAGTGAGTTAGTCTGTGCCACAGATGGGCATTAAACTTAATCAGAGCCAATAATGCATGAAGATAGGTTTGCTGGGGATTCTGGGGAAAATAATCATTGCATGAAAATATGTTTACTAGGGATTATTTTCCCCAGATTTGCAAACTCTCTTTTCCCATTGATTGGGTGAAGGGAGGAAGTGTCCCTTAAATCCTGAGGGCTATCGAGTAGCCTGAGCATGGAGCCAACCTGGAAGAAGCAGAGCTGAGACACAGATACTGAGGACATCATTCAAAGCCTGAGTCAAACCGTGCCTGAAGCCAGACCTATCTCTGAATTTTTCATTTGTGTGAATCAATAAATTCCCTTTTGGTTTATGCCAGTGACTTGGGTATTCTCTCTCTTGCTACTAAAATTGTCTGAGTTATATCATTATTGTCAGCCATCAATGAACTCTACCCTCCTCTCCTCCCAATTCTGTTGATGGCAAAGAGGCAGCAAAAGGAAAGATTAAGAGTTCAGAATCTGCAGCCAAAGAACCTAGATTTGAACCCCAAACTACAGCGCTTGTCCTTAGGCGTGTCATATCTTTGTGCCTCCATTTGTCCATAGATAAATGAGAAATAATAATAGTACCTACCTCATAGGATTGTTGAAGATGGATGAGGCAATTTATGTAAGTGCTGAGAATATGCATGACACTTAACACAACTATAGAAATACTTACGGTTGTTACTATGCAGATGAACCAGAGCTATGTTGCTTCTTTTGCCCTCACTTCAGCCAAAGAAGGCATCTCCCTTTTCAGCTCTGTGATGTTTCCCCTCACCTCTCTCCTCCTTCCCTCCTTCTCTTGCCTCTCAAACCCTCTTTTCCTCCACGCTTGCTCTTCCTCCTATCTTACTGGCATGGACTGTGGGGAGGAAATTATTATTTCACTACCCAAAACAAATTGGTTGGCTCACCCTGGATAAAATGAACTTTCTGGACCCTAGAGATGCCATGTATTAGCAACCAGAGAGACACACAAGCGTAGACAATCAAAGACCCAAAGCCACATTTCCCAGGTGTAACTGAAAACTCTCCCTTGGAAGGTGACAGGAGGGGACCCAAGTGCAAAGTTCAGAATGCCCTCTTCATGCTACTAAAATGTAACTGGCATGAACTGCTCCACAAACCAGAGGCAATTGTTTATTGTCTTAAATCACCTCCCTAGGCCCCATGAACCTTATTTGACAAGAAATTCAGTACCTCTTTTTAGACAAGTACACCTCACCCCACCTTTGGAGAGTTGACAAACCCTAAGGGATTGTACAGTCCGAAAGGGGTTTCAATACAGCTCCCCTGCAAAGGCTGAGAGAAAAACGGGGTGGAGTGCTGTCATTGCCCCTTGCCACCACACGAGGTCACTGTTAAGGACAGATGCTGCCATAGTGCCCTCTGGTCCCCGCTCCAGCACTGGAGGTTTCCTGGTTCTCTGAGGGAAGCCCGCCCTTGTGCCAAGTGTAACTAAGGGCGCCTGCTTTTCGGATGGGCGCTTTCAGTTCACATGCAGCGCCGCCTTCCAGAACGTCCGCCAACCCCAGGCTCACCAAATCAGGATTCACTCTTTCAACTAACTCTGCAGGAACAGAATCACCGTCCACCATTTCCCTGACAACTTTACCATTTTAAAAAGCGGTTGCATTCTAGCCCCCTTCCCCCCTGAGGGTGAAGTGCCCTTCGACGGGCCATTGCCCTCTGTGGTTCCAGGAGGCACCTGTCCCGCTACAGAGAAAGGAAAACAACACATTTAAAATCAGGCAGCTGGTCCCACCACATGGTAGTCAGTCTCCTGCTAACTCCTCCTGGGCAGAAAGGGAAGTGAGAGAGGACAGGGAATGAGGCATCTGCAGCGCGACTTCTGCTCCCCCAGCCACACCCATGGTTTTTGTCTGTGGGCTCTCACTCCAAGAAATTGTTCACTTTGGGAAGCCGAGGCAGGCGGATCACGAGGTCAGGAGATGGAGACCATCCTGGCTAACACGGTGAAACCCCGTCTCTACTAAAGATATTAAAAATTAGCGGGGTGTGGTGGCACACGCCTGTAGTCCCAGCTAGTCGGGAGGCTGAGGCAGGAGAATCGCTTGAACCAGGGAGGTGGAGGTTGCAGTGAGCCGAGATCGCACCACTGCACTCCAGCCTGGGCTACAGAGCGAGACTCCCTCCCCCACCCGCAACGCCCACAAAAAAAAAAAAAAAAAAAGATTGTTGTGCCTGCCGATAGAATCCCTTGGTTTAATTTTACTAAAAGTACAAGACGAGGAAGAAAATATAACTTTTGTGTTTATTTTTCCTAAAGTCTATTGACCTTCCTTTTTGGACTGCACAATCCCCTGGGGTGTGGACTATTAGGGGTGGCTCGTACGCCTTTAAGAGCAAAATCAGCCATTACTCAAAGACACTTCATCTTTTTTTAACTTTTGTTTTCTGCCTAATGTTTCCCAAAGCATGAAGTAAGTGCTTTTTCCCATTATATTTTTTTCAATAACCTCTATGCATACAAAATTTAGATAATCATTAAAATATGCAAGGTATTATATTAAATGCTTGAAATCAGTGTTGTTTTGTTTTGTTTTGTTTTGTTTTTTGAGACAGTCTTGCTCTGTCGTCCAGGCTGGAGTGCAGTAGCGCCATCTCAGCTCACTGCAACCTCCACCTCCCGGATTCAAGCAATTCTCCTGCCTCAGCCTCCCAAGTGTCTGGACTACAGGCACGTACCACCACATCTGGCTAGTTTTTTAGTAGATACAGGGTCTCATCATGTTGGCCAGGCTAGTCTCAAACTCCTGGCCTCAGGTGATCCACCCACCTCGGCCTCCCAAAGTGCTGGGATTACAGGCATGAGTCACTGCGCCTGGACCTTGAAGTAGATGTATTCTTTAAGAGTAGGATTGATTAATCAGATTTTTGCTTTTTCAGCTACCAGAGAGGGTTTTTTTCTTGTTTATCCTTCCCACAGTTTCTACTGTTCTGTCTTCCTCTCTCATTTTTTTACTCTTTTTACCCTCTTGATCCTTCAATTTTTTTGCTACTGTGATTGTTAGCCATATTAAACTGAAATGTTTTAATCAATGTATTTATTTAATAAAATGTAATATTGTCTGTTCTTTAAGAAATTGCTTTAGTGGAACTTTTTTCTACAGTAAAGACACAAAAAAAATACCAAAGTAATAAAATGTATGAGCTAAAACTATAAAACTTAGGCATAACATAACAGAAAAGTCTTGTGACATTAGATTTGGCAATGATTTCTTGAATACAATGCCAAAAGCAGAGGCAACAAAAGTAAAAATAAATTGTACTTCATCAAAATTAAATACTTCTGTGCAACACGGAACACTGTCAGCAGAGTGAAAAAGCAACCCACAAAATGGGAGAAAATATTTGTAAATCATATGCCTGATGAGGGATTAATTCACAGAATATATAAAGAATTCCCATAACAAAAAACAACCAGATTAAAAAATGGGCAAAGGATTTTATTAGACATTTTGCTGAAGAAGATATACAATAAGCACATAAAAAGATGTTCAGTATCATTGATCATTAGGGAAATGCAAATCAAAACCACAGTGAAATACCACTTCACATCCATTAGGATGGCTACTTTCAAAATACAAAAGGTTGGCAAGGATGTGGAGAAATTGGAACCCTTGTGCACTGTTGGTGAGAATGTAAAATGGTACAGCCACTGTGGAAAACAGTACAGTGGTTCCTCAAAAATCAAAACATATCCTTACCATGTGATCCAGCAATTCCATTTTCCAGGTATATACCCAAAATAATTGAAAACAGAAATGCAATGAGATATTTGTACACCAGTGTTCTAGCATTATTCACAAAACTAAAAAGACATTCTACTAAGTGAAGTAAAAGAACACAAAATCACATATATCATATGATTCCACTTACATGCAGTACCTCAAATAGTCAAATTCATAGACACAGAAAGTGGAATGGTGGTCGCCAGCATCTGGGGGAAGGGAGAAGAAGGACTTACTGTTTAACGAGTACAGAATTTCAGTTTGGAAAGATGAAAAAAACCTGGAGATGGATGGTGGCAATGGTTGCACAACAATGTGAATGTTTTTAATGCCATCAAACTGTACACTTACAAATAGTTAAAATAGTAAAATCTGTGTTGTATATATTTTACCACAATAGAAATAGAAAAGAAAATGAATTGCTTTTTGACTTATGTATCCTTAAATTATATTTTCTTAGGTTAATCGTCCTCGAAGAGAGAGAGAAACAAAAGAAAAATGAAAAAAGGAAAGAAATTTTCTCCACAAAGACTCAGAAAAGCTACAATCCTAAGAAGTCAAAACTATAATCGGCTTGAGTTGAAGAATCCAAGGATCTTTACAGTTTTGTGACCTGTCCAAGGTTACACAGCTCACCTTTTCATTTTGCACTGGGCCCAAGTTATGTAGCCAGCCTGCTTAGAGATCTCTACTTACCCCAGTTTTCTGATTTATAAAACAAAAATAATAATAATATTGTTAAATTAAATGAAGCCTAAAGCTGCCTCCCTATGTATTTTTAATTTGGCCTAAAGGTTTCTTCGTACAGAGTGAACTATAACCTGACTAGATGTGTGATCTACTCTTGTGCCAATCATCAAGTTTTAACCAATCGAAGGGAGCCAACTGCTTAAACCATGTTCAAATAAGGCAAATGTCCAGCTGTAACCACTTCAGCTGTTTCTGTGCCTCACTTCTGTCTTCTACACATCACTTTCCTTTTTCTATCCATAAATGTTTTTTGATCATGCAGCAGCATGAAGTTGATCTGAACCTACTTTGGTTTGGGAGACTGCCCAATTCGTGAATCAATTAAACTGTTAAATTTAATTTGTCTAAGGTTTTTCTTTTAGCAGTAGGTTCCCCATAGGAGATTTGAGAAGATTAAATAGTAAAATAGATGGAAACTGAAGAGCACATGACAATTACTTCTAAATTTACCCAACAACAATGTGTTGATTGGCTACTGTGGAGCAGGCACTGTTCTAAGCACTGGAGAAATGCTGTGGAAAGTTCCTCTCATGGACCTTACACTTCCGTTAGGGAAGATTGACAGTAACAAGATACCATTACATTCTATCACATAGAATACGTACTATGAGGAGAAAATGGAGGGGTGCAATGCAGCAGCTTAATGACCACATCAGCTTGAGTAATCAGGAGTGACTGGTCCATGAGGTGACACTTAAATGATAACTGATGCCAAGGAAGGAAGAATCAATCATGCAACAATCAGAAGGAAGAGCATTCCAGGCATAGGGAACAGCTAGTGAAAATGCCCAAAATGAGAATTAACTCTGCGTTTGAAAGACACAGAATAAAGGCAGGGTGGGTCTAGCAGAGTAGCTTATAAACTGTTTCAGGATGAAGCCAGAGAGAAGATTCAGGTTTGATAAAACCAAAAACCACAGACAAGGAGTTGGTGCTTGATTCCAAGCCATGGGAGAGTTTTAAGCTGGAAACACTTGGTCTGACATGTATCTTTAAAGATAATTCTGATGACTGTTTGCAGAATGAATTTTAGGAGGCAAAGTGGAAGCAGGCAGGTCAAGTAGGATGCTACTGCAATAATATAAGCAACAGATGATGGCTTAGACCAAGGGGGGAGGGGCAGGGATGTAGAGAAGTGGTTGGATTCATGATAGGATTCTACCTATTGAAGGTAAAATCAATAGGAATTTCTGATATTGGTGGTGAGAAAAATAGATCACTCTTGAGCAATTGGATGGATAAATGTTCACTATGACTATGTAAATACCAAATCATTAATCTCTGCCCACTATGAAATAACATCCTAACCGGAAAAGTGTCCTGGGTATGGTGAGCCCCCAGTACATGTTGATTGATTGAACAACTGAATGAATGGGGGAGGGAAGATGCTGAAAGGGAAGTTGAGCGGGGAGCTGAGGAGAAACTTTGCCTACTTTACAATTTTGCTTAGAGCCAGACCTGCTGACTGGTCTCCATAAAAAGGAAAAACAAAAATCACCAGAAAAGAAAGTTTGCTGTGTGGAAAGATTTAAACTAACAAAGGAAAAGGAAAGGGCCATGAGGGCAGGGAGACACATGTTTGGACACATCCCCTGCTTGGAAGGCTGACTCCTGAAAAGACCAGTATCTGATGAGTGTGCAGGAAACCCTATTGCCCTGTCAGTTCCTACTAACAACCGGGTGCATTTATGTCTCCTCTCAAAGCATGAAGCAGAGGAACCAGAGAGGGTGCCAGGGCCAAGTAAAGGCATGGACATATATTCATTGGCCCATCTGGCCCTCTCTGCAGGATGGGAAGCATTAAACAGAGGCAGCACACTGGCTCTGTGTACATCCTACCTAGAGACAGAAACATTTCAACTGAAACTGACAGTCTCTTGAAACCCGGTATCTGATTCTCACAATAATAACCCTCCTAAAAAATTCAGTCCCCAAGAAATGGCAATGGACTGAAAGAGTGCCTCTCTATGAAGATTAAAACTTTAGAATGTTTTCTAAAAATATTTTAAAAGTTTAGAAGATTTTCTAAAACTATTCTAAACGTTTAGAAGATTTTCTAAAAATCTTCTAAACGTTTAGAATATTTTTGTAATCATGAACAGTGCTAAACAGGTATGTGTTAGGGTAAACCATAGGAAGTTGCTAGGGTTAGTCCATTTTTTATCTAAAAGAGTAACTATTTCATGTGGTTCAACCTGATCTCTGTCTCTGCAGGCTGATGAAGTGCTTTGGACAAAATACCACCATAACAATAAATCTTACCTTGAATATATCCCCACTACTCCTTCTATCTCCAAATCCTAGAATGTTTCTATGTGTTCTTTGAGAAAGTAATTTTGGGGGATTGAAGCAATTTCTGATTGCCTGGGGGAGAAAATAACAACTATATTCCTCGATGATGTACCCAGCATTCAAACCAACCATCAGATGCTCAAAGCTTAAAGAAATTCAGAGGGGGAGAAATCCCCTTAGCATGGGAAGGATGAAAAGAGTATTTTACAATCCTGTAAATGTGGAAAGGCAGAGTGAAGCTTATGTTGTCCAACTCACTTGTTTTATCATACAAGCTAAGGGGCTTGCACAAGGTCAGGGCCAATAGTTCAAGGCAGAACTGGAGCCAGACCTATCATGTATATTGAACTAACCATTTTCTGAATCAACACACACCATGTATGGAAAGGTAAGAGGACTTTACAGGTGAAAATAATTTCATTTGTAAGATGTAGAAAAATGCTAAACACAAGTTACAAGAATTTGACTTCCCAGATATCAAAATAATAACCCAATAGAATAAGATGTGAAAAAAAAACTCACCAAGAAACACGGAGATTTTAGAATGGTGCATTTAGAAGAAGCTACTACGGCAGGACTGAATGGCAGGAGCAGAAAGAACTGATTTTATAAGCAGCTCGGGGAATTGAAAGAAAAAAGCAGCATGTTTAGATAAATGCTTTTTTGAGGATGGTGGTATTTTACCAGAATTATATAATCTGCTTATTTATGCAGCTGGGAAATTTTCACTTCCATGAGTTATTCTTTGAAACATTTGTAGTGAGTGCCTACTGTATCTCCAGCAGTCTTCCAGGTATCTGGATATATCGGTTAACAGACAAAAATCCCTGCTCTTAATGAGCATATATTCTAACTGGGGAGGTAGACAACAAACAATAAACATAAAACACAAGTGAATTGTATGGTCACTTAGAAAGTGATATGTACCGAGGGAAATAAAAGATCAGGATACTGGGAAGCTGGAGCCGTGAGCAAGGAGGGATGCATGTTGAGGTTTTTAGTAGTGTAGTCTGGGCAGGTCTCTTTGAGAGAGTGGATTTGAATAAGGGCTTGAAGAAAATGAAGGCTGTTTAGGGGAAGAGCGTTCGAGATCTTGACAGGTCACTAAGGCAGAGATGTGGCGGGCAGGTGTGTGTGTTACCACCTGCTCTGTAGAGCTGGTGTCATCCCAGTTTCTACAGCATGGCCAAGTCTTTTACATATAATAAGAAGCCTTGAGTGATCCAATGTGTCCACGTTATGTTACGCCAGAGACGACAAATCCATATAATGGAACTTTGAGAATTTGGTTGTGGTCCAAGTATGCTGTGGTTGTGTGAATCTCAGCTGTGGCCTTTATATTCACTCTTCAGAGCTTCTGTGGCCATGGCCACCTCTCAGTGTAACAACAAAGAGCCCCCAGCTCAGGTAAGGGTTTTAATGACTGAACCCAATGAACCACAGTTAATCCATTCATTAGCTTAGGTATCAAATATCAGAATGGTGGCTGCCACAGCAGGCAAAGCATAAGACTAGAGTAAGATTACTCATCATCTATTACTAGTTCAATCACATACTCACTTATCGACGCTGAATAAACGGCTCAATTTCTCTATGCCTCACTTTTCACATCTGCCAAATCAAGATAATACCCTTTGCTCAGTATATTTCACAAAAGCATAGTAATATTTAAGTTTAATGATATAATAAGTATGAAAGTATGCTGGAAGCTATAATGCACAAGGCAATATGGCTTAATTATCTCTATGCCCTCAGAGTACAGCATAATGAATGGCATTCCATAAGTGTTTTTTGAGTAAATAAGCAGACAAGTAAAACTTACTGTGTGATGACAACCAAGAAAAAAAGTCATCCCATCGGACATAACCTATGTCTACACAATCAAAATAAAGATAATATTTAGCATAGCTACCTTTATAAATCAAGCCAAATAATATATTATTCTAGATTTTCACTTGAAACTTTTTTTAAGCAGGAGTTATTTCAAAACATGATAGAAAACTATAGACTACTCTCAGTTTAGCTTGTTAAGTCCTTTGCCTTACCCAACCAGGAAGAAGAGAAGGACAAAGAAAAAAGAATTGCAATATTGCTCAGATGATCAGTATAAAAAAGACATCAAACAAGGAAGAGGAGGAGGAAGATAATTCCTTTTTAATAATTTCAATATTTGGAATATAAATAGCCATTAATAAGATGTAAAGGAGAGATAAAAAGTGTTTTGGCCTCTAGCCAAGATGTTTCAGGTGCCAGGAATTCTGCCCAATGAGTAGACAAAAGGAATGCTCAGCTGAATCTAACACCAAGCTATTTGTAGAATAAAGCTGGATTTCATTAAAAATGCCTACTCAGCAAGAAATCCACAGGGTGCAGCAGAAACACCTCTCTCTCCCACTGGGAGAGCATTTTTTTAACTACTAGAAATCATAAACGGGTATTTTGAAAGCTTGTTTTGTTAGTTCTGCTTGCTCCACCTTGGCCAGAATCAATTTTATCAAGGTCCCCCATTAGTCATGGCGGGGTCCATGGAGGCATTTCCAAATGGTTCTCACTGATTTATCCTACTGAAAGTTTTTAGGGACTTACTGTTGTTATCTCTTTTCTAAAATTGTCACTTCCCAAAGCACCACTTTCTGTTGGAAAAATTCTAGGAGTTGTTGGATCTGTTGAAACTATGATGCAAATTTTCAATTATCTAGATAGCTATTCAAGAAAGATCTATACCTAGCTGCCGTTTTGAGATCTTTTTCTTCTTCAGTTGGTCAAAAGCTGCCAAAAGAATTTTTTAAAAAACCTTTTTTAACCAGAAAATTGACCTCAGATTTGCAATTTCTAGTCTTTTTTCTCCTGCAAGTAAAAGATACGACGTAAACAGCTAAACTTGTTCTACTTCATAACAATAAACTCCAATCCCATTGGCCATCTCACAAGGTTCGGGAAGACCTTGTTCAAGGTTCATGAAAGACCAAAGCAAGTCAAGTGGATGTCTCAGCATCAACCTCTGGATCCACATTGCCTGGATTCAAATCCTTACCCACCACTCCCTAGCTTTGTGACCTCGGACAAGTTACTCATGGTCTTTCTGCCTCAGTCTTCTCACCTGAAAAATGGCAATAATAGTAATACTTATGTAATTAGTTACTCATCCTTTCTTTGTCTCAGTCTTCTCATCTGCAAGTTATAAATAATAGGAATACTTACACATTAGGCTTATGGTGAATATTCAATGTGTTAAAATTTAAATGTATTAAATCAATATGAAGATTTGGTGACATTTATTTAAAAGATTAAATAAGTTATCAGTTAAAGATCAGAAGAGTGCTGGGCACATGGTGAAAGCTATGTGTGAGTCTGCCATGATGTGATGGTGATCATGATGATGATGAAGGTGGTGACTCCTCTTTCTTGAATCCTTCTCAAAGCACACGTGAACCATGCTATTACCCAAACTGATCAATGACTAAAAACTCAGTGACAAGCATGACATAGAGAAAAGAGCAGTGAAACACTAACAAGTAACAGAATCCTACAGCCACAGAGGATATTCCACATTGTTACCCAGGAACTTTCCAACATTTCCCAATTTTTTTCCTTTTCCAATACAGGAAAAGTCTCTTCAGATTCCAATCAGAAAATTCCTCCTGTCACCCAAGAGGAAACTATAACCTCTCACATTGTCGCCACTGAGGACAGATCACAGGGGCAAAGGAGGTGAGTGCTAATCAAGGATGGCATGAAGAGGAGGCAGTGAGAGAGCAAACAGCAGTCCTGGGGAGAGGACAGCCGCACGCAGTCTTATGTGACTGTCCACAGCACAAGGAGGAAACTGGAGGGAGCACACTGCCCATGGAATATTGCTGATTAAAAACCACTTGAAATGAGACAGAAATTACAACAACCTTCAAAAGGAATATAGACGACAATAAAGAAAGTGACATTTCACCCAACACAGACACATGGATCAGCAAAACTGAGACAACCCAGGACAGGGGAAAATCCAGACCTACTTCAGAGCTACAGTGGGCTCAGGATAGAGGTCTGTATAGCTGCTGTCTGTTGCATATTTTAACTGTAGAGTAATAGTTAAGGGTGACTGAATACCTATTGTGTGCTAGGTACCAGTCTAAGCACTTTACTTGTCAATTGCAGGCACATTTTAGGGAGAGGGGACAGGGATTTAAAATAACATGAAGAATCCCTGTTTATAGCAATCAAAAGAGCCTAGCAGAAACAAAATTAATTAACACACCTATTCAAACAATTTCTAAAGGATGCCATGTGCGTTATAGGCATTTTTTAATGCAACTAATTGATAAACTCTATGCACAGGTCTCTGTGGCCACTGGCAGGCTAACCTCCACTTCTAGGAACTGAAAAATGAAATAATCTACCTGCTAAAGTCTAACATGGCATTTCCCTTAGAGACACTGATAGAACACAGAATCTGGAGGTTGCCAATATAAATTTGCAAAAACAGAAAGCAACCCTTAGTCTAAAAAGCTTGGGAAATGCTGCCTTAAGCAAAGTTGAACTGTTTTTTGTTTCATTTGGTTGCGTTGTTTTAAAGGACTTCTCAGAACTTTCAATGGACTAACAAACATGGCCAATCCATGAGAAAGGGACATGAGAGACAGGCGTCCCAAATTATCTGGCGAGAGAATTCTTCCCCACTACCCCTACAGCATTTTCCATAACTAAATTGTATTTAATAAAACATTATTTAGGAAATGCTAGTATGGGCTCATTTTATTATTTCACCTGGAATTGAGCCTGTTCCAAGCCCCAGATTTTTATCTACATCCTTTAGAAAGAAAAGAATCAGAAAGAAGCATCCAATTTATGTCCCTGTTATATTTTTTAAGGTAACACAGCTGCTGTAACAGATAAATATCAAAGTCTCACTGGCTTCACACAATCATAATCCATTTCTCCTCAAGCAACAGTCCAGCGCAAGTGAAATCACCCAGGAAGCTTTGGAAAATTCTCCTGTGCGCCACTCCCAGGCATTCTGATTTGGTTATTCTGGAGTGGAGCTAAGCATTAGGCCTTTTTTTTTTTTTTTTGAGCTCCCCACCCAGGTTTCTGGGCTGGCCTCTGAGGGGCCTATGTTGGAAAAGTTTCCTAGATTATCGGTCATTATAAATGTTGTTTCAAAAGTTGAAAGGAGTCGGGGGGAGAGAGAGAGAGAGAGAGAGAAACTTTGTAGAGAAATAAAGGATCATTTAACCAAAATTAGTATCTGTAAGTGCATGAATCTCCCATTTAATTTAGTGTCATGAGACATGCCCTGGTTTGTTAATAAGTCCAAACCTTATCCTTCCTGGTGCTGGGTCTGACACGTTTCCATCATGGTTTCCAATAGAATTGAGAATACCATCTATTATTTATTTATTCATTAAATATTGATTGTTTCAGCAGCAGAGGGCAGTGGTTGACAGTACTGGCTCTGGAGCCACATAGTTTGAATACTAGATTTACCACCTATTAGCTGTGTGGCCTTGGATAAATTCCTTAACCTCTCTGCCTCAGTTTCCTCCTCTGTAAAATGAGAAGAATCATCCTGTTTTACCAAGTACTGTGAGAATTAAACAACTAAATCCATGGAGAGGCCTAGAATAGTGACTAGCATGTAGTAAGTTTTCAAAAAGTGATGGCTACTATCCTTAACTGTTTTCATTATTTTGAAGTGCAGGTCTCTGCTCTAGGAATCAAGGGGTACAGAGAAGATGAGGCTATATTCTTCTGTCCTCAAGGCATTCATAGCTGGGCATGGGAGACAGACAGATAGATGTGACCTCGGCTTTCATGGCTTTATGTGCAAAATTGTGGGAGCATCTTCAGGGTCCTGTGGAGGGGCAGCACAGGAAGGCTTCCTGGAAGGGGTGGCTTTAGATCTGGAACTTAAAGGGTAAGATTGAACCTACAGGCTCAGTCACTTGTTACTGAAGTGGCATGGAAAAGAAGAAAGAATGAGTCAAAAACCCACCTGTCAGCATCTGCAAGGAGACTTTTTTTGCAGTAGAGGTTATCCAGGGTGAAGCCACCACCTCCTGCAAGGTTTCTGCAACATTCATTCCATACCTGGGACCGTGCTCACTTATGGGCACTCCCCCAACCCCGCTCGACAGCAAGCTTGGACCTTTGCATTGGCACCAAAAGGCCTGCAGTGTTCCATGGCGTGGTTGTGGAAACATTGACAGGGCCGCAGGGCAGCAGTAGGCAGGACTAGAGGAGGGGGCAGAGTAGAGGAGAGGCAGGACCGTTCTGAGAGCTTCGCAGGCACAAAAATCCCGGGCCAAGCCTCTGCCTCAGCCCCTGCAGGATATCCTGTCATTCAGCAGGATATATAGACCATTTACAGTGGCCAATTTCACCAAGACTCCTGGATTTGCCATTTTTCCTTTCTGAAGGCAGGTCTCACCTATCTCCTGGTTCGATCTAGGAAAAAGGAAAGGAAGGGATTTAAAAGTAAACAGTGAAATGAGAAAGAATTCACTGGGAGTTTATCAAACTAAGTTAAAATAGCTAAGTCAGCCTGACAGGTGCTTGGCACAGAGAAGGAGCAAATATTTCCTCATGATGCTACAACATTTAGTAATTTTTTGTCTTGGATTGGTTGTACAAAATTTCTGCTCCCCAGCTGAAACCACAGGGCAGGTAAGAGGAGACTTACATATTTTTTTCATTTGTTAATTGTCATGATATGTTCAAAAGCTTGTCGTTTTCCTCTGTTGTTATGGGTAAAGGGTGAAATCTGGACTTTATAAAATACAGAGAATGTTTTTGGAGACTAAGTCCTAATTGTGATGCACCATCTTTCCGAAGGTGTGCTAACCCACTTGTTGCTCTTCCTGTACTGAAGCGCCCCGCTGCTGTTGGGACCTCTAATCTTAGTGCTAACGATCCTCTTTCCAGTGCAGCTGTTGGCGTCTTGTTTTTCATTTGTTCTAGTAGTCTCATTACTGTGAATATCTACCATCCCATCTTCCTGACTAGAAAATAACTATGGCTGTGGAGAGATGGTCTGGGGAATTCCAGGGTGGATATCTCACTAAGGAACACAAGTATCAGAAATATTTCCAAAATCATCAGGCCTTCACCCTTTCATCTCTTCTGCCTTCCACAGAGCTGTAGTAAAAGTTCCCAGGGAGGTCTTACCAGTAGCCCCTATGAAGTACATCAGCACACCGAACCCTCAAGCAAGCTCACCGAGGTGTCATCACAGAGTGAGGCCAGCTGTCAGTGAGACACCATGTGATTTCTGATCCATCAAGAATGAATCTTAACCATGATTCTGCACCTGTGCCAGGCAAATTTTTATCAACACCAATTTTATTACAGTTGGCTGCATGCTCTGATAATGTTTTCATGAAAATATGGGAAGATGGCCTAATGGCTAAGTGCTCCAGCTTTGAAATTTGGTAGGGGTGAGTTTGAACTGTGGATCTCATTTTTCTGTTTAACAAATAGGTCTGAGGATCAGTCATGATCGTCCACAGCTGTTTGACCCTGAGCACGTTTTTTAATCTCTTCAAGCTTCAGTCTCGCCCCTGACAGTGCTCCACAAATGGTAGTAATTATCATCACCATCATCATCTTCTTAATCACCATCATCATCATCATCATTATCACCAAGTGTTTGCATTCACACAGAAATCAGACCTTAACTAATTTAAATAAGCTGAATTTACTTTTCAGAGAGGACAACTTTGTCAATACTGTATGAGACAGACAATGAGCCTTTTCATTTGAAAAGGGCAATTTGAAGGTCAAGATGTTTCTTAAGAAGAGGGTTTTAAATCTAGCCCACAAAGAAAGAAAAGACAAAGTACTGTAACCCCACATACTTATCCAAATGTGAAACCCTCATGTAAAGAAAAGCTTGCTTTCAAAAAAAATGTGAAGGTGTCCTGACAATTAAAGGAGGTTAATTCAAACTCTATCTAAGTGTAGCTTTTGTTATTACTCAATAAAGAACCTTCTAGTGCTATTTTGGTTCATGATGATCACCAAATGAAAACTCCTGGTAAAAATAGAAATTTCAGTTTTCTATACTCCACTCAGGTGCAGGAAAGAGAAAGGGCTAATCAAGGAATCACAAGACCAGTAACTCACAGGGTGACCTTGGGCAAGTCACTGCAACACCCCTCACCTCAGTTTTCTTCCAGCTAAAATGAGGATGATGATACCTGCCCTACTTATCTTCAGAGCAGTGAAGATCAAATAAGATAATACCTTTGAATGGATGCATAACCAATAATCGTTCTGAAGATGTAAAGTTTCTTTTTATGCAGGCTTTATATATTTCAATGAACTTAGAAGCAGTGGTGACATTTCCACCACGACCAACCTATTATTAGGCCCGTGGATGAGCTGTGGGATAATACAGAAGCATGAGACACAATCCTGCCCAAGAAGAAGCCTACCTCTTTCTGCTCTGTCCTATGGCCTAGAGCAAACCTGTTCAAAAAGCAGGGCCTCAAAATGTGTTGGTAATGTCTTTTTTGATTGGCAGGTCCTTTCTGCCTTCCCAGGAAATGCCTGGATTAGACTCCTTGCCCTGGAAAGGTCAAGGTTTGGGGTTCAAGAGATCCTACCCCTTCTCTCTACTAACTGCTCTATGCTCAGTTTTACCTCAGCATGTTGGCACAGCATATTTCTAAGAGTTTAGCAAATAAGAATCAGGTGTCTTTTAATGGAGTGCAAAAACCAACAAAATGTGCTCCACTGGGCCAGCCACAGGAAGAGTAGAAGTTGAGAAAAGGAAGAAAAATGAATGTGGTTTTGTGAAAGAGGTGGTGTGAAACAGGGTCTTGAAGGATATGGTTCAGCAGCCCAGTGAGAACATGGCAGTTAGGAGAGGAAACAGGCACAAAGGTGAGTGAAGAGTTACAGCAGCCAGCATTCACCACCTGTGATACTTCAGACATTTTTGCCAGGAAATTTGCACCTGCTTAAGTGACCGTCATCATTTAAAGGTCTCAATAACCTCAAGAGTGGTTATTAATATCTCCTCTTTATAGGTGATGGCAAAGGGTAAGCAATTCATTCAAGATTGTACACTTAGCAAGATATAGAGTTTGACTCCAAACTTAGGTCTTTTGATCCCCAAGTTTAGTCTCTCTTTGTTGTACAAAGCTGCTCCATCTTAAGCTTGATGAGGAAATGAAGAAAAGTTGAGGAAAGGGAGGCATCTCTCGGGGAGGATCAGCCTCGGCATTATGAGCAACAGGGGATCCTAAAGAGTGCCAAATTGGGTCTGGATCATTCAATTTAGTAGTTACATATCCACCACCTTATGTTGCTAAATAACTGTTTCTAGCACATCTGATTTCCCCAATTCATTTGTTTAATCAACAAATATTCACTGAGCACTGCTATGCATCAGATACTATTTTAGGGCTTAGGTACAACAGTGGACAAAACAGAGAAAGATCCCTGCTCTCTGGAAGCCTACTTTTCAGTTGGATTGTAATCTAAAGATTGCAAATATCTCTGAAATAGTAACTGTATCCTCCACGGCACTGGCACAGTGCTGGCTCCAGAGCAGACATTCCTGTGGAATCAATGATGAAAGAACATCCTTGAGATCTGCTGATCTATGACCAATTGACCTTGAATAACCTGCTTTACAAATTTTTCACTTGAGAGTGTATTCTGCCATATATTTCAGGTTCCCCACTTGGATAAATGTGGGTAATAACATTATCTTACCTTGCTAGATTTCAGACTCTATCTCAGGTATGGCAAATGTATGGTACAAACAGTGGCTCTTATTTCACCTACAGCCATGGCAGACATTGCTTATTAATCTCAATACTCTTTCCAGATAAGATTGAAAGGAGCAAACCAGTCATTACCAATCAACCTTATCACCATCCCTGACGTTCCATTGAGATGATTGGAGACATTCCAGTGGAGAAGATTGGCCATGCTAGATGTTTTGCAAGACTCTGATAACAGGAATTAATGTTCTTTTTTTTAATATTTACACAGGCAAGAAGATGTGATAGGAAGTCTCTTCTTACAATTAGGACCGAGTGCCGATCCTGCGCTCTCAACCTTGGAGTCAAGTGCCCGGATGGTTACACCATGATTACCAGTGGCTCTGTAGGGGTTCGAGATTGCAGGTACTCATGAGAAAATAAACGTGATGGAACTATGAATCCAACTTGAAGCTCCCTGTCTCAAAAACTGCAAAGCATTTCCATGACTTTTCTCTTGCTCTAAGACAATAAGCCCAAACTTAGGTAACTCACAATTTATGAACTTAAGTCTAAAATATATAAAATATATATTGTTGGCCAGGTGTGGTGGTTCATGCCTGTAATCCCAGCACTCTGGGAGGCCGAGATGGGAGTATCACTTGAGATCAGGAGTTCGAGACCAACCTGTCCAACATGGTGAAAACTCATCTCTACTAAAAATACAAAAATTAGCCAGGCCTGGTGGCACCTGCCTGTAATCCCAGCTACTCAGGAGCTTGAGGCACGAGAATCGCTTGAACCCAGGAGGAGGAAGTTGCAGTGAGCCGAGATCAAGCCACTGCACTCCAGCCTGGGTGACAGAGTGAAACTATATCTCAAAAAATAAAATATATATTGTTATTCATTCACATTTTAATACAAAATTGACTTATTTTGTATTGCACATAAACATTCTCTTTTCATTTTGCCTGTATTTTGAAAATCTGGGTTTTATTTAATTTGGAAAGAATTCTAGTCTTGAATGTGTTAAAAGCCTTGAGTGTGATAGTCATCTCTTCAGCTATGGACCTTGATACTAATTAGAAGTCGAAGAAGGGGGAAAGATGAATTGCAGCATGGTTGCATTTTATGTAAACTTTGCATTCTTGAAGACCTCTTGGGATTCAAAACTCTGATAACTCAAGGCTAATTCTGGCAAAGGATGACAAGTGGTTCTGCTCACTAGCTAATGGGTGCAGCCATGGGGCTCAACTGCAAATGCAATTTGTATTTGCGCAGCCTGTTTCTTTAGAAATTAGATAGTACTCAATGAGTTTGCTTTTAATTCCGGATGGAAGGATTTTTTTTTTTATTTTGCATGAAATGAAATCTTAACACTATTATATCACACTATTTTAAATTCACATTTGCTTAATGTGACCACACTATATTCTAAAATCAAAATCATCATTTTAAATAAAAGTTTCCCAGCATTAACTAACCTAGAATTAGCAAGCAGTGGGTATCATCAGATGGGATAACTTTTACCTGTTCCTCCTTTTGGAGGTTAGATTCTAATACGATGATTGAAGTTCGTATGATACGTGATTAATGTCTCTGCATAATCAGGACTTGTAACACCTTGATTGCTTCTGATTCTTTCTGAAAAAAGAAAAGAAAAAAAAATTAGCAAGCATATGCAGCAGTTAACACTCAATTGCCAAAGCTGAAAACTTTTTTGTACTGGCTACTTTTTTGTTCATTGCCAAGGTGGACACTTGGTTATGTTCCAATACACAAACACACAAGCACACACACACATACACACACACACAGGATAAAACTTTTGCATTCAGAAATGTTTTAGATTTAATGACTTTGGTCTATCATTCATCTATGCTGGAACAAACTCAAGATTGGTTCTTTTGTTTTATGTTCTTTCGTTCTGTTTGAAAATCACTTTATTGAGATATTACTGACATACAAAAACCTGGACATTCTTGATGTACACAACTTGATGAGTTTGAAGATAAGTACAATCCATGAAACCAACACCACAATCAGTGTCATAAACATACTCATCATCTTCAAAAGTTTTCTCCCCCCTCTTTTTTGTGATAAGAACGCTTAACATAAGATCTCCTGTCTTTGCAATGTTTAAGCATATATTATGTTATTGTTTAGGCACTAAATCTCTAGAATGTTTTCATCTTTCATAACCAAAACTTTGTACCCTGCAAACAATACCTTCCCATTTTCTCATCCTTCCAACCCTTAACAACCACCATTCCACTCTATTTATATTCCTCATATAAGTGGGATCATATAGTATCTGTTCTTCTGTGTCTAGCTTATCTCACTTAGCATGATATCCTCTAGGTTCATCCATGTTGTCGCAAGTTACAAGATTTCCTTCTTGTTGAGGGCTGAGTAATATTTCAGTGTATGTATATACCACATTTTCTTTATCCATTCATCCATTGATGGATGTTTATGTTGCTTCCATGTCTTGGCTATTGTGAATAATGCTGCAGTGAACATGAGAGTGAAGAGATCTCTTTAAGATCCTAATTTCAATTTTTTTGGATATATAACCAGAAGTAGGATTAATGGATCATATGGTAGTTTTATTTTTAATTTTTGAAGGACCTCCATACTTTTTTCTACAGCAGTTATACCAATTTACATTCTCACCAACAGTGTACAGTTGTTCCCTTTTCTCCACATCCTTGCCAATACTTGTTGCCTTTTGTTTCATGCTTTTTATAATAACCATCGTAATAGTTGTGAGGACGTATCCCATTGTGGTTTTGATTTGCCTTTCCCTGGTGTTTAGTGATGTTGAGCACCTTTTTATACACCTATTGGCCACTTGTATTCTTTCAAAATTAGTTCCTGAAGGGATATTTGGTCCTGCCCTTGGACTCTCCTTCTGCCCACCTTCGTGAAGAAGTGTCCCTGCCAGTATTCTCAACCATTCAAAAAAAGTCAACTCTATCCCCAACTTGACTGTTCGTAAAGTATGTGACTGTGCTATTAATCAGCTGTATTTCAAGGATGGGTTTGAGAGGACAACCTTGAATTCATCATCATGTTATTCTTAACAGCAGCCCAGTTGAAAGAAATGGAAAGAAACAACATTTATGAAGGATTGTCTCTAGATACACTAAGTCTAATCCTAGAATAAGCCATGCCTGCAGAGATCCCTTTAAATAGACAATAGTGTTTAACCTCCATAGAATTGTTATTCCAGAACTATATCTCAGCTGGCACTAGAAACTCTTCTAAGGAACTCATCATTTTATCTCCTACAAGGATATTGTGGGAAATGTTCCTTGCTGCATTATACTGCCTTTGCCACAGGCATTTCTACATCTGCAATATCTCCAATAAATATGCTAAGCCTGAGCAATGGGTTTGCTTTAAATCCACACATACTGTGCATTTTGTAACTCATGATCTCTCCCTTCCTGCATTGACTGCTAGGATACTCAGTGATAAGTTTTAGGTATACTTCTAGCATGTGCCTAAGCCTTAATATTTATTTCATCTACTAACTTCACTTCTGATATCACTTTAGATATTTCCCCCGTATGTTCATTGTTCTCTGATTTTTTCATCCAGTTCTTACAATTAAAAATAATCATAATTAAGTTTTATGCTACCTAGAAAGCCAAATGTGTTCCATCTAGATATTTTTAACTGTAGATAAATATTAAGACCTAAATTGAAAGCTAAGGCAATTCTACCACCTAGAGTAACTGCATTGCTCTTATCGTGGGTTAATGTCCTCTCTTTACCCTCCAAGGTACACCTTTGAGGTCAGAACATACTCTCTGTCTCTCCCCGGATGCCGCCATATTTGTAGGAAGGACTATCTCCAACCTCGGTGTTGTCCTGGCCGCTGGGGCCCAGACTGTATAGGTAAGTGGCACAATGCTTGGACTTTGAGACTTGCTTCTTGGTATCTCATTTGGTAGAAAATTGAGATGAAGGAAGCCCAATAAAAAGAAGAATGTTAACATCCGTTTGTAGAAATTTCTGTGTTAGTCTATATGTAGAAAATCTTTCTTGCCCTGTTAGCTTTCACAAAGCAATCTGCTTTACTGCTGATAGAGATCTCTCTTTAAAAGAATTCCCTTATAAGCCAGAAAAAGGGACAATTGAAAGGATACCCATTTTTATTTTAAAAGATATTTGCAAAAGAAAGGAAGTCAAAACCTGGGCTATTAGGACCCCCAAATACAATTTTCTTTAAGAAGAAATTTTGTTACAATGTCTCAAAGACTGTAGTTATTGTTTGGCAACCAAAATAATAATTAAATATTCTAAAAATTTGTCTTAGGATGGAATATCAAACTTTCAAGTGGTAGATTTAAGACACATCAGGGTAAAGAAACTGTGTAAAGTTAATTGTGTAGAGATGCAAATACACATATACATAAAAATTAATTCTGACCAGGTTTTACTGTAAGCAAAACTACTAGCAAAGTCTGAATCAATGGTATAGTTAGATTTCTGCAATCAAGCATAGCATTTGATAGCTGAAATTGAACTTTTATCCTTAGTATAGATACTAACACTCAAATAGTGACTGAGTCATTTCTACCTGTGGAAATTATGTAAAGTCTTCTTTTTTTGGTAGGAAAAAATCAGGTATTTTAATTTATGAATTTGCAATTCATTCCCCATCTTCTTAGATGTAATGAAAACATCTCCTTAGGATCCACATAAAAGGAGAGATTGGTTCTCTTTTGCTTTGTTTTTTTTTCTGATTAAAGTAATACAAGCAAATTATATACACTTGTAAAGTTTACAAAGGTATAAAGAAAGAAAAAATATCAATTTGTATTCTGTCGCATATAGGAAACCTTAAATATTTTGGCATGTTTCAGTCTTGGGTTTTTTTCCATATAACTTGTAAATAGTTGAATCCATACTGTATGTATAATGTCTTTTGGGTTTTTTGTTTGTTTATTTGTGTTTTTAACTAACGATTAAATGAATAAATGCTTGTATTTACTCAATATTGCTGACATTAGGTACCAGAGAGGTACTCAGCTTATATTACCAGATGTAATTTTTAAAACAAATCTTTGAGTTAGACATTTTTATCCCCATTTTGCCTATGAGAAATCAGATTTTAAAATTATATTTTGCCAGTTTCCTTTGGACTGGTAAGTGATAAAGCAAATTCAAGTTCAAAGTTGCCTGGCACCAAAGCCTACCTCTTTCTGCTCTGTCCTACTGTCCAGAGCAAACCTGTTCAAAAAGCAGGGCCTCAAAATGTGTTGGTAATGTCTTTTTTGATTGGCAGGTCCTTTCTGCCTTCCCAGGAAATGCCTGGATTAGACTCCTTGCCCTGGAAAGGTCAAGGTTTGGGGTTCAAGAGATCCTGCCGCTTCTGTCTACTAGCTGCTCTATGCTCAGTTTTACCTCAGCATGTTGGCACAGCATGTTTCTAAGAGTTTAGCAAATAAGAATCAGGTGTCTTTTAAAGCAATTAACTCTGTTAATCAAATTCAGTGTCTTTTAAAGCAATTAACTCCGACTTCCAGATTTTAAGAACATTTTTTGTGCCAAATGTGGTCATGATCATGTCTAGTTCTCATAGACATTTTGATACAATAGAAAGAACTTTTAGATTTGCTTTTCTCTTTCTAACCCACAAAAACAAATCTGATGCTAAGTTACTAATCAGAAACATTGAAGACAAGGAACGGCTTTGTCAAAGATGCAGTACAAAAGTCAGCATGTCCGACATATGAATGTCAGAAAACAGCCAGGAGGGCAAAAGAACACTGGGCCAGCAGCTAGAACTTCATCCCACCATTTACTGGTTGGGGCAAGTGACTTTCTGCCTACTCCTTATTCTCCTCATCTGTCAAATGGGGGCTAAAAGTCCTACTTTACAAAACTGTAGTTGAGATTTTAAAACACTAACCTAGGTGATAAGACTTGGCAAAGTCTATGACAAAAAGAAGGAATTTTGTAAGTGTTTAATGAATAAATGAATGGGTGACTCAAAGTCAAAATAGACCTCTGATAATGAAAGATGAATAAAATGACACTCCTCTGAACCCTTTTTTAACAGTGGGTAACTCTTAAAGCATGAGCAGGCAAAAAGGATTCAAGATCTTTTAGCAGGTTTATGCCATCACACTGTGCTATGTGCAGACCAATGAGGCAAGGTCCACATCTACAACCAAAAGAGTCCAAAAAGGTAGCTGGGCATGGTGGCATGTGCCTCTAATCCCAGCTACTTGGGAGACTGAGGCTGGAGAATAACTTGGGAGGCAGAGGTTGCAATGAGCCAAGATCATGCCACTGCACTCCAGCCTGGGTAATAGAGTGAGACCCTATCTCAAAAAAAAAAAAAAAAAAAAAAAAAAGAGTCCAAAAGGGCTCTTTGAATGTTCAAACATTTCCTTCAAACAGGCCTCAAAGCCAGGGAAGCAAAACATGAAAACTGAGGCCTGGACATTATTTCTACTGTCCTTTCACTGGGGCAAAACGGTACTCCTCTTTATCTTCATCTTCCAAACACACTAGATGTCTCGAAAGGCTTCCTTCCTTTGGCTAGGGAAAAAGATAAAACCTCTACTTGGCAGTATATTTTACCTCTCACATTTTGTGGTGATGACAAGCAAAACCTTGACTATCACTTTACATTTCCGTAAGGATAAGGCCATTTCAGAGCTGCTGACGTGGGTCTATCCTTCTTTCTGAGGAAGCACATTCCCAAGCTCCAGAATGGCCTTGTTTCCAAAGCAAATGGAACATCCACTTCCTTTTTAATGCATTGACAAATACATTCATATGTAACACTTCTGGGTTATTTCAAAAATTAATATATCTCACTCAAATTGGGAAATCACCCTATGGTCAACGCTGAAAACTTGGAGAAGGTAAAGAAGCGCAATGAAAAAAATTACTATCATCTTCTAAAATTAAGAATAAAGCATGAATTCTCACTTGGGGAAAAAAATAATATTATCTTGACATAAGGAAGGTATTTCTACCTGAATGTAACCTGCTTCTCCCTAATTAAAATTTATACTACTTTATCAAATGTGCACATGGAGATCTTTCCTCATTAGCACAAAAATACATTTCTACTTTGAAACTTAATCATGTCTGAACAGCCGATATTCTATTTGGGATGAAATCGATTTTTTAATTTGAACATCTTACTTTTTTTTTTATTCTGCCATGAACGTTAATGGATTTGTGTAACAACTCAAAGTAATGGAAAATGAACATGTGCAAAGGAGTTACACCCAAACTCAGTTGTAGACAAAACAATCTGATTATTTCAAAAAGAAATAGTCTTGATTTTTCTTTTTTAGGTCAATGTCATCAAATTATCTAAATTTATTTTTTATATCATGTTATTTGCATTTCCAGGCCTCTTTTTCTTTCTCACTGCATTTTTCTTGCCATTCACTACCCAGGTTACAAATAATAGACCACAAGGATTTGAAACCATCCTTTTAGGCATTTCCTTTTTTGCTCTGAGTGACAAATAATGCGGAGTTCACTTAAAGAACATATTTCACTTCAGTTTCCCAGGCAGACAAATCCAACAAGAGCTATAAATGGAATATTGGGACATATTTTCTGCCTAGCACTGTTCACCAAGCTTTTAAACAAAGGTGGTGACATGGAATAGGCACCTCTAGAGTTTCTTAGGAGATAAAGTTACAGAGAAGTCCCTGGTCTCTTGTGGGGCAGGAAGTGTATTATCTTCCTTTAAAGAAATAGACCAGCTGATTTGCTGACAGCTTATAATGGTAAAGCCTCCTGCATTAGGAAAGTCAGGATGCAAGAGACCACCAGAGTAGTGGTGACCCAAGGAAATGTGATAATGACCTAGAATAGTCTTATCAGCTTCTTGAGCATCACAATGCATTGGAAACCTGCCCTTATAGCAAATTATATAATATGTCTTTCAAGCATCATTGCTAAGAATGTCAATTTTACCATAGTTTTCTCTAATGGGGGCCTGAGATGATAGAAGATGATATGAAAAGCAGGAAATAAATTACACTTTTTCGTTAAAAATTTTGTTTAAAAACCAAATGAGCTGTTTTCATAAATTGTTAAAACAATCTATCCAGGCCATAAAATGAGGATTCCTCATACCCCCACATTCCTGCTACCTTTTCTCCCAAGTTCCTTCCAGCGTTGGCCAGCTCATAAAAAATCAAGCATTTATTAAGCACCTACTATATGCTGCGTACAATCAGATATATGATAGACCCCATTCCCAATCACATGTATGATAAGTCCCTATCCCCAAGGAGCTCACAGACTAATGAGGGAAATTGACATGGGAGCAGAGGAGTAAAAACAATTGTACCTGTGAGCCCAGGTGAGGACACTGGGACTTTGAGGAGTTTTGCAGCCTGCCCAAAGAGAACCAGCTAACAAGTGTGGAGCCACACACCAGGAAACAGGGACTGTCTCACTGCAGACCCCAGTTCTAGTTCATTACTCTCTCCTGCTTTCCAAAATACCTGGAATATTGGGACATATTTTCTGCCTAGCACTGTGCACCAAGCTTTTAAACAAAGGTGGTGACATGGAATAGGCACCTCTAGAGTTTCTTAGGAGATAAAGTTACAGAGAAGTCCCTGGTCTCTTGTGGGGCAGGAAGTGTATTATCTTCCTTTAAAGAAACAGACCAGCTGATTTGCTGACAGCTTATAATGGTAAAGCCTCCTGCATTAGGAAAGTCAGGATGCCCAAAGCCCACCCCTGGAATTCTTGCTTCCACCATTAGCTGGGTGCCTGCTCTGCCTGGGGTTGGTTCCATGACACCTGAGCTCCCTTCTGAGAGGCAGCATGGTTTTACAGTAAGATTGCAGACTCCAGAGTCAGATTTCCTGGCTTCCATTCCCAGCTTTATTCTATTTCAGTTCTGAGACTTACTCCCTCTGCAGGGTTGCCAGATTTAGCAAATAATAATACAGGGCACCCAGTTCTATTTGAATTTCAGATAACTAACTAATCTGCAAACAATATTAGGGATGTACTTATGCTAAAACAATATTCATTGCCTATCTGAAATTTAAATCTAACTGGGTATCCTGTATTTTACCTGGTAACCCTATTCTTTGGTACTATCTTCCTCATGATGCTAACACACCCACCTTCCAAAGACTGCACTGAGGTGAGCTAGTATGTGGAAAGCACTTAAGATGTGCCTGGTGGATGGTAAGCCTCCAGAACATGTTGGTTAGCATTTCTGTCTTTTGTGTTTCTCAGATCACCAGTGGGCCTCTTTATTTCAGGGAGTGTTTACTGACTTGATTTTATATTCTAAAGTGCTGACCTGTTATACTCTGCCTTCAGGCTTAAGGACTCAAATTCTTAAGTTAGGCCTGATTGCAATGCCAGTTCCAACTCTTAACGACCATGTAATCTTGGGCAAATTACCTCGCTTCAGTATTCTTACCTATAATCTGAGTGATGAAGATAATAATACCTTCCTCATTTAGATGTGAAAATGAGAACCTACATGAAAAGTGGTTGGCAATAGTACATGCTCAATAAATTCTCTCATTAAGCTGATAACTAATTTCCTACATAGTTTCAGCACTTTGGTAAGGACATTTCTGTACATCTCATTTCTTTGTGTAGCTTATGGTCCCATATGTGTATTGTTTTTCTCATGATTGTCTGCCTTTCTATGGGTGGACCCAATGGGTCACACTGATGTCTCAGGCCACAGCAAAGGCCTGTGCTTGAGGAGTGTAAAGAAGGTGATCTCTTAGTCAGCTACAGTTTGCTACAACAAAATACTATAGACTGAGTGGCTGAAACAACAGATGTTTGTTGAATGAGAGAAAGAGAGACAGAGGGCACTCTAGTGCTCCGGTTTTCCTTATTTTTATAAGGATACTGATCCCATCACAGAGACTCCACCCTGATGGTTTCATCTGAACCTAAACACCTCCCAAAGGCCCCACCTGCAAACACTATCTCATTGGAGGTCAGGGGCTTCAACATATGAATTTAGGGAGACACAAACATTCAGGCCATAACAATAAGTATTCACCTTGGCCTTTCGTCCATTGGGTCACAAGCCACTAGGCAAGAGGGCTGGGCCAGGGTGAAGCACCTCCTATAGAGAAAACCTCACATCCATTGCAGAATATTTGATGTTGTGGCTCAAGAAAGCCCCCAGGAGATAGCATATCCAGCCAGCATATGCCTTCACCCTTTGCACAGCTACAGGCAGACACCTGAAGAACTGTGGAACTCCTGACCACAGCAAGAGACAGGCACATTCCTTCCTGTCCTGGCTAAATTTTATTTCACTTTCTTGTGAAAATATGAAGAGAAATTATTGCCAGCTTTGAAGATAATAGTAAGCATTCAACAAATGTTGAATGAATCAATTAAATGAATGTAAAATCTATGCAAAATATTATAAGTAGTCCATACAGAGAAACAAAATTACAAGCCAGAGCTGAATGGGAATCCTTATCTCTGAGCCTAGTGGCTGTGACCTTGTTACCAAACCTTGCTAGGCTTCAGTTTCCTCTTAGATAACAACTTCATAAGGCTATTGTGAGGATTAAATACTGAGATAGTGCACGTAATGTGCTTGGCATGCTACCCAGGGTCTACATTGCTAAAATAACAGCAACAACAATAAAGCAAGGGCAGCACAAAAGAGGAAAAAAAAAAGGGGGAGTCAAGAAACCTTTAAAGGGGCTGGGCGAGGTGGCTTGCGCCAGTAATCCCAGCACTTTGGGAGGCCAAGGAGGGCAGATATCTTGAGGTCAGGAGTTTGAGATCAGCCTGGCCAACATGGTAAAATTTCAGATCTACAAAAAATACAAAAATTAGCAGGGCATGGTCGTGGGTGCCTGTAATCCAAGCTACTCGGGAGGCTGAGGCACAAGAATTGCTTAAACCCGGGAGGCGGAAGTTGCAGTGACCCAAGATCGCGTCAATGCACTCCAGCCTGAGTGACAGAGCGAGACTCCATGTCAAAAAGAAAAGAAAAAGAAACCCTTAAAGACCAAGCTCTGGCTTCTGGAATGTGCTCAGCAATGCTTTGCTAGATGGCTATTTGAACCTGAAGAAATGCCTCCTGAACATTTATTTTCTTGCAACTATATTAAAACATTCAAATTGAAAGATTTCTCGATTGAAAGTAGGAAATTATATAACTTACCTTGTGTTTAAAAATAGACATTTATGAATCTAGTGTCTGAATTTGTTTTCCTTTCCAGTGAGAATAAACTATAGAAAAGGATGTTTCTAAGGTCTAAATAGAAATGGAATTTAATCAATCATTTTTTGGATATTAATTGCCTTTTCCACACCAGTCTTTGAGACACATGATCAGTGCTAATAGATTTTTTAAAATTTATTATCATGATTTGCATACAGTAAAACTCAACCTTTTAAGTATACAGCTATTCAAGCTTTGACAAACCTGAAGAGTTGTGTGGCAACCGCCACAATTAAGATAGGGAACAGTTGCATATCCCCCCAAATTCTGTGTTGTCAAGCCCTCCTTCAACTCCCAATCCCTGGAAAATACTAACCTGTTTTCTGTGTCTATAATTTTGCCTTTATGTCATATAATTGGAATCATACAGTATGTAACCAGTATGTACCTTTTTAAGTCTTGTTTCTTTCCCTTGGCATAATGAATCCGAGATGCATCCATGTCATTACCTGTATCAGTAGTTTCTTTCCTTTATAATCCTTTGCAGTACTCCATTCTGTGGCTAGACACAGTTTGTTTAGCTATTCACTAACTGAAAGACATCTGGGTTTGTTTCCAGTTTGGGGCAATTAAGAATAAAGCCACCACGGACAATCACACACAGGTTTTGGGGTGAATGTAAGTTTTCACTTCATTTTGGTAAATACCTGGGAGCGGGTGTCCTGGATTGTAGAGTAAAAATATGTTCAACTTTATTAGAAACTGCCAAACTGTTTTCCAAAGTATCTATATTATTTTTCATTTCTATCAACAATGTATGAGGAGTCCAGTTGTTTGGCATCCTTGCTAGCAATTGCTATAATCAGATTTTTTATAGCCACTCTAATGGATGTGTAGTGGACTTGCATTTTAACCCATTTTAATTTGCATTTTTTCATGCGCTTATTTGCTATTTATATATTTTTTGGGTTGTTTGTTTTCTTATTATTGAGTTTTGAGAGTTCTTTAAATATTTAAGATATTAGATGTGTGCTTTGTAAATACTTCTTCCCAGTCTGTGTCTTGTCTTTCCAGTCTCGTAACATTGCCTTTTGAAGAGAAAACATTCTTAATTTTGATGAGGTTCAAATGTATCATGCTTTTATAGATACTGCTTCTTGTATCATATCTAGAAATCTTTGACCAACCTCATATCACAAAGATTTTTTTCTATATTTTCTTCTCAAAGCTTTGTAGTTGGCTTTACATTCAGGTCTATCATCCATTCCAAGTTAATTCTTTTTTTTGTTTTTGTTTTGTTTTGTTTTGTTTGAGATGGAGTCTCGCTCTGTTGCCCAGGCTGGAGTGCAGTGGCGCGATCTCGGCTCACTGCAAGCTCTGCCTCCCGGGTTCACACCATTCTCCTGTCTCAGCCTCCCGAGTAGCTGGGACTACAGGCACCCGCAACCACGCCTGGCTAATTTTTTGTATTTTTAGTAGAGACGGGGTTTCATCATGTTAGCCAGGATGGTCTCGATCTCCTGACCTCGTGATCTGCCCACCTCAGCCTCCCAAAGTGCTGGGATTACAGGCGTGAGCCACCGCACCGGCCTATTCCAAGTTAATTCTTGTATATTGTTTGAAGTATGGATCAAGATTCATTTCTTTGCATATAGATAATTTCAAAAACTCCAGCAACATTTCTTGAAAAGATGATCCTCTCCTCATAAAATTGCCTTTGGACCATCGTAGAAAATTAATTGATTGTCTATGTACAGGTCTATTTCTGGACCCTCTATTCTGTTCCACTGATGTATATGTCTATCCTTCCATGAATACCACACTGTCTTGATTACTATGGTGTTACAGTAAGCCTTAAAATGAAGTAGTGTAAGTCCTCCAACTTGACCTTTTTCAAAATTATTTTGCTTATTCTAGTACCTTTGCTTTTCCATTCAAGTTTAGGATCAATTTGTCAATTTCTAACAACAAAATAAGTCCTCCTAAGATTTTAATTCGAATTCCATTAAATCAATAGATGCATTTAGGGAGAACTGACATCTAAAAATATTGCTTCCTCCTGTGCATAACGACCCCGTAGCTCTCCATTTACTTAGGACTTCTTTTATTTTGTTTATCACTGTTGTATAAATTTCAGCTTACAAATTTTGCAGAATTCTTATCAGATTCACACCTAAGTTCTTCATGGCTTTTGGTTCTACTTCTAACAGTTTTTTGAAATTTCAATCCCTAATTGTTCATTGCTAGTTTATGGAAATAGAATTGATTTTGTATATTGACCTCATATCCTGAGAAATTACTAAATTGATGTGTTCTAATAACTTTCTGGAGATACTTTGGAATTTTCTCCATAGACAATAATGTTGTCTGTGAATAGACAACTTTATTTATTTATTTCTAATCTGCATTCATTTTATGTCATTTTTTAACCTTACTGCTCTTACCATGATGTATTTATCAGTTTTGTATATTGCTAGGTTCAGTTGGCTATAATGTTGTTTAAAAATTTTGTGTCTGTACTCATTGGGGATGTTGGTGTATAGTTTTCTTTTCTTGTTATGTATTTGGTTTTGGAATCGGGATAATAATGCTCCCTATATTGAGTAAACTGAGGTATATTCCCTCTTCGATTACCTGGAAGAGTTTTTGTAAAACTGATATAACTTCTTCCTTACATGTGAGATAGTATTCACCAACAAAGCCATTTGGCATGGAATTTTCTTTGTGTAAAGGATTTTAACCTTAAATTCAATTTCTTGGATATAAGAACATTCAGGTTATCTATTTCCTTTGAGTGAGCTTTCCTAGTTTTTTACTTTCAATACATTTGTCCATTTTATCTACATTCTCAAATTTATTGGCATAAACTTGTTCATAATATTCATTTATTATCCCTTTAATGTCTACAAGATTTGTAGTGATGTCCCCTCTCTCATTTCTGTGATTGGTAATTTTCATCTTCTCTTTTTTTTCTTATTAGTCTGGCTATAAGTTCATCCATTTCATTCACCAGCTTTTGGTTTCATTTATTTACTCTATTGCTTTTCTAATTTTTATTTCATTAGCCACTGCACTTTATACCTCCTATCTTCTGCTTGCTTGGGTTTCATGTGCTATTATTTTTCTAACTTCTTTACCTTAAGTTGTAAGTTTGAGTCATTATTTAAAAACTTTCTTCTTTTCTCATATAGTATTTATTTAGTGCAATAAATTTCCTTGTAAGCACTGCTTTAAGTGCATCTCATAAATGTTGAAATGTTGTGTTTCAATTTTATTCAGTTCAAAGTAATTTTTAATTTCCATCTTGATTTATTCTTTGAAATCGGTTACTTTTATGTATAATATTTTACTTCCAAATAGAATAATTTTTCACATATATTCCTGCTATTGTTTCCAAATATGTTTCTTTTATTCAGTGAATGCAAATTAAGATATCAAATTTGTGAGGTTAAGCTAATACCATGCTTAGAAGGAAATTTATCATTTAATTCTATTGTGGTCAGAACACATACATTATTTGAATCCATTTAAATTTATTGACTTGTTTTATGACCTACAATATCTCCTGTCTTTGCAACTGTTTCATGTGCTCTTGAAAAATAGGTGTATTCTGCCACCTTTAGATGCCGTATTCTGTAAATGTCAGTTAGGTCAAATTGATTAATAATGCCATTCAAGTCTTTTCTATACTTAATAATTGTTTATTTTTATTTTTATAAGAAATATGATTCAATATCCTTAATAATTTTAAGACTACTTGTTCTATTGATTATTGAGAGAGAGGTACTGAAATCTCTACTCTAACTGTATATTTACCTATTTCTCCTTGCAGTTCAATGAGTTTTCGTTTCATGTACTTTGAAAATCTCTTATTAGGTCAATACATATTTATGATTTATGTTCTGTTGATGAATTGATTCCATTAACATTATGAAATGAACTTCTTTATACCTGGTAAAAATATGTTAATTTGAAATCTACTTCATCTAATATTAATATGAGCTACTTCAGCTTTCTTTTGACTAATGTTAGTGTGCTTTTTTCTCTCCTTTACCTTTAACATAATTGTATATTTAAAATATACAATTTTGTAGGCAGCATATAGTTAGGGTCTCTTGTAGGCAACATATAGTTAGTTATTGCCCTTTCAACTAATATGACAGCCCATGTCTTTTAATTAAGGTTGTTTAAACCATTTATATTTAATGCGTTAGGTTTACATCCATCATCTTGCTATTTATTTTGTTTGTTCTATCTGTTCTTTGTTCCTTTTGCCCTCTTTGTTTGCCTTCTTTTGTATTAATTAATTCTTTTTTAGGATCCTCTTTTGTCTCCTTTGTTGGCTTATTAGCTACACCCTTTGTTTTTGGCAATTTTTTAAATGTTTGCTTTAAGGTTTATGGAATAAATCTTTAACTTAATACAGTCTACATTTAACTGATATTACACCACTCTATGCACAAGAATCTTATAACAATATACTTCTATTTCTACACTCCTATCCTTGGTGCTATTATTGTTATGTATATTACTTCTATATATATTAGAAGCCCCACATTATATTGTTACCAATTTTTCCTTAAACAATGAACCATACTTTAAATGATTTAAAATATTGGAAAAATATATTTTACATTTAACCACATAATGACGATGTCCAGCATTCTTCATTCTTTTATGTGGATACAGATTTGTATCTGGTATTTTTTTTCTTCCTGACCAATTTTCTTTAACACTTCTTGTAGTGCAGGATATCTAGTGATTAATTCTTCTACCTTTCGTATGTCTGAAAAAGTCCTTATCTTGCCTTTGTTTTTGAAAGATATTGTTGTATATAGAATTTTAAGTTGACAATTTTTTTGGTTTTGGTAATTTAAAGATGTTTCCCTGTCTTTTCAGTTATATTGTTTCTAATAAGATCTGCTGGCCAGGCATGGTGGCTCATACCTGTAATCCCAGCACTTTGGGAGGATGAGACAGGTGGATCACGAGGTCAGGAGATCAAGACCATCCTGGCTAACATGGTGAAACCCTGTCTCTACTAAGAATACAAAAAATTGGCTGGGCGTGGTGGCACACACCTGTAGTCCCAGCTACTTGGGTGGCTGAGGCAGCAGAATTGCTTGAACTCGGGAGGTGGAGGGTGCCGTGAGCTGAGCTTATGCGACTGCACTCCAGCCTGGGCAACAGAGCAAGACTCTGTCTCAAAAACAAAACAAAAAACAAAAACAAAAACGAAAAAAAAGATCTGTTGTCATTGTTATCTTTGTTCCTCTCAGCATAATAAATCCTTTTTCCCTTTGGCTGCTTTTAATTTACTTTTTATCACTGGTTCTAAGGAATTTTATTATAGTGTGTAGTTTTCTTCATACTATTTGTGCTAGGTATTCTTTGAGCTCTTGGATCTATGGGTTTATACTTTTCATCAAATTTGGAAATTTTGGCCACATTTTTTTTTCAAATACATTTTCTCCCTTCCTCCTTTTCAGAGACTCCAGTTATACATATATTAAAATGTTTGAAGTTGTCCCACAACTCACTGATGGTCTGCTCATTATCTTTCAGTCTTTTTTCTCTCCATGCTTCATTTTGGTTTTTTGTTCTTTTTTCTGTTTTTTTTTAATTATACTTTAAGTTTTAGGGTACATGTGCGCAACGTGCAGGTTTGTTACATATGTATACGTGTGCCATGTTGGTGTGTTGCACCCATTAACTCGTCATTTACATTAGGTATATCTCCTAATGCTATCCCTCCCTCCTCCCCCCACCCCACAACAGGCCCCAGTGTGTGATGTTCCCCTTCCTGTGTCCAAGTGTTCTCATTGTTTAATTCACACCTATGAGTGAGAACATGTGGTGTTTGGTTTTTTGTCCTTGTGATAGTTTGCTGAGAGTGATGGTTTCCAGCTTCATCCATGTCCCTACAAAGGACATGAACTCATCCTTTTTTATCGCTGCATAGTATTCCATGGTATATATGTGCCACATTTTCTTAATCCAGTCTATCATTGATGGACATTTGGGTTGGTTCTAAGTCTTTGCTATTGTGAATAGTGCCGCAATAAACATACGTGTGCATGTGTCTTTATAGCAGCATGATTTATAATCCTTTGGGGATATACCTAGTAATGGGATGGCTGGGTCAAATGGTATTTCTAGTTCTAGATCCCTGAGGAATCGCCACACTGACTTCCACAATGGTTGAACTAGTTTACAGTCCCACCAACTGTGTAAAAATGTTCCTATTTCTCCACATCCTCTCCAGCACCTGTTGTTTCCTGACTTTTTAATGATCGCCATTCTAACTGGTGTGAGATGGTATCTCGTTGTGGTTTTGATTTGCATTTCTCTGATGGCCAGTGATGATGAGCAGTGATGATGAGCAGAGCCTCGCTCTGTCGCCCAGGCTGGAGTGCAGTGGTGCAATCTTGGCTCACTGCAAGCTCCGCCTCATGGGTTCACGCCATTCTCCTGCCTCAGCCTCCTGAGTAGCTAGGACTACAGGTGCCTGCCTCCAAGCCTAGCTAATTTTTTTTTTGTATTTTGAGTGGAGACAGGGTTTCACCGTGTTAGCCAGGATGGTCTCAATCTCCTGACCTCGTGATCCGCCCGCCTCCGCCTCCCAAAGTGCTGGGATTACAGGCATGAGCCACCGCGCCCAGCCTATGATAAGCATTTTTTCATGTGTCTTTTGGCTGCATAAATGTCTTCTTTTGAGGAGTGTCTGTTCATATCCTTTGTCCACTTGTTGATGGGGTTGTTTTGTTCTTGTAAATTTGTTTGAGTTCTTTGTAGATTCTGGATATTAGCCCTTTGTCAGATAAGTAGATTGCAAAAATGTTCTCCCATTCTGTAGGTTGCCTATTCACTCTGACGGTAGTTTCTTTTGCTGTGCAGAAGCTCTTTAGTTTAATTAGATCCCATTTGTCAATTTTGGCTTTTGTTGCCATTGCTTTTGGTGTTTTAGACATGAAGTACTTTCCCATGCCTATGTCCTGAATGGTATTGCCTAGGTTTTCTTCTAGGGTTTTTATGGTTTTAGGTCTAACATTTAAGTTTTTAATCCATCTTGAATTAATTTTTCTACAAGGTGTAAGGAAGAGATCCAGTTTCAGCTTTCTACATACGGCTAGCCAGTTTTCCCAGCACCATTTATTAAATAGGAAATCCTTTCCCCATTTCCTGCTTTCGTCAGATTTGTCAAAGATCAGATAGTTGTAGATGTGTGGCATTATTTCTGAGGGCTCTGTTCTGTTCCAATGGTCTATATCGCTGTTTTGGTACCAGTACCATGCTGTTTTGGTTACTGTAGCCTTGTAGTATAGTTTGAAGTCAGGTAGTGTGATGCCTCCGGCTTTGTTCTTTTGGCTTAGGATTGTCTTGGCAATGCGGGCTCTTTTTTGGTTCCATATGAACTTTAAAGTAGTTTTTTCCAATTCTGTGAAGAAAGTCATTGGTAGCTTGATGGGGATGGCATTGAATCTATAAATTACCTTGGGCAGTATATCCATTTTCATGATATTGATTCTTCCTACCCATGAGCATGGAATGTTCTTCCATTTGTTCGTATCCTCTTTTATTTCATTGAGCAGTGGTTTGTAGTTCTCCTTGAAGAGGTCCTTCACATCCCTTGTAAGTTGGATTGCTAGGTATTTTATTCTCTTTGAAGCAATTGTGAATGGGAGTTCACTCATGATTTGGCTCTCTGTTTGTCTGTTATTGGAGTATAAGAATGCTTGTGATTTTTGCACATTGATTTTGTATCCTGAGACTTTGCTGAAGTTGCTTATCAGCTTAAGGAGATTTTGGGCTGAGATGATGGGGTTTTCTAGATATACAATCATGTCATCTGCAAACAGGGACAATTTGACTTCCTCTTTTCCTAATTGAATACCCTTTATTTCCTTCTCCTGCCTGATTGCCCTGGCCAGAACTTCCAACACTATGTTGAATAGGAGTGGTGAGAGAGGACATCCCTGTCTTGTGCCAGTTTTCAAAGGGAATGCTTCCAGTTTTTGCCCATTCAGTATGATATTGGCTGTGGGTTTGTCATAAATAGCTCTTATTATTTTGAGATACGTCCCATCAATACCTAATTTATTAAGAGTTTTTGCATGAAGGGCTGTTGAATTTTCTCAAAGGCCTTTTCTGCATCTATTGTGATAATCATGCGGTTTTTGTCATTGGTTCTGTTTATATGCTGGATTATGATTATTGATTTGCGTATGTTGAACCAGCCTTGCATCCCAGGGATGAAGCCCACTTGATAATGCTGGGTAAGCTTTTTGATGTGTTGCTGGATTCGGTTTTCCAGTATTTTATTGAGGATTTTTGCATCGATGTTCATCAGGGATATTGGTCTAAAATTATCTTTTTTGGTTGTGTCTCTGCCAGGCTTTGGTATCAGGATGATGCTGGCCTCATAAAATGAGTTAGGGAGGATTCCCTCTTTTTCTATTGATTGGAATAGTTTCAGAAGGAATGGTACCAACTCCTCCTCGTACCTCTGGTAGACTTCGGCTGTGAATCCGTCTGGTCATGGACTTGTTTTGGTTGGTAAGCTATTAATTATTGCCTCAATTTCAGAGCCTGTTATTGGTCTATTCAAAGATTCAACTTCTTCCTGGTATAGTCTTGGGAGGGTGTATGTGTCGAGGAATTTATCCATTTCTTCTAGATTTTCTAGTTTATTTGCGTGGAGGTGTTTATAATATTATCTGATGGTAGTTTGTATTTCTGTGGGATCGGTGGTGATATCGCCTTTATCATTTTTTATTGCATCTATTTGATTCTTCTCTCTTTTCTTCTTTATTAATCTTGCTAGCGGTCTATCAATTTTGTTGATCTTTTCAAAAAACCAGCTCCTGGATTCATTAATTTTTTGAAGGGTTTTTTATGTCTCTATCTCCCTCAGTTCTGCTCTGATCTTAGTTATTTCTTGCCTTCTGCTAGCTTTTGAATGTGTTTGCTCTTGCTTTTCTAGTTCTTTTCATTGTGTTGTTAGGGTGTCAATTTTAGATCTTTCCTGCTTTCTCTTGTTGGCATTTAGTGCTATAAATTTCCCTCTACACACTGCTTTAAATGTGTCCCAGAGATTCTGGTATGTTGTGTCTTTGTTCTCATTGGTTTCAAAGAACATCTTTATTTCTGCCTTCATTTCATTATGTACCCAGTAGTCATTCAGGAGCAGGTTGTTCAGTTTCTATGTAGTGGAGCGGTTTTGAGTGAGTTTCTTAATCCCGAGTTCTAGTTTGATTGCACTGTGGTCTGAGAGACAGTTTGTTATAATTTCTGTTCTTTTACATTTGCTGAGGAGTGCTTTACTTCCAACTATGTGGTCAATTTTGGAATAAGTGCGGTGTGGTGCTGAGAAGAATGTATATTCTGTTGATTTGGGGTGGAGAGTTCTGTAGATGTCTATTAGGTCCGCATGGTGCAGAGCTGAGTTCAATTCCTGGATATCCTTGTTAACTTTCTGTCTCGTTGATCTGTCTAATGTTGACAGTGGGGTGTTAAAGTCTCCCATTATTATTGTGTGGGAGTCTGAGTCTCTTTGTAGGTCTCTAAGGACTTGGTTTATGAATCTGGGTGCTCCTGTATTGGGTGCATATATATTTAGGATAGTTAGCTCTTCTTGTTAAATTGATCCCTTTACCATTATGTAATGGCCTTCTTTGTCTCTTTTGATCTTTGTTGGTTTAAAGTCTGTTTTATCAGAGACTAGGATTGCAACCCCTGCCTTTTTTTGTTTTCCATTTGCTTGGTAGATCTTCCTCCATCCCTTTATTTTGAGGCTTTGTGTGTCTCTGCATGTGAGATGGGTTTCCTGAGTACAGCACACTGATGGGTCTTGACTCTTTATGCAATTTGCCAGTGTGTCTTTTAATTGGAGCATTTAGCCCATTTACATTTAAGGTTAATATTGTTATGTGTGAATTTGATCCTGTCATTATGATGTTAGCTGGTTATTTTGCTCGTTAGTTGATGCAGTTTCTTCCTAGCCTCGATGGTCTTTACGATTTGGCATGTTTTTGCAGTGGCTGGTACCGGTTGTTCCTTTCCATGTTTAGTGCTTCCTTCAGGAGCTCTTGTAAGGCAGGCCTGGTGGTGACAAAATCTCTCAGCATTTGCTTGTCTGTAAAGGATTTTATTTCTCCTTCACTTATGAAGCTTAGTATGGCTGGCTATGAAATTCTGGGTTGAAAATTCTTTTCTTTAAGAATGTTGAATATTGTCCCCCACTCTCTTCTGGCTTGTAGAGTTTCTGCTGAGATATCCACTGTTAGTCTGATGGGCTTCTCTTTGTGTAACCCGACCTTTCTCTCTGGCTGCCCTTAACATTTTTTCCTTCATTTCAACTTTGGTGAATCTGACAATTATGTGTCTTGGAGTTGCTCTTCTTGAGGAGTATCTTTGTGGCATTCTCTGTATTTCCTGAATTTGAATGTTGGCCTGCCTTGCTAGATTAGGGAAGTTCTCCTGGATAATATCCTGCAGAGTGTTTTCCAACTTAGTTCCATTCTCCCCATCACTTTCAGGTACACCAATCAGACGTAGATTTGGTCTTTTCACATAGTCCCATATTTCTTGGAGGCTTTGTTCATTTCTTTTTATTCTTTTTTCTCTAAACTTCTCTTCTCACTTCATTTCATTCATTTGATCTTCCAATCACTGATACCCTTTCTTCCAGTTGATCAAATTGGCTACTGAAGCTTGTGCATGCATCACGTAGTTCTTGTGCCATAGTTTTCAGCTCCGTCAGGTCCTTTAAGGACTTCTCTGCATTGGTTATTCTAGTTAGCCATTCATCTAGTCTTTTTTCAAGGTGTTTAACTTCTTTGCCATGGGTTCAAACTTCCTCCTTTAGCTCGGAGAAGTTTGATCATCTGAAGTCTTCTTCTCTCAACTCGTCAAAGTCATTCTCCATCCGGCTTTGTTCCATTGCTGGTGAGGAGCTGCATTCCTTTGGAGGGGGAGAGGTGCTCTGATTTTTAGAATTTTCAGTTTTTCTGCTCTGTTTTTTTCCCCATCTCTGTGGTTTTATCTACCTTTGGTCTTTGATGAAGGTGACGTACAGATGGGGTTTTGGTGTGGATGTCCTTTCTGTTTGTTAGTTTTCCTTCTAAGAATCAGGACCCTCAGCTGCAGGTCTGTTGGAGTTTGCTGGAGGTCCACTCCAGATCCTGTTTGCCTGGGCATCAGCAGCAGAGGCTGCAGAACAGCAAATATTGGTGAACAGCAAATGTTGCTGCCTGATTGTTCCTCTAGAAGTTTTGTCTCAGAGGGCTACCCGGCCGTGTGAGGTGTCAGTCTGCCCCTACTGGGTGGTGCCTCCCAGTTAGGCTACTTGGGGGTCAGGGACCCACTTGAGGAGGCAGTCTGTCCGTTCTCAGATCTCAAGCTGCGTGCTGGGAGAATCACTACTGTCTTCCAAGCTGTCAGACAGGGACATTTAAGTCTGCAGAGGTTTCTGCTGCCTTTTGTTTGGCTATGCCCTGCCCACAGAGGTGGAGTATACAGAGGTAGGCAGGCCTCCTTGAGCTGCAGTGGGCTCCACCCAGTTCGAGCTTCCCGGCCACTTTGTTTACCTGCTGAAGCCTCAGGAATGGCGGGAGCCTCTCCCCCAGCCTCGCTGCCGCCTTGCAGTTTGATCTCAGACTGCTGTGCTAGCAATGAGTGAGGCTCCGTGGACGTAGGACCCTCCAAGCCACGTGCGGGATATAATCTCCTGGTGTGCCGTTTGCTAAGACCACTGGAAAAGCGCAGTATCAGGGTGGGGGTGACCCGATTTTCAAGGTTCCATCTGTTACCCCTTTCCTTGGCTAGGAAAGGGAATTCCCTGACCCCTTGCACTTCCCGGGCGAGGCAATGCCTCGCCCTGCTTCAGCTCACACTAGGTGCACTGCACCCACTGTCCTGCACCCACTGTCTGACAATCCCCAGTGAGACAAACCTGGTACCTCAGTTGGAAATGCAGAAATCATCCGTCTTCTGCGTCGCTCATGCTGAGAGCTGTAGACTGGAGCTGTTCCTATTCGGCCATCTTGGAACCCTCTCCTCTTCATTTTGTATAGTTAATACTGCTTGTCTTTAAGTTCACTAATCTTTTATTTCTCAGTCTTTAAACTGCTGTTAATTCTATATCTTGTATTTTTATTTTGAACATTGTATTTTCATTGGTAGAAGTTCAATTTGGTTTTGTTTATATCTTTCTTCTTTTTTAACTTGCTTATTTCTCTACCTTCTTGAATACATAGAGTACAGTTATAATAACTATTTCTAAATCTTTGTCTACTAATAATATCATATATGTGATCTCTGGGTTGGTTTCAATTAACTGGTGTTTTCCCTCAGTATTTATGCCTAGTAAGTTTTATTGAATTCAGACATTGCAAATATTACTTTGTTGGGTGCTTCTTATTCTTGTACTTTAAAAAATTCTTGAACTTTTTTCTGTGTCCATTTTGAGGTGTACCCTGTGTTAGAGATTTGTTGCCATTGACAGAGGGCTGAAGGCATAGAGTGGAGCTCTTTGAGAATTTTAAGAAGAAATAATATGAATTTTAGCACCTGGTGGATAAGTTTACAGAATTTTCTTTCATTGCAACATACCTGGTGGTACAATTTAGGAGCTAAGTTTCCTGCTGACCTCTAGCCACTGGAGGCTATACCTTTTTACCAAAATAACCTAACTGCTGATTAGTCAAAGTGGCTTTAAGTCAGTGTACAAAATCTCCCTATGAACAGCACTGGCCTTCCACCAGCTGCCCAGTGCTACAGGTTTTTCTAGGCAACTAGAAAACAACTTCTGTTGTTTCTAGGCAAGTCTTGTTCCAGTTAAGTGTTCAGGAACTTTCTTCTTGCTAAGTTCATCCACATCAGAACCTTTCTGAAGCACCAGAAACATTGCCTAGTGTCCAGCTGATACACCACACAACCATCCCATGCAAAGGCACATCAACTCATAGGCATTGCTTCCCAGCAGCCTCCTAGGCATAAAAACCTTCACTTCCTCTCTGTTTAGGACATTCTACATAAATTTGTCGAGCACACCCAGTGGTTCTCAAATATTAATGTGTAGTGGAATTACCTGCCATGCCTATTAAAATGTTCTTTCCTGAGTCTTACACCAGGGAATCCCTATTTGGTAGGTGTTAAGTGTCAGGTTTTGCATAAAATTGTAGCAGGTTCTTATTGCCCAAGGGGATGAAATTGGACTGAAATTCAGCCCATTCTCAGCTTGCCAAACCGTACACTCTAGTGTGGGCCTGGTATACCAAGAGGAAGGGGCACCTTCAATTTATTTTAGTTTCATCTGCTTTCTAAGCCTAGTGTCTGTGGGGATATATCCACAAGAGCAGTGAGGGTAGGGATGATTTTTCTAATTTGCACAAAGGCTGTCTATGCCCTGGCATATTAGTCCAGGGCTTCCAAAAGGGAGATGTCAGACAGGGCTAGAGATACAAGAGATTACTTAGAGGAAACAGGTGTGATGAAAAAAATGAGAAGAAAGCCAGGAGAAGCAGAGGGAGACACCAATGCAGGTCTGACCCTTGTGAACAAGAGAGGGAGTCAAGGAAAGTTGGATGGAAAAGCTTTAGACTATATGTAGGTCTGAGAAAAATTGGTAAAGCTGATGGGGAGTCCTCTAGCCAAAATCACCCACAGAGGAAGCCTGCATCTTAAAGGAGTGGGCCTGCCCTGGCATCTCTACCATGCTCAGTCATGGACTAGAAGGAGTCATGAGAAGTGTAGTCTCATGAAAAAATAGTAGATTTCAAGGTAATTATGCTTCTGAAGTTGGAGATCTAAGAGGTGCTTGTTAATGGCTCGCATACTGTATTAGTCCATTCTCACACTGCTATGAAGAAATACCCAAGCCTGGGTAATTTATAAAGGAAAGAGGTTTAATTGGCTCACAGTTCTGCATTGCTGGGGAGGCCACAGAAACTTACAGTCATGGTGGAAGGCAAAGGAGAAGCAGGCACCTCTTCACAGGGTGGCAGAACAGAGTAAGTGCAAGCAGGGGAAATGCCAGACACTTATAAAGCCATCAGATCTCGTGAGACTCATTCACTATCACAAGAACAGCACGGGGGAAACTGCCCCATGATCCAATTACCTCCACAGGGTCTAGCCCTTGACACATGGGGATTATAATTCAAGATGAGATTTTAGGTGGGGACACAGCCAAACTATATCATATACCTAATGAGGAGGGCCTTGGAAATCTGCCTTTGTAAAAGTTCCCCACTCCCAAGGGATTCCAAACACCTTGTCCAGTGAATCACCCTTAGAGGAACACCTGCCTAAATTTTTTAAAAGAAAGGTATATTAACTGTCCCTAAGGAAGAAGAATGTCCAGACTTCCTAAACACAAGGTCACACTCTTGGGAGCTTGGATTGGGGAAGCTCTCCAATTCCTCTCTGATCAGTGTAGCCCAGAGCATGGTTATATTCTCAACAAATGACTCTGCCCCATGTTCTGCCACATGTGTTATAACAGGAATGAGCTGAGTGGAACAGGCACCAAGATGATGGAAGTCAAATCTGCCTCAGAGGCAGGGTCAGGGAAAGGGTCTTTGAAGGTGGGAAAAGCACAAGTAAGGAATGGAGAGAAAGGCCTGTCTAGAAGAGCAGGGAATAGTCTGTTTGGCTGCATGGAAAGAGTGCAAGATGGGGAGATAAGTTGGTTCCATGCTTGGAGGAACAGATTCAGTGGAATGTGAGTTTGGGAGACTGGGATTTAGGCATCATTGCCTGAAAATGTAAAAATACCTGGGAGGACATTTCTGCAAGGTGGCACTGATTGCTGAGTCTCAGGCTTCAGGAGGCCCTGTGTTGTTCTGAGCAAGCCCAGAAGGCAAACTGGGTGTCACCCAGAGAGCTCCTTGTACACCCATTTCTGGGGAGAGGTACAGGGAACAAGAGAGGGAAATAGTTGGGGAGCTGTCACTACCTTCCTAGCTCTGCACAGGGCTGGCCCTGGCTCCCAAAACACCATCTCAGCTCAAGAGGGGCCTCCTATAAAAAGCAAATAGAAGAACTATTTGATGGTGAACGATTTATGAAGATGCTCTCTTAGCACACTTTGCTCAACAATATGAGTGAACTCAAATGGCTGAGTTGGTTTTCAGATTGGCTCCCAAGTGTTTACCTGGTCCCTGCTTGATTCAGCTCTCTCCCTTCCTCTACATCCTCACCTCCTGCTGCTCATCCTTAGACAAAGACCAAAATCTTTAACAAGGCCCTTTCTTCATGATCTAGCTTTTGCCATCTGTTGAGATCAGATCTAAACCAACTGGGCCATTCAGAACTAGATTATTTTTGGTAAATATTGGTAAGTAACATCAAGTAGATGAAGTGATGAGAGCTCTAGATCTCTTCCCCTGACAACCCTTATCCCAGTCCATCAATCAGTATTACCGGAGTGTCTGTTAAATCCACAACTCTCTCCGCACTAGACTGGTAGGATCATGGAAATAAGAACCAAGTCTGTATGCTCACTGGTAAATATCAAAGATCTTAGATGGTCGGATTCAAACAAGTACGAGTAATTTATTTCCTGAGTGTTTTAACTGTTACAATACCAATCTGAAAAAACAAAACCTAAAGAAGATCCACTCTGAATAATAGCAACTATCATTCGTTAAGCACCTAATATTTCCAATCCCTACTACAACCTACCTAGAAGACAGTATGGTCCCCACATACACCTGAACTGAATCTCAGAGTCAGGCATTGACTTTGCCAAAAGCAAAGGGTTATAAGCAAAGAGTTTAGCTGGGATTTGAACCCAGAACATTCTGACTGCAATGTCCCAGCTCCTCCCATGACACAATCGCATCGCATTTCATGCCACTACTAGCCTAGTTGGTGAGAGCAACCCAAACCAATGTCTTGCTTTTCGAATACTTATGAATATTAGCTACCCATCAGTATTTCTCCCCCTTCCCTTGCCCCACAAACATGCCTGTTACCTGAGCTGTTGTCCTGGGGTGCATACCTGCCTGATAATGGTGGATGTTAGTGATAAATGGTGCAGTAGATTCTGGAGCATCTTTCCAGGTTTTGAGCCTGGCTCTGCCACTGCTGTGGAAATACCACAGATCAAAATGGGCAATTTAGACTGTGTCGTTTACTAATATTCTGGATGCAGGAAGGAAATGGAAGGAGCCCCAGAGAAAACCATCTACAGATGGATATGACTCCCACCTCCATAGTACCTGCATGTTATGAATGTTCTTCTAAAGAACTAGCCTAGTAACTTAATGGAGCCCCCAGGGTCTCTTTCAGAGAGCTGCATTTCTTAGTGCTTAGAAGTCTCTTTCTTCAAGAACTGCTGCTATGGTCTGAATGTTTGTGTCTCCCCAAAATTCATATGTTCATACCTAATCCCCAATGTGATTGTATTAAAAGGTAAAAGTCTTTGGGAGGTGATTAGGTCCTAAGAACAGGGCCCTTATGGATGGGATTAGTGCCCTCATAAAAGAGACCCCAGAGAGCTCCCTCACCCCTTCCACCAAGTGAAGATACAGTGAGAAGTCACCATCTATGAACCAGAAAACAGGCCCTCACCAGACACAGAATCTGCCAGAACCTCGATATTGGACTTCCCAGACTACAGGACTGTGAGAAATAAACTTCTGTTGTTTATAAGCCACCCAGTCTAAGACATTTTGTTATAGCAGCCTGAATTGACTAAGACAACTGCATTTTTATTTTCCACGGATGCTGATTTCACATGCCACAGGGAAGATGTATGGCAGAATGAGCTGTGGCACAGGAAAGCTTATGGCAAAGGTCTTATGTGATGGGGATGAGAGGGAAGGGACAGCAGGAAGGTGGTCACTTCAGTAGAGGAAAGCTAAGTGTGTCTATCATTACCCCTTGCCAGCTGGGTGACTTTGGCCAAGTCACTTAACCACTCTGTGCCTGTTTCCTCATCTAGAAAGTATGGCTAAAAATAAGATTTAACTTCAGAGGATTGCTGTGAGTTGTAAACAAATGCATCCTTTATTATTATTGATATGGCTTGGCTCTGTGTCCCCACCCAGTCTCACCTTAAATTGTAATAATTCTCACGTGTCATGGGAGGGACCCAGGGGGAGGTAATTGAATCATGGGGGCGGGCCTTTCCCATGCTGTTCTCATGATTGTGAATAAGTCTCACGACATCTGATGGTTTTATAAAGAGGAATTCCCCTGCACATGCCCTCTTGCCTGCTGCCGTGTAAGACGTCACTTTGCTCTTTCTTTGTCTTCTGCCATAATTTTGAGGCCTCCCCAGCCATGTGGAACAGTGAGTCCATTAAATCTCTTTCCTTTTTAAATTACCCGGTCTCAGGCATGTCTTTATTAGCAGCATGAGAATGGACTAATACAATTATCTAGAACTTCCCGTCTTGTGGGAGGCACTTACCTTGCTAACTTAAATGGGGGAACATTTCATCTTGCCTCATTCACACAGACACATTTCATGGTCATTGCATGGTTTCTGCTTGGTGCTTGCAGGTCCAGATTTCTAATTTAAACAGTCAGAGCTCATCCATATTGGCAATAAACCCAGGTCAACTCAGCACTCAAAGTGTAGAACAACAGCAAGTATAAAAAGAAATAGAATTTCTTTTCATCCTCATCACAATAGTACCTTAAACTTCTGTCACTTGCCATAATTTTTAATTCTCTATTTGATTGTGGGCATTGTAATTTCTGGCTTTCTAGCTAAATGTCCCCCTGCCCCACCATGAAATATAATGCTTGGCACATATTAGGATATTCCCTGAATGTTTAGTGAATGTCCTCTAATAAATGTCCATAAAAGCTACAATTCAGATCTAGAATATCACAGAAGTACAAAAATTTATGCACATTAGGAATCAGCTTCCGAATAAAATCTAAATTCCTTTGCTTACCATACTAGGCACTTCATTAATTGGCCCCAACTGTCCCATTTTACCTCATCAGCAACGCCCCCCGCCCCCGCCACCCCACAACTCTCACACCCAGCTCCCAAGTCCCCAGCCCCATAAAACTCTGTCATTCCCAGAACAGGTCATGCCCTTTTACAATTCCAAGACCTTGTACTTGCTATTGCCTCTTCCTGAAATATCCTTTCCTTTTAAGCATAGCCAATTCCTACTGCACCTTCAAAAGCCCCATTTAAATAACTCCTCCTCAGGGATGTCTCTCGGGCTCCCTAAGGCAGCATCAATACCTCCCTTCTCTGGACTCCCTCAATACCCTGTCTAGCACACCTATGAAGAGGCCTGGCCTTAGTCAAGCCAAGGGCTGAGCTTAAAGTCCTAGCTTTACAACTTACAAACTGTGAGACCTTGGGTGAGTATATGCAACCTCTCTGAAACTGTCTTTTCATCTGCTAACCAGCACCAATAGCAACCACCCCTGAAGGTTGCAATAGGAGTGATCTAATTTGATCATTGTGAAGTGTATAGCAAACTCTCAAGAAATGGTAGATAGTGTGATACTTTCTAATACAGCACATGACCACATTGCAATTCACCTGTGTTTACTCCTGCCTTTTCTGTAAAACCCTAGATGACACCAACAGGTTCTGCAATTATTTCTTATCCCTGGCAACTAGCACACTTAGTAGGTGTTTAAGCGCATCCTTGCAGAATGCTTGTGTGCAGTCACGAATGAATACATCTGAGCTGTTTGATTCCCTAGAGTGCCCAGGTGGAGCGGGGTCACCCTGCAATGGCAGAGGCAGTTGTGCTGAAGGCATGGAAGGAAATGGAACCTGCTCCTGCCAAGTAAGTTCAAAAATGTGTTCTTCCTTTCCTGGTTTCTGCTCCCCATCTTCTTACCTGTTGATCCTCCTTAAACACACACACACACACACACACACACACACGTGCACACACACATATACAGCGAAGTTCTTAAGCAGTGAAGGTATTAATTTTTTAAAAATGTGCAATTTGCAACAAAATGACCATTTATAGCCTGGGGGCCTTTAGGAGAGTCAATTAACTGCTCAGTCTTAAGCATATCCACTTGTAAAAATGGGTTTGAGGCTGGGAGCAGTGGCTTACGCCTGGAATCCCAGCACTTTAGGAGGCCGAGTGGGGGAGGATCACGAGGTCAGGAGATCGAGACCATCCTAGCCAGCATGGTGAAACCCCGTCTCCACTAAAAATACAAAAATTAGCTGGGTGTGGTGGTGGGCGCCTATAGTCCCAGCTACTCAGGAGGCTGAGGCAGGAGAATTGCTTGAACCCAGGAGGCAGAGGTTGCAGTGAGCTGAGATTGTGCCATTGCACTCCAGTCTGGGTGACAAGAGCAAGACTCTGTCCACCCCCACCCAAAAAAAAAAGTTTGAAACAGTATCTATGTAATAACATTTGTTGAAAAAGTAAAATGAGGCCATATATGTGAAAATACTTTATGACACTATATAGGACTATAGAAATTGCTGTCATTGTTAATATTAATAATCACTATTAGCAGACAAACCTTATGGTGCTATCCTCTGCATCCTTTGTGAACCGTTAGGCTTACCGGTTCAAGATTTTCTTTTACCAGTTGAAGAATTTCTTCGTTATCTCATGAAAGTGACTTTTTGCACATTTCAAGCCCTGGGGGATTTAAATACAAGGAAATCCTTCTGAAAAGGATTGAGCTCAACTGTCTTCAGAAATGCAAAACTGAGGTTGGGCAGGTGGCTCACGCCTGTAATCCCAGTACTTTGGGAGGCCAAGGTGAGCAGATCACTTGAGGCCAGGAGTTCGAGACCAACCTGGCCAACATGGTGAAACCTGTCTCTACTAAAAATACAAAAATTATCCGGGTGTGGTGGTGTGCACCTGTAATCCCAGCTACTCGGGAGGCTGAAGCAGGAGAACCTGGGAGGCGGAGGTTTCAGTGAGCCGAGATCGTGCCACTGCACTTCAGCCTGGGTGACGGAGCGAGACTCAGTCTCAAAACAAAAATGCAAAACTGAAAGCATTTTCCTTTCCCCCTTGGGCAAAGTTGGGATATGGCTGCTAGCACTTGCTATCTATTTATATCTTTGGACTGACAAAGCAGCTTTCTCCTGCAGAGCTTCAGACCCTTAGTACAAAATGACATGGGGATTAATGCATGCAATGATAACACAAATAAACAGAAAGAAGAAGCTCCAGGATAGGCACAGAGGGAAAATATATTTGAAAAACAAATGCTGAGTTGGAAATCCAAGGCCTTCCTTGGTACCATGGGTCACCTTGGGTCTAATGTCAACCACCTGGGGTGTTTTGCAGGAAGGGTTTGGTGGAACAGCCTGTGAAACCTGTGCTGACGACAACTTATTTGGACCCAGCTGTTCATCAGGTATGTCTGATTTTTGTGTAATCACCACATTTGTAAGGGTTGACAGTCCATGAGAAAGATTGCTCCTTGAGGAGAAAACACTGAATAGTTATGTGTGATAAAAAAGAAATTTCAGCAGAATTAAATTTAAAGGAGTTTAATCGGGCAATGAACAATTCATGAATCAGGCAGTTTCTGGAATCACAGCAGATTCACAGAGACTCAGTGAAGCCATGTGATGAAAGAAGATTTATAGACAAAAAAAGGGAAATGACATACAGCAATCGGAAGTGAGGTACAGAATGGCTGGATTGGTTACAGCTTGGCATTTGCCTTATTTGAACACGGTTTGAACACTCAGCAGTATATGAATGATCCAAGTATGGCTGCTGGGATTGGCCAAAACTCAGCTATTGTTACAGGTGCATACTCCTAAGTTAGGTTTTCAATCTCATCTACCTATTAAGCTAGGTTGCAATTCATCCACAAGGACTCAAATATGGAAGTACAGAGTCCTTATCAAGTCATGATTAGTTCACTTTAACATGTGTAACCAAGTCTACATAGAGAAAACAAAACAACAAAGCTGTTAAATGCAGTCATTGAAAACAGAGACAGTGTTTCCTGAGGTTCTCAGCCCTGGCATGTGCAGTCAGCTACTCCCCGGAAATGCTTCCACCCATCTTTATGATTCCCTCTCCCCAGGCTCTAGGATTCCACCACTGCCTGTTCTTTGCCTGCCCAGCTTTTCTCTGGGCTCTTTCTGGATCCTGGTCTCAGCATAGATCCATAGGCTTCCAATTAAACCGTGGGCCCCACCTAATTCTAATGGTTCCCTTCCTTTTGGGAGTTCACAAATAATTCCCTAAGGTGGTCAGTGATTGTTGCTCCAAATTAAAGAAACAAATTTGAGACTGGCTTGTTCACTCTCTTATTTTTGGCTGCCCCCAGAAGTAGACTCTGAGATAGAGATTTGAGTAACAAGTAGTTAGTTTATTTGAATGGTGATCCCAGGAAACACGAGGATGTGAGGAAGTAATATGGGGAAAATAAACAGGATGTTATTAAGCCAGGTGCCACTGTGAACCACTGGAGCCTGATGCCCCAGGGAGCTCTGGGGGTCGGTGCAGAACACACAGCTCAGTCATCTCACCTGAGGGGAAAGGAGCCATAGTGTGGTGGGCAGAATAACGGCTCCCTGAAGATGTCCACATCCACATCCAAATCCCTAGCACCTGGGAATATGGTACCTTACATGGCAAAGAGAAGTTAAGGTAGCAAATAGAATTAAGGTTGCTAATCAGCTGACCTTAGGATAAGAGATTATCCTGGGTTATCTGGGAAGGCCCAGTGTTAATCACAGGGGTCCTTAAGGATGGAGAAGGGAGGCAGAAGAGGAGTGTCAGAGTTACGAAATATGAGAAAGACTCGATCCGCCAATTTCTGGCTTTGAAGAAGGAAGAGCCATGAGCCAAGGAATGTGGGTGGCCTCTCGAGGCTGGAAAAGGCAAGGAAACATGTTCTCCCCAGAGTCTCCAAAAAGGAGCACAACACTGCCAACACCTTGATTTTAGCACAGTGATTTTGGATTTCTGAACTTCAGAAATGTAAGACAATAACTTTGTGTGGTTTTAAGACACTAGGTGTGTGGCAATGAGTTACAGCAGCAACAGGGAATTAATATACATAGTCAAGTGGGGAGAGTTTTTCACTCCCTGCCACTTAGAGTGTTTATAGGGAGCACCCAGGCCAAGCGCTCGTCCTAAGGTTCACACAAAACCCTCAGGCTAAGAGCTGTGGATCCTGGAAGTTAGCTGGAATGCTCACAATCGCAGTCAGTAAGGTCTAAAGAATGTGGGCATGGTAGAAACAGTGTCTGCTAGATCCACGTCTCCCAAAAAGGAATATATTGGGTAGCTTTTTGCCAACACCACTTGGGCCCTGACTTTCGTGGAAAAATTAAACTCAGTGGAAAACTGCTTCGATTCAAATATTTTTGGCAAGAAAACCTATGCACACACAACACATCCCACCCCCATAAGTTTGCAAACTCTGTAATAAGTTTTATCTGCAATTGCAGAGGCATTGCCTTGTTCTAATCCATAAGGTCCTCTTAGGCAGGTGCTGTGGTATCTTTATCTCCAGTACCTTCTACGTGCTGCCTGCCTGGTAGACACTCACTACACTGTTTTTGGATGAATACATGAGTGAGTGAGTATATGACTAGGTGAATCAATGAATGAATTATCTAGCTTGCTCCAGTGATGTTCTCCTGACCCAGAAGCATGGTTTTAGAACCCAGGCTTTAGACTCAGACAAGGTTTCAGCTCTAGGCCTGCTAATCATGGAGACATAGGTAAGTTTATGAAGCATGCTATCTGTGACTTCATCTGTAAAGATAGAAATAATATTGCCTCCTTTAGAGAGGATTTAATGGGATAAGTGCATAATAAATGTTATGATTATTATTCCCTAGCATCCCCTAATCATAGGTGTTTCTTCACCCACTGTCCCATAGAGATTATTTCATAAGACTGTTAGCAAAAGCAAATTTAAAACAGATATTGGAGCTGGGCTCAGTGGCTCACGCCTGTAATCCCAACACTTTGGGAGGCTAAAGCTGGATCCGTTGAGGTCAGGAGTTTGAGACCAGCCTGGCCAACATGGTGAAACCCCATCTCTACTAAAAATACAAAAATTAGCCGTGTGTGGTGGTGCGCACCTGAAATCCCAGCTACTTGGGAGGCTGAGGCAAGAGAATCACTTGAATCTAGGAGTCTGAGGTTGCAGTGAGCCGAGATCGTGCCACCACTGCACTCCAGCCTGGGTGACAGAGCAAGACTCCATCTCAAAAAAAAAAAAAAAAAAAAAGGATATTGGTGTCCCGTGTGTTTTTAAAGTTAAACATTACATTAAAGGACAGCAACTAAAATGTAATCAGTCAACTATATAGAAATAGCATGTCTCCTCCCAAATTTACCCTTCCCTGCCATTTAAGAATTTAAATCACATAGGCTAAATAAATATTGAAATGGGAAGGAGTAAATAAAGCATCCAGCGTTGCTTAGTTCCCAAGAAAGCCTAGTAATTGTCTGGAGATGACAAATTAGGAAGAAGACCCATGTTATCTCCAAGACACTGGTGTTGGTTACTGATGAGCACAGATGCGCAGGGAAATTCCCAACATTTCCAAATAAAGGAAGTATCCTCCCTTCACACTTAGTGTTGTGGAGAAAGGGCAAGTGAAAGGGAGAATGATGGTCTCAACACCTAAATTTTTTTTTTATACTTTAAGTTTTAGGGTACACGTGCACAACGTGCAGCTTAGTTACATATGTGTACATGTGCAATGTTGGTGTGCTGCCCCCAGTAACTTGTCATTTAACATTAGGTATATCTCCTAAAGCTATCCCTCCTCCTTCCCCCCACCCACAACAGGCCCCAGTGTGTGATGTTCCCCTTCCTGTGTCCATGTGTTCTCATTGTTCAGTTCCTACCTATGAGTGAGAACATGCGGTGTTTGGTTTTTTGTCCCTGCGATAGTTTGCTGAGAATGATGGTTTCCAGCTTCATCCATGTCCCTACAAAGGACATGAACTCATCATTTTTATGGCTGCATAGTATTCCATGGTATATATGTGCCACATTTTCTTAATCCAGTCTATCATTGTTGGACATTTGGGTTGGTTCCGAGTCTTTGCTATCGTGAATAGTGCCGCAATAAACATGTGTGTGCATGTGTCTTTATAGCAGCATGATTTATAATCCTCTGGGTATATACCCAGTAATGGGATGGCTGGGTCAAATGGTATTTCCAGTTCTAGATCCCTGAGGAATCGCCACACTGACTTCCACAATGGTTGAACTAGTTTACAGTCCCACCAACAGTGTAAAAGTGTTCCTATTTCTCCACATCCTCTCCAGCACCTGTTGTTTCCTGACTTTTTAATGATCGCCATTCTAACTGGACAATACCTAAATTTTTAAATAAGAAAACTGGAAACTTAAACTGAGACCCAAGAGAAAAACCTCCAAGCTCTGGATTCCAATAGAACTTTCTGTGATGATAGAAATATTGTCTGTTTGCACTGTCCCATACAGTAGCCACTAGCCACATATGACTATTGAGCACCTGAAATGGGGCTAGTGCAACTGAGGAGTTAAAATTCAAATTTCACTTAATATCATTTAATTCAAATTTAAATAGCCACATGTGGCTCGTGGCTACCAAATTAGACATCATAGTTCTAGGACGTAACAATTAAGAGAACAGGCTTTAAACTCAGCCTGACCATAGTTTGAAACAGACCCTAATTGCTGTGTTACCGAGGGCAAGCTATTTAAATTCCCTAAACCTTTCTCATCTATAAAACAGGAATAATAACATCTATTTCTTGGGATTGACAACACAGCAAAGCTCTTAGTATTATGTCACAAGCACTCAATCAATGGAAGTATTAAGTGAGGACAAAAGTAATCCAACAGCAAGCAAGTCACGGATGAATGAATGGATGAATGAATGACTCAGCGATGCCTGGTCATTTCCCACTGACAAGGACTATGGAGACTGCAAACCTTTTCATCCAGGCATCTACTGGGTGCCAGTGTTGTGTCATCCAATGAGATGTTGGTCCCGGGAGGTGGCCATTCTGCCTGTAAGTAGGACAGCTCTATTAGGTGCAGTTTATTTTTAACACTGGCTGTAATCTTCTGTGGGGGCACTCTCCTACCAGACTGCTTGTTGGTTTAGAGATAATTTCGAGCTGCACCAGCCAAAGATTTTCATCTCTGTGGCCAGTGCCCCAGCCTGCTCAGTGCCTCCTTCCCAGCTAGCCAGATTGCAAAGCCCGTTTTCTCTAACATGATCCCCAAATCAATCACACAACCATGTACTGTTAAGAAGAGTCACTAGTATTTGCTGGGCACCTGCTGTGTGTCAGACCATGTGCAGAGGGATTTCTTTGGATCCTCACTATGACTCTCCAAAGGAGGTGGGGGTTCTCCTTTTACGGATGAAGAAGCAGAGAGGGTTGCTCAAGGCCATGCAGCTATTATGGGGGCAGAGGCAGGATTTGACCCCACATATGTGACTCCAGAGCCTGGGCCCCTAAGCACTGCCCCAGTCTGCCTCTGGTGAGTGTCCATCATACATTACACACCAGACAGGTGAAGTGGATCCTAAGAGTGATGAGATTAGGTGCCCAGTCCCAAGGAGCTGGAAATGTGGGTGACAACTGTGATGATGCAGAGTGCACAGCCCAGACCAGATCCTATGGGAGCACAGGAGAGGGAGCAGCTTACTCTGCTATGGGGCATGTCACAGGAGCATACCATCCCTCTGACCAGCACGGCCATGGCTTTCACCACTTTAAAGTCACGCCACCCAAGTTTTATGTGTCTCTAGAGATTTGCTGAGACTGGTTAGCAAGTACCAAGGGCTCTTTCAATGATGATCTGGGAAACCCTCTGCCACTTACGTCTCCTTCCCAAGGGCATGTTCCTGGCAGCAGCTGGCAGCCTGCAATGCAGTGTCAGAGGCTTCCAAAAGCTGCCAGTGCCAGGCAGTCAATCCAGTATAGAGGCTGTAGTGGAAGATAGCATGAAGGGAGAGGCTCATGCCAGGGCCATGGGCCAATACCACACAGCCAGGAGGGCAATCTTAGTGACAAGGACAACACTTGTAATTTGCATCTGAGTTGGGAGCAGGAGCCCTCTGTGCCCCTCACCTTCCTCCACTGGGTGCATGACAACAATTAGGGCAGGAATCATCACTGTATCTCCTAGAGCCTGGCTTCCCACTACACTGTGAGCTCCTGGACTTTAGATATTATCAATTACTGACATGTTGTATACCTAGTGCCTAATACAGTGCCTGCTACTAGGTAGGAGCTGGGTAAATATTTTTGAATTGAATTGAATCTTCTCCACTGAGCCCATAGTACACTCCCTCCTCACCCCACTTATCTCCATAACCAACTTGACTGCTCTCCAGAACTTGTTTATTCCAAAAATCCACAGCCATAGGTAGATATCAAAGTGCTTGGCTAAAATAGAAACAATGTCAATTGAGTTTTGAAGAGAGGATGACACTGCAAATCCAATTTAATTCTTCAGTTATTTGAGGGACTACTTGAGCTAGTTATCTCCCATTTTTTCATGTGTGATACACTGGTAGTAATGATACCTACCTCAAAGGATGTGGTAAATTAGATAATGCATGACAACACACTTGGCAAAATGCCTGATAGATAGTAAGCACTCAATAAAGAGAAGTGTGGGGCCTTGGGTGCAAAATTTAAGGAGGCATCAAAAAAACTCAGTAATCAAGACCAATAACTGCACTGATTTCCTAGGGCAGCTGCAACAAAGTACTGCACACTGGGTGGCTTAAAACAACAGCAACTTATTGTCCCAGTTCTGGAAGCGAGAAGTCAAATATCAAGGTGTTGGCAGGGCCATGCTCCTTTTGAAGCTTCTAGAAGAAGGTCCTTCCTTGCTTCTTTCATCCTCTGGTAGCCCCAGCTGTTTTTGGTTGTGACAGTATCACTCCAATCTCGGCCTCCCTCTTCACATGCCTCTTCACCTAATGTCTGTGGCATCTCCCCTTCTTATGAGGACACCAGTCAAATTGAATTATGGGCTCACCTTACTCCAGTATGACCTCATCTTAACTCATTACATCTGCAATGACCCTATTTCCCAATAGGGGCATTCTGAAGTACTGGGGATGAGGACTCCACCATATTATTTTGGGAGACAAAACTCAACCCATGACAATAATACTTTAAAAATTATTGAACAAAACATCAAAATGCTAAATAACAGCAGGATGCAGCTCTGCACTTGCACAACCCTGTTTCACTCTCCTCACCCTAATCCTGGCCCTGCCAGACAATGTCTTTATCTAAAATTTAGTTGTGTAGTTGTTGGTATTGTTACAGGGCACCGTAAAAGATGTGGGGAAATACAGAGGTGGGGAGGTCATTCCAAGCAGTTCCAATCTAATAGGGGAGAAAAAATACACAGATTGAGAAAGAAAACAGCAGCCCTGACAGCTGTCCCCTGGCTGCTGGCCTAGTTGCTACCAGAGAGGCTGTGGTGTTCTGCTGCTGAGCATAAACGATGTCACAGAATATCACCATCAGAAAAAAGACTCACCATATCCATGGAGGAAAAGACAAAAACTAAGCCAGGGAATAATCATGTCTGAACAGAGACTCAACAACAATGGACAACCATGAGAATTACCCAGCAACTGCCTCTCCTGGCTGATATAAGAGCCTACTGCTACTTCTCCCAGAATGGCTCACCCTTGCTTCTGACTTGGTTTGACCATTGGTGCTCTCCTGGTGGTCTTCAGCTGTCAGGCATTAACAAACCTCTAGTTGTCGTAGGGTGCAATAGTGGACACGGAACAAAGAAAGTGCTGCTGGAGCCAGAGGAGCACAGATTGTTTGGAGACCACTGAGATGGCAACACAGAAGTGGGGGCTTTGGCTGGCCTTGAAGGATTCCAGTTAGCACACAAAAGGGAGCACAGCAGAGGAAAAGCCTGGAGGTGTGAACGTGCAAGATGCATTTCCTGCTGCTTCCACCTGGCATGGTCTTCCCTGGGCCAACCCCACTTTATCTTTTCCTGGCCAGCTCCCATTGGTTGGTCATGTCATAGCATTTATCCCAGTGCATTGTGATTGGCTGTTTTCTTCTGCCATTAGATTTTGATCTCTTTGATGGCAGAGACTTTGTCCTGTTTATTTTTGGGCATTAATCTCTAGTGCAGTACTCTGAACATAATATGTATTCCATAAGTGTTTTGAAGGAAGGAAGATGAATAGTGAATGAATCATCCCACATGCTAAGAATCTAAGATGTATAAAATAAAGTGGTGAAAGATGAAAATGAAATTTTATCAAGGTTAGAGTCAGGTTGGAGTGGCCATTGTTTACCAAACTGAGAAATCTAAATTTTATTTGGTTGGTAATTGAGAGTCATTGAGATATTTTGGGGAAGGTCACCCTGATGCCTTTGCTAATCAAATGAAATGAATGAAATGGAGAGGCAAGAAACTGGAAATAGCAAGACGAGGTATCATGCTACTGCAATAGTCCAGGCAAAACATGATAAAGGCCTCAACAAGAATGGCACCAGTGGAGATGAAGAGCAGAAGATCAAGGTGGGAGACAGAGACAGAGAAAACAAAGGATTTGATGGCTTATTAGATGTTTGGAATACTTTAAACTTTATTCATCCTTGCTTTGCTGGTATTTCTGGTTAAGTTTTTAAGCAGGTGCATCTTCTTAATTATGTTTCATTTGAGCTAACATTAAGTTGGCTTACGTGCACCGAAGACACGTGTAGTAGGCAGAAAAATGAGCCCCCAAAATGTCCTAATCCCTGGAACCTATGAATATGTTAGGTTATATGGCAAAGGAGAATTAAGGTTGCAGGTAGAATTAAGGTTGCTAACTGGCTGGCTTAAGATAGGGAGAGTATCCTGGATTATCCAGGTGAGTCCAATGTAATCACAAGAGTTGTTATAAGTGGATGAGAAAGACAGAAGAGAGAACCATAGAAATGGTAGCATGAGAAGGATTTGGCCTGCCATTGTTAGCCCTGAAGATGGAGAAAGGGTTTCATGAGCCCAGGAATAAAGATGGGCTCTAGAAGCTAGAAAAGACAAAAGAAAAGATTCTCCACTAAAGCCTCCAGAGGAATAGCAGCCCAACTGAAACATCAATTTTAGCTCAATGAGTACATTTTGGACTTCTCACCTCCAGAATTATAAGATAAATTTGTGTTGTTTTAAGCCACTAAGTTTGTGGAACTTGTTATGACAGTGATAGAAAACTAATACAACATGCTGCAGACAGGGCTGGCCATAGGATGACAATGGCCTAGCCTGATAGTAAATCTTGCTACAAACCAACCACAAACTAAAGAGTTGACCATTCACATTCATTTCAAATGCCCTTCATTTATCATCCCTGAAATGATCTGTCACTGGGCTAAAACATCAAGCTAGAAAATATGGCATGGTTATTCTAGACCCTTTGGAATATTTTCCTTTTTTTATCCTTGCATCACCCCATCAATAGGTAGGACTTATTTATATAGATATCTGCTACCAACAGTGACTGAGTTAGTAGTAGCTTTTCTCTTTTAAACGTAACAGGTGTATATAAGACACTAAATTAATTCTCTTGTTGAGGTATCCAAAGATGAAGTAAATAGTTTGAGAGCAGGGAAAAGAACTCCAATGCACATGATATGCCTCATATGCTTTATATACATTATGTTACTTGACTCTATAGAAATCCCAGGAAGTAGGCATTCCTATCCATATGTTAAACTTAAAAAAAAAAAAACCTGGTGCTGATAAAAGAGAGAGGAGCCAAAGTTCAAACAACATGCAGAGTCTCAGCAAAGATGATCTAAAAACACTAGCTTTCCAGAATGTTTAGCAACAGTCTATGTCAGGTAATAAAAATCCCCCACTTTCTGTCTCCAGTGTGCAACTGTGTGCATGGGGTGTGCAACAGTGGACTAGATGGCGATGGAACCTGTGAGTGCTACTCTGCGTACACTGGCCCCAAGTGTGACAAGCGTAAGTACTGCTAGTTCCCTTAATGCCACACCAGATCAAACAGGCACAAATGTATGCATTTCAATTTTGTATCTGTTACTGGTTCTCTGCAGGGGCAAGGTACTACCAAAAGTTTTCTGGAAAGAAACTAGAAATTAAAAAGAGAATATAGAAGAGAAAAGGAAAGAAGAGGAGGGAAAGGGAGGAGGAGGAAGAGAGAGAACAGAAGCAATGTGGTGTCAAGGCTATAGCTGTGTTTTAGGAAGGTTGAACTGGAGGCCAGGTGAAGGGTAGAATGGAGAGAGGGACACCGGGACTGGGAAGCCAACACAACCCATCTCAACAAGTGAGTCACCTAGTAAAGGAGATACAGCATCTTCTCAATTATGAGCCTCAAAGGCGGAACACATTAACAGCCCTAAGGAAGAGGAAAGGGTGCTTCACCAACGCTGAGTGATTCACCAAAGGCCACACAACTAGGAGAGCTGGGACTCAAGTCATTTGAATCCATGGGAAATTCTGAAAACAATCTATTATACTGGGTCCAATCAAGAGCTGGAAACCAAGGGGTGATTTAAACAAGGGAAGTTTAATAGGGATAATTAGTACGCTATGATAGGAGAGCAGCTGTAAAAATGCAAACACAACTCTAGAGAGGATGGAGCATAACAAAGGAAGGAGAAATTTGGAATGGGGTGGCCGTCCCCAAGGCTGGATTTAAACCTTGTTGGAGAGGGTGTGGTGGGTGGCCGAGAAGTTTGCTGTTTTATCCAGGCCAGCACTGGACCACAGTCACCTAGCAGGCATGGGGCAACCCTCCAGGGCCTTGGGGAGCTGAGGCTGGTGGGTGAGGCACAGGAAATCAGGGGCCTCTCAGGCAAAATCCTGGAATACACAATGTCTATGTCGAGAGGGCTGTGGGAAGGTAGTCGCTAGGTCCAGGCCAAGGATGCAAGGTCAGCCACTGAGGAACTCTGGGTGCACCGCTGGGGCAGAGCATCCCTGAACAGACCCTGCAGCAGCAGCAAAGGAACACGCAGCAGCAGCAGCACACTGCACCCTGGAGGCAGAAAGAGGAGTTCCCGCCTCCCACCGTGTCCCGCCAGCGCCCTCTACTGGCAAAACTTAACATCGACCTGTGAAGGAGAAACTCACAGGATGGCAGAGCCGGGGAGCTGAGATGTTAAGAAATCGACCATTCTGCCTCTGCCACTAGCCTCATTTAACTTATCCTCGGGACTTTAGTCTCCTGTAAAATGAAAGGGTTGGGTGAGATTGAAAGTCAGCAAATGCAAACTCATTTTATTGGAAGCGGTTGAGATGCCGTGAGCGGTGGTAGTAACAGGATGAATAAACTCAGCCTCTGCCTTCTTCCTGTAGCTGGGACAGCCATGAAAGCCTCCAGTCCAAATGCAAAGGCAAGTGGGTAGGACAGGCCTTCTGTGGTCCTCAGTCAGCCTCCTTCCTTGGCCACTCCTGCCAGTGTGCAGTGGACTCCTGGGCAGAGGCCTTCTCAGTAAGGCAGGAGACCCAGTCCAGAAGCCAGCCTAAGGGAAAACCCTAATAGATATGCTTCCAAGTAAAAAAATAATAATAATTCTGTCCAGCCAAATGACAAGAGACTAGGACAAAAATATTTAAAATTCACATGGCAGATACATTTTTATAACAAAAAATTGGATTCATGTAAAGTCCAAAATCTAAATTTCAGAATAAGAAATGAAAACAGGCCGGGCCTGGTGGTTCATGCCTGTAATTCCAGCACTTTGGGAGGCCGAGGCGGGTGGATCACCTGAGGTCAGGAGTTCAAGACCAGCCTGGCCAACATGGTGAAACCCTGTCTCTACAAAAATACAAAAATCATCCAGGCATGATGGCGGGCGCCTGTAATCCCAGCTACTCAGGAGGCTGACCCGGGAGAATCGCTCGAACCCGGGAGGTGGAGGTTGTGGTGAGCCGAGATCACACCATTGCACTCCAGCCTGGGTGACAGACTGAGACTCCGTCTCAAAAAGAAGAAATGAAAACCAGCAATAAACATGAAAAAGGTGCTAAGTCCACTAATCGTTACATACATACTTATTAAAATTCAGTCATATTTGGAGTCCTGGAGGTTTATTTTCATTTGTTTTTTTATTTTTGCCCACTATGTTACAAATTTTACCCATCTGTGGGTATGAGAAAAATGACAGTAAGAATGTGGATTCCTACAACCTACGGGAGAAATTTATTTACTAAATTTGAAGGTATGCTTATAGTATGCTTCTGTGTCCCCAATTCTAAGAATTTACCCCGGGAGAGGAGAGGAATTAGACAAAGGTAAGCATATATGATCAAATAAATTTATGGAAATGCTATTTGTAGGAGGATAACAAGCTGAAAACAACTTGAATTCCCACCAGTAGGAAATTGGTTGAATAAGTTGTGGTACATCCTATACTAGTTAGGATAATGCTAGTTGCTATAAAAAATAAACACAAAACTTCAGTGGCTTAACACTATGGTTTTAAAATTGTGCGCCAAGGTGTCCCAAGGTACTACAATCAAATTTACTGGCTACTATTGGTATTTTAAATTTCTGAGGGAAACACAGAGATACATCTGTCAGATACCACATGAACTGCTAGCTTGAGTTGGTTCACAATTTCAACATGAGGTCGCACTAATTCCTTGCAGTGACATCATATCTTTGCAAAGGTACATTTTCAGTGATTGCTATGATAAAAGGCAAGTACCGTGTGAAAATCAATGTGACTGAAATGAGGGTGCCAGTCTACAATCTGTATCAAACTTTAAAGTTTGAGAAGTTGTGCAGTGTCCAACACACTCACATATCTTATACGTAGGTCAATGTGGTTACTTAAGAATAGACATTTTTCTATTAAGCATGTCACTTTTTCAAATGGCTGCTAAGTGATTCTAACAACTAAATAAATGAATCTTTTCGGTGTTTCTTTTGATGTCGGGATACCATGAAAAAATTATTGGGAACCTCTGGCTTGACACTAAAGAAGTGTAGTTCTCACTCATGTAACAGTCCAATGTGGGTGTTCCTGGCTGGCGCCAGCTTCCCCCTACATGGTGATTAGGGATCCAGATCTTTCCATCTTGTGACTCTGTCATTCTCTAGTACCTCAGAGTTCTCTGCTTCCTGCCATCACAGATGGGAAAGAGAAGATGGAGAGGCACCTGCTTATGAAAGTCCAGGAAAAATATATAAAACCTCTACTCAATATTCCATCAGAGTGAACTAGTCACGTGATCTTTCCTGGACGTAAAGTGGGGTGGAAAATGTAATCCTGAAGGAGCAGCCACTTTCTGCCAAAACTTCGGGTTTATGGAAGGGGTGGGGGAATAGTCTCTGTGAACTATTTTACTCAACTAGCCACTGTTGGGAGACAATTCTCCATGCATCTCTCACATGTGTGCACATCTTGAGAGCAATACACTGACTGCTCTTTGTTCCAGATCATCTGTTCAAGGATGTTTGTATACTGAACAGACTTGGAAAACATAGTATCTCCCTCAGGAGCAAAGGGCAGGCATGCTCACTGCCAGTGCCTCTCAGCTCCAAAGCCACCCTTTTTGCCTGCTCGTGATAATGGAGCTGGGCTTTATAAATGATTCTCCTTCACTAGCTAGCAAAACGTGAAGCCTTATCAATGAAGAGTGCCAGAAGGACTGTAGAGGAGGAAGCCGGGGCTCTCTCCCTGTTTCTGGTTTGACTCACTCACCAGGCTCCCGAAAAACAGCTTTTCTCTGTTTCTTAGCCCCACATGGTTTCTCCAGTGCCGGGTTCCTGCAGAGCTCAGCTCCCTCCAGCATTTGGCCACTGCACACTGTCCAGTGCTTGACTCAGGAAGTGGCAGCACAGCCAGGAGCCCCAGACTGCGCAGGCCCATGCCTCAGCCCAGGGGAAGGCTGTTCGGTACTCCTCTCCTCAGCCCCATGCACAGCAAGGCCCCTGAAGAGCTGGTCATCTGGAGAGCTGGACACATCCCCTGAATCCCACACAGCTGGTCTGGAGCTGCCCAGGCCTGAACCACACACAGAGGTGCACTGCATGACAGAGAGGTGGCTTCTTAGCTGCTGCTGCCAGCAGCGCCCACTGGCTAACAGATTCCTTTGGCACCTAGTGAGTTCCAAGGCTTGTGACCTCCCCATGCATGACCTCCCAGCCACCCCAGAGAGCAGATTTCCAGCAAATATTGTCAAGGCATCTCTGCAACTTTGCTATCCAGTGACTAACGCCATGCTTTTTCCAGTGGTATTCAGATCTCAGCCTGGAGGGAAGAAGGTTATACGTTGGGTACTTGTCTCAGCCCTAGTACAGTAGTTGCTCTTTATAGACCTGCTATTTCTTTATTCTTTTTTTAATTTTATTATTATTATACTTTAAGTTTTAGGGTACATGTGCACAACGTGCAGGTTTGTTACATCTGTATACATGTGCCATGTTGGTGTGCTGCACCCATTAACTCGTCATTTAGCATTAGGTGTATCTCCTAATGCTATCCATCCCCCCTCCCCCCACCCCACAACAGTCCCCGGTGTGTGATGTTCCCCTTCCTGTGTCCATGCGTTCTCATTGTTCAATTCCCACCTATGAGTGAGAACATGCGGTGTTTGGTTTCTTTATTCTTTAGAATTATTTTATTTTAAACTCTCACTAGCTGATTTTTCATGATTTTAATTGTTCATAATCCTTTATAGTACAACTTTCCCTGTTCAAATAATTATGTGGTTTCTGTCTCCTGCTTGTCCCTAAATAATACATTGCCCATTTTTTAAAAAAAATAGGTACCCTAAGATCAGGGCTCACCTCCTATAATGAAACCCACTGCATGTACATGTCTCAGTCTAGTCCTCTTTGAATTGCCCCATGGGAATTGAGGTTTGGAAAAACTGGTGCCAAAATGCTGATACCCTGGCTGCTGCCCCTGCTGTAAGTATTAAGCTGTACTTCACTCTAACCCAGAAGTTTTGTATCTTCTACCAGCATCCATGAAACTTTATTAGCCCAACTTGTTCACTTTGCAAGTTGGCTGATGTCAGACTCTTCATAGCTTTTGACAGCCATCTACGTCACACCTACCTTTTGAAATACTATGCAGTTACTAGAGATCAAGGCAGATCCTTAAAGACTTTCATAATATATCGTTAAATTAAAAATTACATTGCTAAATATTTTAACAGGATTCTATTTTGTTACAAAATCAGACAAATAAATGTTATAAATTAATATATTTTATTGATTGATGATATCGGTAAATTTGGGAGACTAAGAAGAAGACAATTTTAACTTAACGTGTTCTGTATTTTTTAAATTATTACAATGAGTTTGTATTGCTTTTTAATAAAAGGGAATACTGCAGTTTGGGGGTCTTAAGAACTGGTTATTCTACTAATGCAAGTACTTCAACAATTTTCCTATGCAGCCATCCCTGAATGTGCAGCCTTGCTCTGCCCAGAAAATTCCAGATGTTCGCCTTCCACTGAAGATGAAAACAAACTGGAATGCAAATGCCTTCCCAATTACCGAGGCGATGGCAAATACTGCGACCGTGAGTAGAATTTAGATTCTGCTAGTTTATTCATTGAGATGTTTAGGTTATTTAACAGGAAAAAAAAATCTCACAACCTCCTTAACACAATGACCATTTCTATTTCTCGCTGTGTAGTTGAGTGAAACGTATATAAAAGGTGCCAAGCAAAATGCTCAATAAATGGCAGCTTCTCCTTCTCTTATGAAAGCACATATAGAGATTTTTATGTTTCCATATCACCTTAATCAATGTTAGAACATTTAATGCTTCTTATTTTATCTTTTTGATTTTATTCACTTTATAAAAAGCTGTATTATGTATCAGTTAAAAACATGGACTCTCAAGCCAGACCGTCTGGGTTCAGTCCCAGATCTGCCTTCTACTGACTACATGACCTTTAACCTGCCGTGTCTCAGTTTTTCTGTCTATGAAATGGGGATAATAATGGTACCTACTTTCAGGGATTATTGTAAAGATTAAATGAGTTAATACATAGCAAATTCTTAGAGCAGGGCTTAGTACATATTATAAATTCTGTAAGTGTTAATGTTTTCTTTCATGCTGTTTTATATTTAACTACACACACAAAATGGCCTACTAATATATCAACACAATATCTGTACAATTTCTGATGGCCATACATAAATCTGTCTGGTTCAGGGGGAAATGAAAGGAAATGTTTGTCTTTGAAAACTGTGAGTTGCCTTTGAGGTTTTGATCCACTGTTGCTCACGGTTCAGTTTTCCTTCTCCATCCCCGTTAACTAACTGCCTCTCATTTTGCTGTTGCCTCTCAAGCCATCAATCCATGTTTACGAAAAATCTGCCACCCTCATGCTCATTGTACGTACCTGGGACCAAATCGGCACAGTTGTACATGCCAAGAAGGCTACCGTGGGGATGGCCAAGTGTGCTTGCCTGTGGACCCCTGCCAAATTAACTTTGGAAACTGCCCTACAAAGTCTACAGTGTGCAAATATGATGGGCCTGGACAGGTGAGCAAATGATGCAGGGAACTGATGTATCTAGAAGTTTGACAAGCCACTATGTGTCACAGGTATCATTTGTCTTCTATGCCATCCCAATTCTCCCTTTCAATGTTCCGCTTGGTCTTCCCCTCCAGACAGTCCTCCATGTGCTCAGAGCCTGAAATCAGTGCCTGCTCACCCAGTCTATCCTTTAAACTCACACTTTCCCAGCTCCCCATCCAAACTTAATTGTCTTACGTTCTCTCCTGTCACAGTCCTATATGGTGTTTGGCAAAATATACACATAATTCAAAATTAGATTAACAAATTAACTGTTGAACATATGATTGACTTTTACCAGCAATCCTCCATTCTGCAATGGCTTTCTAATTTAAAAGGTGCTCTTAGAACCAAAAATACCCTGTTCCAAACGAATGAAACAGATAAAATGTCAGGCAGCACTGATAGATTATAGGGAGCAGTGGGAATATTCTGGGGAGAGACACTGTCCCTCTAAATGACATCAGGACCTTGACTGATAAAAAATCTGGTCAGGAGACCCTCACTGAGGAATCCAGTGGAAAGAGCCTTGGCCCTAATAGCACATTCGTCCATTGAGTATTTATTTAGTGGATGCCTTCTGTGTCCATAACTGCACATCAAGCCTTCAGTGAAGGAAATGTGTCCATACAGAAGGGTATTGCTGCACAGGTAGGAGGAAGGGCTCAGTGCCTGACCCAAACAGCCATGCAGTCTAATCACCTGGATGCTAGCTGATGGGAATATTCCTAGAATTCCCTGCAGAGAATCCACCCAACCTTGCCTCCAAAGAGAAAGGATATATTATGCAACATTTTTCTGCTATCGATTTCTGGGGAAGGATTGCAGAAAAATTCAAGGGGCTAAATTCCCATCTGCAAAATGAGGGTCTTTATGGGAAAATTAATGTTATGCCATGAATGTCAAGACCTCGCATGTGAGATAAAAGATATGCTTTATCTCTGAAAATGGGTTCCAAGACAGATTTTCAAGTCTTAGAAATTCTCCATTGTTCACACAGAAGCAGCACGTGCATGATTCCAAAGCAGGGTTTCTCTACCTCAGCATTTTTCACATTTTGGGCTGGATAATTCTTTGTGGGAAGGGGCTTTCTTGTGCATTGTGAGGTGTTTAACAGCATTCTTGACCTCTGGTAGCACCGCCTCCTCCCATCATGGCACTCAAAAATGTTTCCAGGCTGGGCATGGTGGCTCATTCCTGTAATCCCAACACTCCGGGAGGCTGAGGCAGATGGATTGCTTCAGTCCAGGAGTTCAAGACCAACCTGGGCAACATAGCGAAACCTCGTCTCTACTAAAAATACAAAAAATTAGCTGGGCATGATGGTCCACACCTGTAATCCCAGCTGTCCGGAAGACTGAGGTGGGAGAATCACATGAGCCTGGGAAGTAAAGGCTGCAATGAGCCAAAATTGCATCACTACACTCTAGCCTGGGCAACCAGAGTAAGACCCTGTCTCAAAAAAAAAAAAAAAAAAAAAACACTTGTTTCCAGATATTGTCCAGTGTGTCCTAGATTGAGACTCCTGGTTGGAAACCATTATTCTAAAGCAATAATACCTCCCATTTGGACATCAATTTCTGCTCACCTATAGACAATCTAAAACTGGGACTTATGGAGCTAGGGAGGTCAAGGGTTAGGAAACAAGAAAATTGAAGCTAAACTTTATAAGCAAGGAGTATAAGCTTTCCAGCAGGTGACATGTGTAAACATGATTTCTACTTTTAGATACTTTGACAAATTTTTAGTTTAAGTCCACACTTCAGACATACTCTGAGTGAGTTTTTATGGAAGAATAAAAATACAAATTAAAGAAGAATGCCAGCTGAAGTAACTAACTAGGATCCTATTTGTTTTTCTCTTCCTGTCTACTGAAGTCTCACTGCGAGTGTAAGGAGCATTACCAGAATTTCGTACCTGGAGTGGGGTGCAGTATGACTGATATATGTAAATCAGATAACCCGTGTCATAGGAATGCAAATTGCACCACCGTCGCACCAGGCCGAACTGAGTAAGTCTTTTCAATTCCTCCACCAACATTTCCAAGTGGTGAAAATGGTGTCCAGTCATTGCTGTAAGTTTCTTGAAGGGGAGGAAATGTGTCTTATTCAGCCTTGCATCCACCCCCACCCCACATAGTAGGAGCAAGGATTGTAGTAGGTACTCAATAAATCTTTAATTAATTAAACACTCAACAATTATTTCCTTTATATGACCATTAGAATACTCTGGAATATTGTTGTGGCCTGATAACTTGATATGAAGTGGTCAGAATGTGGGAGAAGGAAGCCACTGCGACTGGGGAAACAAATGGTTGTTGAGATTACAGGGTTATGACCTCTAATGTACATGCCTGTTTCCTCACTCATGACATATTGCTTGTTAGAGGTGCAAAACAAGACTAGGGAAAGTGAATAAGCACTAGTGGTGTTTCCTGGACTCTAGATTTCAAAAGAAGGGGTTTACTGTGAATAAAAACATTTGTGTGAAAGTTTCTGAGGCAAAGGCAGCTCACATGATAGAAAGAAGATGGTATTTGGACTAAAGATCTAGGTTTAAGTCTCAGCACTGATACCTACCAGATGCATGACCAAGGAAAGTGGCACCATATCTCTGGCCTCAGTTGCTCCATGTGTAAAAGGAGCACAATGATTTATACTTCATAAGGTTGTTGTGATGATTACATGAGAGAATGTTTCTAGAAACTATGACACCAGTGTAATGTGTTTTCATTAGTGACTGACCTGAAGCTAGAACCCAAGTCTTTGACTCGCAGACTGAGGTTTCTATCTCTGTTCCATTTTCAATTCTCGCTACCATCAGCATCTGAGAAAGACTCATAGTGCCATTGTGAGCTCAAAACCACAATCAACATCGAACCATAGCATGATAAAACAGTTTCTGTGATTCCAGAGCCCCCTTCATCTTTTGGGAAGTTCACGCCTTTTATAACTGGGTGGTCAGTGTGTAGATTTGCCCCAACAGGTTGTATTATCATCATGTCCTATCTGGACAAATAAATAGATCTGTACTTATTGTACATGGAGTGGAAAGAGCTGGGATATCAGAACACTTAGGTTCAAATCCCAAGTCTGCCCCTTACCTTACCCTCTCTGAACTGATGTTTCTTCAACCATAAAAGGGAGAGAACTATACCTCCCACCAGGGCTGTGCTGAAAGTTAAACAGGATTACATTCGTCAATCTCTGAGAAGAAGATGGCACCTAGAAATCCTTCAATACATGTGAATGCACACACAAATACACCACAGCCATGCATATAGGCACAGAGGCACCCAACACACATATGCATCCAGGCACACCCTCCCCTCAAACATATATTCTGGCAATACTGAGAACCAAACAAGCTGGTGTATGCATGTTTTACCACCCTCTGAGAAAGTCTAAATAGAATACCTTAAGCGAACTCTTTCCTTGTGTTTGAGAAGATAAAATCTAAAAATGAAATGAGAATATCAGAATAATATAAGCTGCTTCCAAATTTGTGTTTAGAATGTCAGATAACCTAACATTGTGATGTTAGGGGTACATGTATCACCCACAAACCTTCCCACACCTCAAATTGACTGTCTTCAGCCAAAAAAAGGCCTAAGTAAAAAAGCTAGCTAAGTTATATTGATAAAATATGAAGTCATCAGTCCTCAGGTAATTTAGTTCATCTGGGATAAAAATTTATTTCATTTATGCCTTCTCAATATGGCAAGTAGCTTATGCAGAATCTTCAAAATCAGACTGCATTTGTCACAGAAGACCACCTGATCGAGAAGGGTGGGTTGAAACATGAACTCTACCACTCCCCCTGGGGTGACCTTAGGCAAGACTAAACTTTTCTAAACCACAGTTCCCTCACCTGTCAAGTAGGTCTAGAGACCAGGAATCTCTGCCTGTGGAGAGCTAATGAGTTCATGTATATAATATGCTTTTAAACGCTAAGCTCCATTTTGATTCTTACTGAGAACAAATAACTTTATGCTTTGCCTTTTTACTTTTACTTATTAATAGATGTAGGAAGTAAGGGACAGTAGAAGAGATGAGCATTTCTCTCTCATTTAACTAAACTCAGCTGAAAAATAGCCAGGACACGGCTGAGTGGGCCTATTGTAATAAGCACAGTTTACATTCCAGTTGTGCAAAAGTACAAACAACAGTGAAGTGTAGGGACTCTTGGAATGCTAGTGACATTGATGATATTCAGTGTTTATATAAGATCTGTACAGGTTGGGATATCCTCAGTGTAAACAGTCTTCCCAAGAGTCCTTTCCAAGGCAACATGGTACAGTGGCAAGAGACATTCTCAGATGGATCTAGTTTTAAATCCCAGCTCAGCCACTGCCAGATGTGTTTCCAGCAGTTTGACCCTTAGACCTGGGCAACAGGAGCCCCTCCCCTGGGCACTGCATGTTAGAAGCTCCCATTCTGGCCCTCTGCTGGCTACTCCAGGGCAAGGAATCTGAACGTCCAAAGGGGCATGCTCCCCAAGAGCCTGGGCCCCCCACTAGACCACACTCGGGGTACTCAGAAGCCTGCAATTTCCTGCCCAAACAGCTCCAAACCAGCTTCCAGGGCCTGAGACCATTCCCAGGGTATGGAGGATATGGCCAAAAGTGGCTGTTCATAGCAGGTGCAGATAAGCCAGCATTATCTCCACCATACTTGTGAATATACCCTTGCCTCAGGTTCTGCTGAACTACTTATTATTTGTCTTGGTCTGTTTGGGTTGCTATAATAAAGTACCATAAACTGAGTGGCTTATAAACAACAGGAATTTATTTCTCACAGTTCTGGAGGCTGGGAAGTCCAAAATCAAGGTACCAGTAGTTTCAGGATCTGGTGAAGCCTGATTCATAGGTGGTGACTTCTTACTGTGTCCTCCCAAGGTGGATAGGGGTAGGGAGCTCTCTGGGACCTCTTTTCTAAGGGCACTCATTCCATTCATGAGGCCTTTACTTTCTTGATTTAATTATTATACCTCCCAAAGGCCATGCTTCCTAATAATACCATCACACTGTGGGTTAGGATTTCAACATATGAATTTTGAGGTGAACACAAACATCCAGTCCATCGCACTGTTCTTCAAACATGCCATGGTGCTCCCCACTCCTGGCCCTTGCACGTGCTCTTCCTTCCACTTAGGATGCCATCTCCGTGCTCCACCCACCTCCTGTGAGTCAGCCTAACACCCTGCTCCTTCAATGGCCAGCCTAAGTATCTCCACCTCTAGGATGCCTCCCTGTCCTCCCAGTGCTCTCTGATGCCCCTCCCTCTGGGCTCCCAGAGCACCCTGGAATGTGTCTATGAGAGAATTTAGGGTCCAGAACTGTGATAAGGATGTAGCACAGTGGCAGTGAGCATAGGCGCTGCCAGTTACAGGCTGTGTGATCTTGAGTGAGATACTTAACTTCTCTGTGCTTCAGTTTCCTTATCTAAAATGGGGCTAATAACAGGACCTACCTTATAGGGTTGTTGCATTAGAAAAGATACCACACTGAAGCCCTTATAAGACTATGTAGCATAAGAGCTATTAATAAATGCTGGCTATTAGCCGCCCCGACCGGGAGGGAGGTGGGGGGGTCAGCCCCCCACCCGGCCAGCCGCCCCGTCCGGGAGGTGAGGGGCGCCTCTGCCCGGCCGCCCCTACTGGGAAGTGAGGAGCCCCTCTGCCCGGCCAGCCGCCCCGTCCGGGAGGTGAGGGGCGCCTCTGCCTGGCCGCCCCTACTGGGAAGTGAGGAGCCCCTCTGCCCAGCCACCACCCCGTCTGGGAGGTGTACCCAACAGCTCATTGAGAACGGGCCATGATGACAGTGGCGGTTTTGTGGAATAGAAAGGGGGGAAAGGTGGGGAAAGGATTGAGAAATCGGATGGTTGCCATGTCTGTGTAGAAAGAGGTAGACACGGGAGACTTTTCATTTTGTTCTGTACTAAGAAAAATTCTTCTGCCTTGTGATCCTGTTGATCGGTGACCCTACCCCCAACCCTGTGCTCTCTGAAACATGTGCTGTGTCCACTCAGGGTTAAATGGATTAAGGGTGGTGCAAGATGTGCTTTGTTAAACAGATGCTTGAAGGCAGCATGCTAGTTAAGAGTCATCACCACTCCCTAATCTCAAGTACCCAGGGACACAAACACTGCGGAAGGCCGCAGGGTCCTCTGCATAGGAAAACCAGAGACCTTTGTTCACTTGTTTATCTGCTGACCCTCCCTCCACTATTGTCCTATGACCCTGCCAAATCCCCCTCTGTGAGAAACACCCAAGAATGATCAATAAAAATAAATAAATAAATAAATAAATAAATAAATAAATAAATAAAAATAAAATAAATGCTGGCTATTATTATAACTTATCTCAATCCCCAACTAGAATATAAGGTCCATGTCTTACTCATCTTTGCTGCAGCAATGCCTGTCACCAATTAACACAGTGAAATGATAGGTACAAAAAATATAAACAGATAGAATGAATAAGACCTAGCATTTGATAACACAACAGGGTGACTACAGTCAACAACAATTTATCGTACATTTTTAAATAACTGAAAGAGTATAATTGGGTTGTTTGTAGCACAAAGGATAAATGCTTGAAATGAGAGCTATCCCATTTGCCTTGATATGATTATTATGCATTGCATGTCTGTAACAAAATAGCTCGTGTATCCCATAAATGTATACACCTACTATGTACCCACAAATGTTAAACATAAAAATAAAATAAGAAATAAAAAACAGTGAAATGAGTGAGAATTTGGAGGAACAAATGAAACAATGAAGAAATGAAATGAACCAGTGAAGAAATAAAGGAAGCAACTGTACTAAGACTTTGAGACACCCTATATACTAACTAAATCTCAACCAGCATTAAGTGTAATTAATTTTAACCCATAACTGTAAAATGCAAATGGCTTCTGGGTGTTTTTAAAGCCTTAAGACAGCAAGAGACATTTACTCCTAATAAAAAGAAAACAATTTCCTAAAGAGGTGATGTTGTGAATGTTCCATGGCTCAACTGAGAACAGTTAAGTCAGAAACTGGTCTCATAACGTCTCAGACTTTGGACTGAGATTTGAAATAAAAATTTAAAATAGTGATGTCTCATGCATTCCATTAGCACTGAGGCCATAAAAATATGATTCTCCTGCAATCCTTAGGAAAGAAAGGCCAAGTCACTTGACACAAAACAGACCATTGGCCACCTAACAACTCAAGAAACTTTTACAGAGAAACATACTCAGTGGTTTGTAAAGGTTACATGTCTTGCTGTTAACAGTTGTCTTCAAATGAAGGAATGTAACTTATAGTAGGATTAATTTTTAAGAATGACTGTTGTCTTATGTCACTTCCCAGAGTTACCAGTCTCCTCCTTTCCATCATTAAATTAGCGTAGCACAGTGCTTGCAGAGGAGGTTGACATTTAAGTAGGAAACTATTATTTGATTGTATTAAATTGTTTCATGATTAGATCTACTTTACTAATTCCTTATAAAAAGGTTTCTCAGCCTCAGCTCTACTGACATTTTTGGCCAGACAGTTCTTTGTTGTGAGGGGCTGGGCTGTGTAAGTAGATCCCCATCTCGGTTGTAGCAACCAAGGATGTCTCTAGACATTGCCAAATGGCTTCTGGGCGGGGCTGGGGAGGGGGGGCAAAATTGCCTCTGGTTGAGAGCCAATTCTTCATAAAAACCCCAAAGGCTTCATCAGTAAATGATCCCCCAAGTGTTTGTCCAGCTAGAAAACTCATAGGCAGCCGAGCACGGTGGCTCACACCTGTAATCCCAGCACTTTGGGAGGCCAAAACTCCAGCTACTCAGGAGGCTGAGGCAGGAGAATCACTTGGATCCAGGAGGCAGAGGTTGCAGTGAGCTGAGATCACGCCATTGCACTCCAGCCTGGGCAACAAGAGGGAAAACTCCAGAAAGAAAAGAAAAGAGAAAGAAAGAACTCATATGCAACCTTCTAGAATTAAATATTACTTTCTCCTAGAAGCTGTCCCCTATTTCTCCAGGTAAAATCAGTTACTTCCTTCTCCATGCCCTATAGCATCCTATTCAATCTTCTATCATGGCACTTACAATGAAACTTCATTTATCTCTCTACGGGCTGTCCTGGTATATCCCAGCACCTCTAGGTCACTGTTGTCATTATAGTCACCTTCCTCATCATGTCAGCCTTGTCCTTGTCGTTATCATCTGCCAAGCATTGAGCTTTTTCTATATGTCTGTCACAGTGCTATTTTTCTTTCCTTATCTCTCTATCAACTATCCTAAAGGTATTATTAAACCCATTTTATAGAAGAGGAAACTGGGACTCAAGGAGGTCAAGTGGCCTTACCATGTTGCTATAATTATTTTGTTTTCAGGTCCATCCTTAGCATGTAAGACTCAAGAAGGGCAAAGTGTCTCTTATTATCATCTTTGTAGCTCTCTTACCTAGAAGGTTCCTAGAATTAAGAAGGTACTTAAATAATCAGTAAATAATCAGTTAAACAATCAGGCACTGCCCTAAGTGCTAGGATATAATGAGGAATTATTATAGTTGGGATCCATCTTCTAGGACAGTATACCATCTAGCAGAAGAGACAATGTCTCCAGAGGTAGTTCTGGTGGATAGGGTTGTGATAGAGGTATCGATGGGATGTGCTGGAAGTGCTCAACACAACTGGGGAGAGGTCACACCAGAGTGATAAGGTGAGGATGGGAAAGCATTCCTGGTGGGACAAACAGGCTGAGAAAGGCATAACAGCCTAAAAAAAGAAGTAGTTTAGCGCTGCTGGAATTTTCAGTGGACAGCAAAAAGAAGACAGAGCAGGATTCTCCTGTGTACACTTTCTCATGTGGATAAAAGGAGTCAGTGAGGGTTTTAAGCACACAGGTGCCAGAATTTTAAAGCGCAGTCAGGAGACTGCATGAAAAACAGATTTCAGGGTAGAACATATGGGCAAAAAGACCAGGTTGAGGCTGTGCAACAATCCAGGCAGAGGGTGGTAGGATTCTGAAGGTCTGCAGCAAACTTGTTGAACATGTAATCTATTTGCCATGGAAATATATTTAGAAACACACGTGGATTAACCATAAAAAAAAAAGAGTGCATAGTCTTTCTTTAGAATGCTTTCCTCAATGTGAGTCACAGCTGTGGTGTGGTGTGAGCACTGCAAAACTGTGATGTAGTCACAGCACATCTTTTGTTCCCTGCATCTCTCCTCTCTGGAATGTTCTTCCCTTACTTCGCTTTGGTTCCTGGCTCATCTCCAAGATGCTTGTGAAAGTCATCTTCCTCATCACCTTGTCAATTTCAGCCAGCTGTCAACTCCTCTATACTGCATAGTTGTGGTCTGCTATAGCCAGAGCTTATGGACTCACAAGAGCTGAGTTTTAAAGTTTCAGAAATTTCACAAGAGGGTTAGCATCATCTTATTAGTTTGAAATTGGTCAAGATTGGCATATTAACCATGGAAATTGGCAAATGCTACAAAGTAGGGCTTCCCCCTCCCCCAGAGAGTTGGTTGTTAAACATTTATCAGCATACCACTGATAGTACATTTTTAACTCTACTTCTGTCTTATGAAACTATTGTACAAAATCTCTGTGATTTTCATTGTTTACATATTTATTTCATAGTTTGTATATTTATTTTCATTGTTTATATACTTCATTGTTTGCTATTTATTTAATTCAATTACTACTTATTGTACAACTATTGAGCACCTATTATGGACCTACCCTGTGCTGGATTCTGGAGTTCACAACAGTGAACAAATACACACATAGCCCTTACCCTCACTCTTTTCTCAAATGTTATAGGGAAGCAGATATTAATCAAATAATCACACAAGTCAGGGTGAAATTGCACTATGATCGCTGCTATGGAGAAGAGGTATGTGGTTTCATGAGAGTATATATAATGGAGACACAGTGAGGGAGTGGAGAAAGAGACAGGCAATCAAGGAAGCCTTTCTGAAAGAAGTGGCAATTGAGCAGAGCTCTCAGCTAGGAAGGAGCAGGGGTGGGGGAAGCATTCTAAGTAGATCAATAATGCTGAATCTTTGCTGTCCTGCAGGCTGAATTCAGTAGCTTATTCTGATTCAGTCATGCAGTGGAGCCCTAGGGTCCACATTTATTATATTAAATATGTTATATTAAATATATTAAGCACTCCAAGTGATTCTGATGTGCATGGTTTCTTGATCACACTTTGAGAAATACTGAGACAAAGAGCATACAAAGATATCTAGTGTTGACAGATACATTTAATTTATTAGGCATCCATTTCTTGAGGAGCTACTAGATGTCAGATACCACACTAGGAATGCTCTCTTGTCCCTATTCAACCCTGGGCATCCTTTGCTCCATCTGTTCAATGAGGGGATTGGACTGTATGATCAAAATACTCAATGGCTCTAAAACCCTGAGGATGTCTTTTCCCCCTCTCTGTAGATGCATTTGCCAGAAAGGTTACGTGGGTGATGGCTTAACGTGTTATGGAAACATTATGGAGCGACTCAGAGAATTAAATACTGAACCCAGAGGAAAATGGCAAGGAAGGCTGACCTCTTTCATCTCACTCCTAGGTACGCAGCTATGGGTACAGATTTCCACACAAAAGTCCTCTTTCAGGAAAGGGCATCTGCAAGATACAATGATTCAGAAAGGGACAGGCGAGCCTTGTCTATTAGAATCAGCCTTTTTGGAGGGGTCATGCAGGTGAGAGGGAAAGGGCAGGCAGCTGTTTCAAAGAAGACAAGCAAAGAGATAGTGCCAAGAGATCTAGCAATGCAAGAATTAGCAGGCAGAGAGCTGAGGACAGGGTTTGGGGGTCGCCATAGACCAACAGAGCTGCAGTAACAGTAAGAACAGGACAGCTACTGATGTGAGGATACAAACTGTCCCCCTCGTCCTTGACCTTCTAGATCCTTCAGGTATGAACAAAGCTTGGCAGGTAAAACTGGGAATAGAGAGGGTGACTGAGACCCCAGGGCAGCATCCTTGTTCCTCAGTGGAGGGGCTGTTTGAATTTTGGAATAGTCTTGGTTGTATGCAACCATCTTAGCACCCTTGGTCCCCCAGTCACTAATTGCCTACAGTGACACATTCACCTCCAGCCCCCCAGGCAAGGTGAGAGCCTAAAACACCCTCATGTATTTGCAAATGACTTCTAAGGGCCATTACTCCACACTCTCTAGAGAATGAAATATTATAACTGATCACAGCATTGGACACAACTTCCAATAAAACACAAATCCAGCCGTTCTGAAAAAAGTAAAACACAGACTTGGCCAATCAACAGAAACTTTAAAAATATCAGCTTTTATGTTGGAATTTACCAGTTGCCAAAAATGATCTCCCAGCAAGAACATAGATAAACCAGTGTAATTGATGGGTCAATGCTGTGTTCTCTGCATAAATCTTAAGGTTAAATATCCCATTTAATGTCTCCTGCATAAACATCCCATTTTTCCCAAGGCATCCCATAGGGCATCAAGTATTAGTGGCATCCCTTGGGCTCAGGGGCAATCTACCAGTTTCCTCACAGCCTTACTCTAAGAACTCTTAGAATACCAAATGGGACCAGACAGGGGGGAGGTAGTGTTTTTTGCAGACCAGGCCCTCCAACATTTCCCTAGACAGAGTCCTGTTGACCTTTCACCTTCCCCATGACAAAGTCCTTATACACTGCCTCTGGGTGTGAGAACACAGAGCCTGTCCTGTCGTCCCAGCTTCCCCAGGTGATGGAAGCAGGATTACCTACATACTTTGCTGGGCCCACTGGAAAGTGAAAATGTAGGATTCTTTGTTCAAAATTTATTAAGCATTTCAACATGGCAACTGCAGAGCATTAAACCAATCATCGGGGCTCTTCTGAGCTGGCCCTGGATAAAAACAAGGGCTGCCTCTTTGCTCACCGAGACAGTGACAACTCAAAGTTAAGCGCAGGATCAGGGACCCTGGGGTTGTGGTAGGATTTTGTCATGCCTGAACTGCTCAGCCAGGGTATCTTTGAAGCTGAGGCTGTCTGCAGGAAAACTCTCACGGCATTATGTGGAATGTATTGAGGCCATGGCTTTAGGGTGCCTTACATTCTTAGAGAGATTCCCAGTTGACACAGGGCCTACACATGCCCATTAGAATAGAGAAGGGCATAAATGGACCGGTCGTGACCCAAGACCTGTTGCCTGATTTTACTCCTCCTGTACCACTGACTCATTTGGCGTTTTCTTTCTTTGTGTTATTTCGACTCCTAAGACAAAGCTTATGCCTGGCCACTGAGTAAGCTGGGACCCTTCACGGTGCTGTTACCTACAGACAAGGGACTGAAAGGATTCAATGTGAGTATTTAAAATGACCCTACACCAAGGGGCTAATATGAAAAGCCTTAGTAGGGAGTACCTTCTTTTATTTAAAGTGGGAAATCCCCATTAAAATTAAACCTACTGATGATAAGGATGGTGATTTTTTGATAAACTTCTTTTAGTGATATATAACATCCTTACAGAAAGTATACAAATTGTAAGTGTACAACTCAGTGAATTTTCCCAACGTGAACCTACTTGTGTAAACACCAAGTCCATTGCCAGCAACCTAGAAGGCCCCCTGGTCCCCCTTTCCAATCATTACCCTCTACAGGTAACCACTGAGTGTTCTTAACATATATCCAGGTGATAAAGAAGATTTGCTTAAAGCAAAACTGCTCACTTCCCACAGGAAGAATTAAATTAATGTATTAGCTAGATATGTGGGTTTTTTAAATCATTATAAATGGTACAAGCGATAAGGAAAAAATAAGAAGAAAATTTTAGTCTTCAGTGTGAGCAGCTGTTGTTTGAGATAATGTCATCCAGTGGGAATGAAACTTGTAGTGCCTGGTGGAGGCGTCCTATCGAGATGGCATCACTAATATAGTTATATTTGGTCTAATGTAAATAATGGACTTATCGATTTGTATACAACTTATTATCTTCACTGGCCTCCATTTTAATCATTGTGTAGGAACTGGTATTCTATATATCTTTCTCCCTCCCACCTTTACCATCTAACATGTGTTTTTATTTTTCCTGATCTTGATTTTTTTTTTTTTTTTTGAGACGGAGCCTTGCTCTGTCACCCAAGCTGGAGTGCAGTGGCGCAATCTCGGCTCACTGCAACCTCTGCCTTCCGGGTTCAAGCTATTCTCCTGCTTCAGCCTCCCAAGTAGCTGGGACTACAGGCACATGCTACCATGCCCAGCTAATGTTGATATTTTTAGTAGAGAAGGGGTTTCATCATGTTGACCAGGATGGTCTCCATCTCCTGACCTCGTGATCTGCCTGCCTCAGCCTCCCAAAGTGCTGAGATTATAGGCGTGAGCCACTGCACCTGGCCCAGATCTTGATTTTTATTGTGTGTTCTTGTCATCTGTCTTAAATGCTCTGTGAAACAGATCAGCCAGAAATAAATAAACATTTAAGTAAATGGATTAACAAATACACATAAAATGATGGAAGCCAATAAAAGATTGAAATCTGGGAAGTGGGAAAAAATAAAAATGAAAAAATAAAATTGAGTTATCTTAATCCAAGATATTTTGTGGTAATAATTTTTGTTGCAATGAATCAAAACCCAGTAAGTTGCCGGCTCTCTAACCCTCATATACCACCACGATTAACCTGTCTGATATTCATCTCTCTATTGTTCACCTTCAGAGATGTCCTCATACCACTCCTGTTGGAAAGAACCAGCAAACATTGTATGCCTCTAGGCTAGGCACTTTGCACGTGGTCTCTCATTTAACACATAGTTTACACAGAGTTAATATAAGCATCTGTTCAGTGTTGACTACGTAGTAATGACAAAAGTAGATTTGATCCCATGGATTTCAAAAATCTTAACTTTTCTATTCAAAAGTACAATCAGCTTACTTGCTTTACCTACTCTTTCCATGAAACTTCAAATTTTATTCCCATCTGCTTTCCATGTTCAAGATAGATTCCTTGTTCCTTGTTCCTCCTGGGGCCATTGCGATGCTGTGCTTTCCCCATGTCAGTTTCAATGCTAAAGCAACCTCCCCTGGTTTGAGAGTAGATTGTGCATTGCCTCCAACTCTCCAGGTTTCTACTCCCTGGAAGGCCTGGCCCAGGTTGATTGCACTGATGGTAATGTATAGCAAGTATAATTGTCAGTGCTTTCATGCATTTGTATTTGCAAAAGCCCAAACCCAAGTTAGGGTGCCCTGGCTTTGATGTCTTTGATAATAAGTAAGGCACAGCATGTGTTACAAAACTCATTTTCTTCTTCAAATAATAGTAAAATTGGCTCTTCTCTCTTAGGTAAATGAGCTTTTGGTGGATAATAAAGCTGCTCAATACTTTGTGAAACTCCACATAATTGCTGGTCAGATGAACATCGAATATATGAATAACACAGACATGTTCTACACCTTGACTGGAAAGTCGGGGGAAATCTTCAACAGCGATAAGGTAAGGGTTCCTCTGATTTTCACTCCCAGAACTAAATTATCCACCAAGCCAATGCCCATATCCTTCTCTCTCTTTTTGTTTGGGGTTTGTGAAAAATTACAAGGAAATTCTTTCCTCATGTATTATTTGTCAAACACCTTATATAGGAAGAAACAGACAGCAACACCAGGGAAGGCCATGGAGGAAGGGTGGAGTGTTATGCAAATGGGGTTACAAAGTGTTTGACTTTGGTCTGGTCTGATTTAGTTTTCAAGGCAACTGTCATTCAACTGCCAGCAGGAAGGAGAAACTTTGCTATAAACCTGTTTCCTGAAAGCATCAGCACAAAGCCAGATCAGCATTCCTCTTATAGAAGGAAATAGATTGTATTTGTTTTAGATTGCTGGAGTTGATCCATCTTCTCCAACCTAACATTCCTCTCTCCCAATGCCATTAGTTCTGTTTGTTTTTTATATAAACCCATCCTCCCCCACCCCACCCCCACTTCTTAACTCTTTCTGTGATTTTATTGAGCTGGGGAGCAGGTGATTAGTCAACAAAATGTGCATGTATATAGGCATAGGACCTATACTATTACATTTTACTGAACATCGATAGTTAATAGATCCTTGAGTGCTTGTTCTAAGCAAAGTATGGGGATAAATCTTTATCTTTGTTACATAAGGCTCACAATAACCCTGTAAAGGAGGGACTTCATAATCCCTGTTGCTCCAGTAAGAAAGAAGAGAGGCCACACAGTAAGTGCCAGAGCCAGGATTCAAATGTGGCTCCAAAGTCCACATTCTTAACCAATCTGCTGCAGTGCATGTGTGAAGATGGATGATGCATGGATGGATGGATGGATGGATGGATACATGGATAGGTCACTGGATGGATGGATGGATACATGGATAGGTCACTGGATGGATGGATGGATGGATGGATGGATGGATGGATACATGGATAGGTCACTGGATGGATGGATGGATGGATAGATACATGGATAGGTCACTGGATGGATGGATAGATGGATGGATGGATGGATGGATGGATGGATGGATGAATGGATGGATGGATGGACGGATGGATGGATGGATACATGGATAGGTCACTGAACAGATGGATGGGTAGATACATGGATAGGTCACCGGATGGGTGGATGGATGGATGGATGGATGGATGGATGGATGGATGGAGAGATGCATGGAGGATGCATGGATAGGTGGATGGATGGATGGACGGATGGAGAGATGCATGGAGGATGCATGGATAGGTGGATGGATGGATGGATGGATGGATGGGTGAATGGATGGATGGTTGGAGAGATGGATGGAGGATGCATGCATGGATGGATGAATGACAGATAGGAAGATGTGGCTTGCTTTCTCACAAGGATATGCATGTATTTACCTGTTCATTCATTCAACCAATATTTACTAAGTCTGTCACTTATTAGGAGTTATATGGGAGGAAGAAGGAATTAGCTTCAGTTATTTATTCCACAAATAATTTTATTGTGTGCTTTCTCTGTGCAAGACACTAAAGTGAGTGATGAATTTATAGTAAATTAAATAGTTTTGTCCTTATGAAGCTTGCAGTCTGCTGGAGAAGAGCTTGATAATACCTTGCCCAGGTTTAGCATATATAGTTGTCAGTGCTTTCACACATCATATCATTTGATCTTAATGAAAACCCTGTGAGGTTAACAAAGCAGACACTTTCATCCCCACTTTAGATTAAGTGACTTATCCAAAATCACATTGCCAATAAATATCAAAGCCCAAGGACTCAAGACTTCTGACTCTACTCCAGTGCTTGCTCCTTCCAGGACACCATAGTAATCTTATTTTATCTTTCTTTGGTGTTTTAGGACAATCAAATAAAGCTTAAACTCCATGGAGGCAAAAAGAAGGTAAAAATTATACAAGGGGACATCATTGCTTCCAATGGGCTTCTGCACATCCTTGACAGAGCCATGGACAAGTTAGAACCCACATTTGAGAGCAACAATGAGGTGAGTATTCAGATAAAAGTCACATCAGGCCAGGTCCATCTTCCTTTGTTCCCTGGAGAGTCACATCCAGAGCATGCCAGCACTCTGTGCTTGTGCTTCGTTTGTGCTAGGATCCCGAGCAGAGAGAAGAAGAGGTGGTTTGTCTGTTTCCAATAGAAACCTGGGAATCTCTGCAGAAAGAAAGCAAGACGTACAGTAACATATGTGGGAAAGATCTGGATTTTTTTTTACCTCTTTTATTACTGCATCAGGCAACTCAGTCCATGACCAATCATCATGAAAATATTTTATAGAGGGCAGTTATTGCTGCAATAAAACTTATTACTTCTGACCTAGATGATGAGGGCCAAAGGATACTTCAGAACATGCAGATCTGAACTACTGTTTCAACGACAGCGAACATTTATATAATGCATTGCAGTTGACCAGGTTCATTTATATAAATCCATACTGACACATAAACTCTGTCATCAGTCTTTAAATGTTAGAATTTGTATTTCCTAAATCACAATATTTTATTTCCTGATTTTTAAGCAAAATGTCTCTTTTTAGCAAACCATAATGACAATGCTACAACCAAGGTACAGCAAGTTCAGATCTTTGTTAGAGGTAAGCACTTTTCATAATTTTCTGAAAAATATTTATGTCAAGACTTTTGTAAAATTAGCAGGGGTGTCAATTATAAATTTCTGGCGAATTATGTTAAATATTTGTCCAAGGTAGGCTGCAGATACAAAATTTCATTTCCCAAATGCAGGAAACCAATTTGGGACATGCCTTAGATGAGGATGGAGTTGGTGGACCATACACCATTTTTGTTCCAAATAATGAAGCATTGAATAACATGAAGGACGGCACTCTCGATTACCTCCTTTCTCCAGAGGTACCGTATTCTGCTTGCTCTGATGGCATCGTGTCAGCAGCACTGCCTCAGTCTGTGTCTAAACAGGTTTTTCCTAAACTAGAGATAGTAAATAAGTTGTACATGTATCACCACCTACCCTCCAACAACCAAGGCAGGCATCACTAATCAATCACAACATTCTGGAACTAAGCCTGGATGTGGCTTCAGTCTCTTCGATAGAATTTCAAGTTGCCATGATCAATTAGACTTGATACAGGAAATGAAATGTATTTGCAATCCCAGGCCTAAATGGTTGGTTTGATTTGTCTTGACTCTTCTAATATTTCTCACTAGTAAAATCAACACTTCAAGTTCCCTACAACTCTAAAATCACCTAGAGAATGAAGCCTAAACTAGGCCATTCAGGGCCAGGTCTAGGCTAAACTTTAAAAAGAATACGTGTTATTTTTAGATGCTTCAGCCTTTCCTTTCCTTTCTATTGCTTTCATCTTTCTCCACCATGGGCTTTCAGTTCTCTCACATTCTCCTCTAAAAGGGCAATTATTGACTTCTTCATATCGGGGTGTCAATGACTGAAACCATTTAAAGTGTTTCCTTTCCCAGAAATAATAGCCTTAACTTGAAGAGGACAGCCTATTGTGGAATTTTGTTCGTTAGAATGTCAAATAGTGGAATTACATGAAAGGTCACATGCTTTCTTTCAGTGCCCTGAAACTATGCCACCATCTTGGTAATGGGGAGAGATGACCTATGACTTCATAAAGATCAGTGTTGATTATATAGAATGTGGAGAGAAGGAGGAAAGGATGTCCCAGTCTTTTAGGGTAGTGATTCCCAAAGTGTAGTGTAGACAGAAACCATCCATGGAGCTTGCTAACTAGGCAGATTCCAAAGCCCTACCTCAAGCATTCTGGTTTAGTGGTGCTGGGATGAGGCCCAGAAATAGACACGCTGGTAACCACCAACTTTCTAATTCAGATAGCCCCAGCCCACACTGTTTTGGGAATGCTGAAAGTTGTTGCCTGTTAGGTTTAGGAATTCACATAGATATATATCCCTTTTTAGAATGCTTTCAGGTATCTATAAGGATATCTTGCTGTCAAAAAACTTAGGATTTTTTTTTTTTTTTTTTTTGAGACGGAGTCTCGCTCTGTCGCCCAGGCCGGACTGCGGACTGCAGTGGCGCAATCTCGGCTCACTGCAAGCTCCGCTTCCCGGGTTCACGCCATTCTCCTGCCTCAGCCTCCCGAGTAGCTGGGACTACAGGCGCCCGCCACCGAGCCCGGCTAATTTTTTGTATTTTTAGTAGAGACGGGGTTTCACCTTGTTAGCCAGGATGGTCTCGATCTCCTGACCTCATGATCCACCCGCCTCGGCCTCCCAAAGTGCTGGGATTACAGGCGTGAGCCACCGCGCCCGGCCAGGATTTTTTTAAAACTTAACAAGGAGATAAATCAAAAGTAATCTCTTACATTGCAAACAGATGTTCAACATATGAAAAGATTAGTTATAAGTTTCCATAGAAAAAGTCAGATTTCCCAGGGTCTTCCAAAATAGAATGATATTTCAAAATATGATTCACACCCAAATTTTATGAAACCTAGCTATTGCAGAAAACTGCTAGACCTCTCTTTAGAACTCACATTCATACTTAAAGTGAGCTAAAAAAAAAAAAAAAAAAAAGGTAATGTTGTTCCCCTAAGAAATTATTAAAATCCTGAGATTATGTGGCCTCCCTGAGTACATAGCTTCTAATTTGATGCACATTTTAATAATAATAATAATAAAGGAGTTCTATGACACACTTAAAATTAAAATAAAACCTTTTAACTAGAATAGGAAAAAATCAACCTCATTGCTTAGTTCTGTCAGCCACCTTTGTTCCAAACATTCTTCTCTTTCTCCTCCCTTGTAACTCCTTCCAGTGGTATCTGGAAATGACTCATTTAAGCTCTCCAGAGTAGATTGTGTACATCTCTTCTGAGCTCTGTTCAATGAGATGACATTTATAGCTTGAAATAAGCCTTTGGTAAGAATACTTACACCACAAAAATGGTTAATGCACGCCACTGCTCCTGGCTCTCAATCTTGTTTCTCTCCAAGACGTATCTTTCTGCCTGCAAAGAACATGAAACTTCAGGTCTCTTTGTTCTGAGTTAAAAACTGCTTTTCCATTTCAATTTCTAGGTGAGAAGTACAATCATTTCTGCTTCTTTCTCAGGTACAGAGGGGTTAATTTTTCTCAACCTATAGGAAGCTCCTTCTGTCTCCATCCATCTTAACGGCTTTATCTTCAAGGAAGAGTGCAGGAAATTCCCCATCGGCTATGCCAATGAAATGGAAAATAAACAGTCCTCTTTAGAAGAAGGGCTTCTAATTCTGACTTTGGAATGCCATGTCTTCTTCCCAGTGTATCTTTCTACTTCTCTCTGAGGCAAAATTTCAGTCTGGAAACCCTCCCATTCCTGCAGAGACCACAGCTTCTGATTACAAGCCCCAGTTCAAGGTTTCATCACTGAACCAGACAGAAATAAAAGCAAAGAGAGCAAGACACCTGCCCTTGCCAATTCACAGACACCCTGCAAGTAAAGTGGGGAAAGGGACGTGAATTTATACAGTTCAAGGTCAAATTATCTCTTTCTGCCTCTGGCACCAAAGAACTTGAGTTTGGTTTTGTTTGATTTTGTTTTTACCTGAAACAGCAGGAAGGAAGTGAGTGCCCTCATAAAAGAAAGAATGTGTCGCACCAAAAGGCTCTTCAACAACGACAGCTCCTGGAAACCTACCCTGTTCGAGCCACACTGGAGTGAATTCGAACTGGGCAATGGCTCCAATAGATCTCAGCCAGATAAGACACAGGCACACACAGTAACGGGAGTGATGCGGATCAATTTCTTTGTCCCTCTCATTCTTCTGCTTCTTGTCAAAAGGATACAATAATTAATTCCTGAGGCTTTGAAAGTGGATTATCTCATTGCTAAATGCTTTCCTATAGAAGCATCAGAAGACTGGAAGGAATCCATACCAGTCCCCTTATTTTGCAGGTGAAACTGAGACTCATGGGTTAAGTGACTTGCAGAAGGTTACACACAAGCAGAACCAGGACTAGATCTCATGTTCCTGAAGGCCAGCTCAGTGCTCCTCCCAGGACCCCTACCCATGCCCTTTAATTTACTGGCACAAATGTTTATGGAAAACTTATTTTATGCCCCACACTGCACTTGCTGGGGACATGGTGATGGGTGGTTAGCAAACCAGACAGACCCAGCCCCTGCCTTCCAGGAGTTTGCAGTCCAGTTTGGTGGACGCAGTCAAGTTTGGGGGATGTTTCCCAACAGTCCCCACTTTGTCTGACTCCTTCAACCACTGGAGCATCAGAGCATGTAATAACATTGCTTCTGCCTGTAAGTCTCCATTTCTGAATACCATGCAGTAACTGAGACGTAAGTTGAAGATGTAAGTTGAGATGTAAAGGCTAGGTGACTTGCTCAAGGTCACATAGTAACAGAACCAGGGCTGCAGAAAGCATCACTTCCAGGGCTGGCTAACTGGTGGTCAATTTCAACATTTTTATTGACAACCCTGCCCTGCACATAATGCTATTGGCTAATAGATATGGTGGCCACATAACTTATCATCCATGCCAGGTCACTTCTGAAAGTGAATGGAGGTGCCAGGACAATAGGCATAGACCAGGATTGTACCAGACAAGCCAGGATAGGTGGTCCTGCTACTAACAGGTAACTCCCTTGGCACAGTGACCAAGGCCAAATGCAGAGAGGAGGCTGGGTGAGGAAACTCAGGTTCAGCAGGGCTTTCTCTTAGCCTGGGACTTCACGCTGTTGCAACCTGTTCTTAGAACATTCAACCTCTTGGCAGTTATTAGGATCTTGATTTGTGATCCTTCACTTTTCCAAGCCAGAGTGACTGTGGCTGTGCTACTTAAATAGCAGAACTTGAGGGCTGTGAAGCTTGTAACTCCCATCTCTGACTTAGCTGGCAGATTGCAGATAAATTACAGCAGACCACTGTGGTCACTGCCTTCTTCTCACAAAGAGTGTGGTCCCTGTGTTCCTCAACTCTGCAGCCTCTCTCCAGGGCACCCTATAGGGGCTGCTCATCCTGTCTATGGTCTCCTTTGTGGGGCTAGGACCCTCTTTTCTCCACTGCTGCTTCAGTTTTATGAAGCTTGAGAAACCTTGGAAAGGGCTTTGAAGGAGAGGGACAAACTTCTCATGGAAGGAAGAGGTGATCGCTATCCCTATGACTCTATAATCCTAAATGACCTGTATGTGGTCTGACAAACAGACGTTTATTTATGGAGCAAATGGAACAGAATAATAAATCAAGACTGTCTTAGAAAATCCAGAATATAGCCTTAGACATTCTGAGAAGTGATGGAGCAGAGTAACTGAGAGCCTGGGCTAATTCTTAGGCTCATATCCTGAGTTAGTTTTTTGACCTTGGACATGTCTTTGAATGTCGGTATTACCACACATAAAATGGGTCAATAGGAGTCCCCACCTCACACGGCTGTTGGGAGGATTAAATGAGACGTGCATATTATGCTTTCAAAACAGCCTCTTCCACAGAGTGGGAATTTGGTGAACGTTAGCTATTTGGAGGTGGGGTTTCTCTCACCCTGGATTTCCCAATAGATTATGGGTCATTTTTCTTGATTGTCTAACGTCATTTGAAGAGGATTCCACAAGAGTGGAAGTGTTGCATTTTCTTCTTTGACTAAAGAAGTATTTGGTTCCTTTGCAGGGATCTCGGAAGCTTCTGGAACTCGTCAGATACCACATTGTCCCATTTACCCAGGTTGGCCCCACTTTTCCTGCTGCTACTTTCTCTCTGCTTCCAAGATAGCTAACTTAGTCTTGAATTCCAATATTTTGACGCTAGAAAATGTCCTTTATCTGTAGCTCTGAATAAACCCTCAGCCATGAACAATGAGTCCATTATCAGAGCGATCTTCAAAGCCACAAAAACTCTTGAGATCAAAACTCCCTTTACTTATTTCACTTTGAAACCTATTTTTTCTAGTGAGGACTTTAAGAACTCAGGGCCCTGCGTGTGGTCCCAAATATCTCTGCCTTTTGTTCTCTTCTTATTGCAGCTTGAAGTGGCCACTCTCATCTCCACCCCTCACATCAGGAGCATGGCCAACCAGCTCATACAGTTCAACACCACCGACAATGTAAGTGAAAACTCAACCACCACCAGCATCACTTGAACACATCTTTGCTCGATAATGATTATTCATCAGGTTATCCTGCCTCTATGCTAACTCATGGGCTTAAAATCTTTATGATTATTTCATTCATTTGCTCACTTCTCTCAGCAGATATGTGCTGAGCAACTACATGCGTGAGAGTCTGCACTAGATGCCGAGAATAAAGGAGTGAAAAAGATAGACTTCTATCCCAGCAGGGAAGACAGACTTTAAATAACTCACTGGGCAATGAGTTAATTATTTAATTACAATGGTAATGAGTGTCCCCAAGAGGAAATTCAGGGGGCTGTGAGAGCACAGAACAGGAGGAGTCTGAGAGCATCTTCAGGCCAGGAGGTCCTCATTGAGGAGGTGATGCTTTGGCCATGCTATGAATAAAGTGAAATTGGACAGGGATCAGTAGAAAAGAGTTCCAGACAAAAAAAAAAAAAAAAAAAAGAGAGAGAGCATGTGCAAAGACCCTGAGGTCAGGGGAACACAATTCATTTTTAAAACTCCAAAGAAGGCTGCATTATTCATCTAACTCCCTGGGGTTGCAATATGAACAAACATCCAGCAGCACAGGGTTGATATAGAATCACTGTTGATGGTGATGATTATCTCATTCTTTCAACAAATATCTATTGAGTTCCTACTGTGCATCAGGCACTGTTGTAGGTCCTGAAGACAGACCAATGAACAAACAGACAAAAGTCCCTGGTTGTATGGAAATTTCATTCTAGTAAATAGGGGATAGAAAATAAGTTAAATGCATAAAATATATCATCTATTAGACAGCAGCAAGTGCTAAGGAGAAAAACAGCAAAGCAAGGAAGGGGGACAGAAGGTGGGGATGGAGCTGACATCTTAGATAAATACTCAAGAAGCCCTCATGGGGAAGAAACATCTGAACAAAACCTGAACCTGAAGGAATTAGGGGAACAAACAGTGTGAATATCCGGGGGACATTCCAGAGGGAACAGCAAGGGTGAAAAGCACAGAGCAGAAAGGAGCATGCTGGGCTGTGTGAGGAACAGCAAGGCCAGTGTGGCTAGAGCAGAGAGAGCAAAAGGGAGAAGAGTAGGAAAGGAGGCTGGGCAAGAGAGAGAGGAGGAGAGTGGGGGTCAGGTCATGCATGGCCTAAGAAGTCAGGGTAAGGATGCAGGCTCTTACTTGGAATGAGAGGAGAAGCAGTTGGAGGATTTTGAACTGAGGAATGACATGATCGGGCATACATTTTGAGAGGCTGGTGAGGAGATTTGATTGCAATAATCTGGAGAATACTGATGGTAACTCAGACCAGGGTGGTAGCAGGGACATGGTGAGGAATGGCTGAATTTTGAATGTATCTGGTTGGTGCAAAAGTAACTGCAGTCTTGCAATTTTTAAAAAATTGCAAAAACTGTGATTATTTTTGCACCAACCTAATATTCTGAAAGTAGATACAGCAGAATTTGCTGATGAGTTAAATGGGGGTGAAGACAGAGGAAGCCAGGATAACTCATGGAGCTTGACTTGAGCAACCAGAAGAATGAAGCTGTCATTAATACTGCAGGGGGTGGGTGGCAGGTTTATGAGGAAAGTGGAGATCAGAAATCTTTGCTAATTGGTTCATTTTCTGCTCCCTCCACTAAAACATAAGCAAGAACTCATCTATTTGTTCACAGATGTATACCCAGCTCCAAAGGCAGAGCATAAGTGAGGTCAATAAATGTATTCAAATGAATGGATCCCTATTTCACCAGAGAGAGGTCAAAGAATTTGCGCAAGGTCTCACAGCAAGTATATTGCAGAGCTTGAATAATTATAATTTGTACTTAGCCCTGCACCTGCAAGAACCATTTCTACAAGGGCATCCTTGCCTGGTGTTAGTCAAGAATTCACTGAACAGATTCAATCTTTCCCTGTCAGCCAAACCCTTATAATAGCAACCTACCCTCCAATGAAAAGTTAAGTGATGTTGAGGACTTTTTAGCAAAGTTGCCACCATTCAGTCTGCCTGAGGATCACTGGCAGTCCTGCAGTACAGAATAGTACAGAATTAGAGATGTCATTTTTTCTTTCCAGGGACAGATTCTGGCAAATGATGTGGCAATGGAAGAAATTGAGATCACTGCCAAAAATGGCCGAATTTACACACTGACAGGAGTTCTCATTCCTCCCTCCATTGTCCCGATTCTGCCCCATCGATGTGATGAAACAAAGAGAGAGATGAAACTGGTAAGAAAACTAGGAAAATAAGTAAGGGCCCCAAACAGCCCCTCAGAGCAGAGAGCATCCCACTCCTCACAATTCTGAGAAAGGTGTCAAAGAAAGTTGGACTTCCAGAACCTTGTCCCCAAAGGGCTTCCGTCTTCATGAAGATGCAGGTGGATCTGAAGTCCCACCTCATAAACTGTGAACCACAGTTCCTTGGGGAATTTCCGCAATGATAGATGCTGCCCAGGAATATTGGCTCCTCAGAGCTGCCATGATGAATTACCACAAACTGGGAGGCTTGCCACAACAGTAATTTATTCTCTCACAATTCTGGAGGTCAGAAGTCTGAAATCAAGATAGCAGAGCCATGCTCCCTCTGAAGGCTCTAGGGAAGAATGTTTCTTTCCTTGCCTCCTTCTGGATTCTGGGGGCTCCAACAATTCTTGGCATTCCGTGGCTTGTAGCTGCAGGGGTCTCACTGTGTTGCCCAGTCTGGAAATGACAGGTGCACACCACCACACCTGGCTAATTTTTTTTTCTAGTTTTTTATTGTAGAGATGGGGTTTCACCATCTTGCCCAAGCTGGTCTCAAACTCCTGGACTTAAGCGATCCTCTCATCTCGGCCTCCCAAAGTGCTGGGATTACAGGCCTGAGCCACTGTGTCCTACCCACCTCTCCTCTTTTTATAAGGACATCGATCATTATATTTAAGGCCCACACTAATTCAGCAGGGCCTCATGTTAGCTTAACGAATTACATCTGCAAAGACCTTATTTCCCAACAAGATCACATTCTGAGGTTCCAGGGGACACAAGTTTTTGGAAAGATATTATTTACCCACTATACCAGAGCTCTGGGATCCAATCAGGGTTTTCCAACCCAACCCCTGGGATTTAGGATCAGTCTCCTGCCTCTTCCTTCCCCTGTCCCTGTCATCTGGGACCACTTGCTCCAGGCTCACAGCTTTACTGTAAGAGGGACTTAAAATAGAATTTCTTCTCAGGTAGCTGCTCTAGCCTAGCCAATCAACCGTCTTTCTGCAGTACTTTTCAAAAAACCAAACTTTCTGTTTCCCTATGAGCTTCTGTACCCTCTAGCCTTTCCTATTTCCATAGCAACTTTTTGGCTCAGCCAGTTTTGTTTTGTTTTGTTTTTGTTTGTTTGTTTTGTTTTATTTTGTTTTGAGACAGAGTCTCGCTCTGTTGCCCAGGCTGGAGTGCAGTGGCAGGATCTCTGCTCACTGCAAGCTCTGCCTCCCGGGTTCATGCCATTCTCCTGCCTCAGCCTCCCGAGTAGCTGGGACTACAGGTGCCCTCCACCACGCCCGGCTAATTTTTTTGTATTTTTAGTAGAGACGGGGTTTCACTGTGTTCACCAGGATGGTCTCAATCTCCTGACCTCGTGATCTGCCCGCCTCGGCCTCCCAAAGTGGTGGGATTACAGGCGTGAGCCACCGCCCCTGGCCAGTTCAGCCGGTTTTAATCAAAGCACCTGAAATTCCAATACTGCTGTACATGCACTATTTCGGTTCCCATGGAAAACATAACCCCAAGTTTTAACAATAATAGGTCTGGGTCTTTCTTTTCAGGATGCTTCAATAATACATTAGTGATTGCTCTGACAATATCCTTGGAACATGAGCATTAAACAAGGAAAAATGGTCTCATTTTATTTATTGTTTTGTTTTACTGATTCCTCTTCTTGTTATGAAGGCTGGAAATAGCTGGCCAAGCACCTGGCACAGGATTGTGGCTGATTCTTTTAATTCTAGATATTTTAATTGATGTAATGACTCTGATATGATTTAGGCCACAGAGGACGGAGCTGATCCTCTGTGCCAGTCAGATGCCATCTGGAGAATTTGATTCCATGCTGAGAACCCCTTTTTTAAGAGAGGCAGAAACATGGTCACTTTCCTAGCCAGTCCCCAGCAGTGATTTATGTTTGGTTCATTCTGTAGAAACAAGGATTGGGCAGGTGCATCACCTGTTCGATTTCAGATTATTCAAAAGCTTATTCTCCACCTCCCTAAAGAACAGAATCAAGATGTGGGTTTGAGCTACAACCCAAAGAATTTTGGTTACATAAGGAAAAGAACTTCCTAATAGCTGCCTTAGAATGAACTCTTCCTTTACTAGTTTCTCTAGGTTTAAAGTCAAATCTATTTGCTCTACATGGTTTAGAATGGTTTTTGAGTGGGTTCATCAAAAGTCCAAATGCATTCTCTGGAAAGTATTTAGGACTAGCAAAGAGTAGAAGCAGCTGGTACCCTCTGGAAGTCTCAGTGTTTACCAGGCTGAATCTATAGCTGCCTTTGGCCATGTATGTTTGGATTTTAGAGGTTTAATAACAACACTGTACTAGTTATGGTCTCTGCAAGAAACAGAATCCATCTGAGATGATCCAAACGAAGAGATTCTGATGAAGGAGCTACTGCAGAGGTGTGGACAGGGCTAAGGAAACGAATAAGTTTTGCTGGAGCTTTGAGGGAGAAGCAGGAAACCACTGCAACTAGGGACCAAAGAGCCCAGGGACAGGACATAGAGTTACCTGAACCCAGTGAGAGCAGGAAGCGTGGAAGAGGTGACCTCCTTCAGGAGCCGTAGGGATGGTACCAAAGCAGAGAGGGAGCAGGGATGAAATCCTTGACCTTGTTGTCCTCCTACCCACCAAAATCCTGCTAGTGACTGGACGTTGGCCAACACCAATCAGAAGCTGGCAAGGGAGCTTGAGAACATCCTTCACGGTCTACCTTCTGGGGCACAGAGCCAGATGGAGAAGGTCAGAGAGGATCTGGAGAAATTGGAGGCACACTCCCAATTCCATCACCCTGAACCAGTAGAGGAGAATCCAGGAGACTGAAAGGCAGAGATTCAGTGTTCGGCTATATTGCTGCTAAGCTAATTGGAGGACATGGCCTTAAGTCTGTAACCAAAGCTAATACTTCATCCCTAGCACAGGTCAATAACTGCAATGTCCCCTCAGGGGCAGGTGCCTCCCTGCATGCAGAGAATTGATCAGAAGCTGGGAGCCCGTGGACAGGCTGGCTCTGAAAGAAGTAAAAAAGGGGGCTGCTCTGAGCAGGCTCAGTTTTCTCTCCTAAACTCCTCCCACCAGCCCCCACCCCCAGCGCTGACTTCACTCCTTCTCCCACGGTGGAGTCGGTGTGGGGAGGGGGTGGGTAGAGAGGCCAGGATCATGGCTCAGTGGGGTTTCCTTCACAGGGAGGGAAGCATGAAACCAGCCACAGGACCATCGCCACTGCTCCCTCTCATAGGGACACCTGCACTGACCTCCTGTCTCTCCCTCCAGGGCACTTGTGTGAGCTGTTCTCTGGTGTACTGGAGCAGATGTCCTGCTAACTCTGAGCCCACAGTGAGTGTGACAGCTTCATGAAAGCACAGATCACCCAAGCAGCCCCACTGGTGTGGTTTCTCAACCTATCTACCTTCCTTCTTTAGAAGATATTAATTGCAGCTGGGGTAATATAAGATGGGCTCGTAGCCTACTATATGGGGGATGGTAGAAAGCGATCCCACAGACCTGTGTTTGAATCCTTGTTCATTGACCCTAGAGAAGTCGTTTAACCCTTTTACTGTTTCTTCATCTGTAAATGATAATAACAAAAAGATTCACATAGATAAAAATTGAAGCACAATATCTAAATCAAGAAGGCACTCAGTTCCCATCTACTTTTTCCCTTTTGGGACTGTAATATTATAGATGTCCACTTTTGGGTGGTACTGGCATATTGTGCAGAACTGTCTGTAAACAAGTCCTAATATTTGTTCTTCCCAAGCACTCTTCTGCAGAGACATACAAGAAAATAATACTGGGACTATCAAAAGCTTCCAAGTTTAATTGAATTCTGTACACATTTATTGAGGATTGAGCATATATCAGACATAGTGCTTGCTTCCAGAGGCATGAGGATGAATAAGAAATCATTTCATTTTGCTTTTATCTGAGAAGCTCCATCTAAAAAGGAAAACAGTTGTGCAATGATCTATCATTCATATGCCAAGGACTCTATTGGTGGTAAAAAGCAAAGTGTTCTAAGGCAAAAATGATGATAGAAATTTTTGCCTATAAGTTTATCATAAGAAAGAACTTACCAATGAGAAGTGGCATTAAACACTAGAATAGATCATTAGGTAAGGTTATGAGCTCTTTAATGTGATTCTATTGTGAAGTATTTAGTAAAGCAAAACATTAAAATTAAATAGATGCAGGTGTTCAGATATTTATTTTGCTTAACAAAGGCATTACCCCTGAGTCCTTCAGGATGCTGTCAAGCAGGGAATGTGAGAGGGAGGAGAAGAGGAAATTGTGTTGGCTGGTGTCACAGTGATTGCTGTGTGCCAGACATTGTTCTAAATGCTTTATGCAGCAGCCCCACGAGGTGGGTATATTATCACCATAACCAATGTATGATTAGGGCACTAAGGCAAGGAAACGTAAACCACCTTGTACAAGGTCACACAGCTGATGTGGCAGAACCATGATTTGTTCTACATGTTTAATCACCATTCTATGATTGTCTCAGCCCAGGGAAAGAGAAGGAAGAGGGAAAAGAAAGGGAAATTAGACACATGGGTAGGAGCCAAAAGAAGCCCTCAAATCACCCATCCCGGGAATCCTGTGACCCACACCTGGTTAATTATCCTGAGATTCCCAAAAGGACTGTAGTGCTCCTTCCTCAGTGACCTCAGAATTCCTTCATATAGCTAATATTTTAGGATTTTATAGCCTAGGAAAGTCTCATTGCCCTCTTCTTGAGCAACAGCCTAAGATGAAGGGATAAGCTTGACATCAACAATTATCTAAAACAAAATTTGAACCAGAGACTAAATTCTCGTGACAAAACTTGAAATCAGCATTATTGTCTCATCAATATTTTCTTGATATTTTATAAATTAGGCAGCTGAGGCCCACAGAGGCTACATGACTGTGATCCTAAAGTCTGTACGTGATAAGACCCATTCTCTAGACCTTATACTTACTATCAGTGTTTCTTGGAAAAAATGATTTAACCTGTCTGGGCCTGTTTCCTTATCTATAAAAAATGGCATGAGAAACATCCACATAGAATTGAAGATTGATGAACTCATCTGTGCAATGTGTCTGGCCCATAAAATGTTCTCAGTAAACATGAGTTCTAGATAATTATGAGTGGGCATTGTTGGTTAGAATGGAAGGATGCATATAAATCTGCCCCACTCCTAAGAGAAAAACTCAGACTATCACAATTTTGTTTGGCAAACCTTTCAATGAAGTGTAGATAGACCCTTTGGGGGCTCCAAAATGTCTCTGTAGGAGATCTTAGGGATGGCTATAGATCGGAAGGGGAGACTAGACCGTATCCAGAATGAACAGAAAATATTTTCTGCTTAGAGACATCTGCTGTGGCATGGAAGAGGGAATAAAGATCTGTGGGCCATGGATGATGCAAACTCTGGCCTGTATTCCACCAACAAGGGAACAGGCCTAAAAAAGGGTGTCCAAGCTCTGATGTAGACCCAGGTCTGCTAGTGTGGTCCAGCACTCTCTCCTGACGTCAGTGGTGAAATGGAAGTACAATGGCAAGTGTCTGCAGAGGGTGTGCAGTGCCTGGAGGACCTAAACATGCTGACTGCCATGCTTTCCCTCCTTGGCTTTCTCCAGGCACTCTTCACACACAGATGTGTCTACAGTGGCAGGTTTGGGAGCCTGAAGAGCGGCTGTGCCCGGTACTGCAATGCCACTGTGAAGGTGAGGAGCGCGTGGCCGAGGCCCAGTCTAGGCCAGTAGGGCCAGGCAGCTCCAGGGCCATGCTCTTGGGTCCTAGGGTCCACGTGGTCACAGGTGGCCCGTGCTTGCTGTTGTCTTCCTGCAGAGGAATCAAAGGTAGATTCTTCATATGGTGGCCAGACTCTGTCCTTTCCTGCATCACAGCCTCCCATGGTTCCCTACCCTCTTAACACAGATCACACTCTTAACACTTCCCCACATGGCCCACCCTCTGCCTGTGGCTCTGACCTGCCTGTCACCCCCATTCCTACCTCAGAGCATGCACACTTGCCATTCCCTCCCTCTGAATGCTCTTCCAGATTTCCCTGAGGCTAACTCATCTTCAGTGTCTCCATTAACCAGCACTGTCACCACCAATCTGCAGTGGCCTCCCTAGTACCCACCTGACTTCTGGCCCTACCTGCCACCACTGGATGATAATACTTTGTTTTCCCAGCACTCACCGTTCTCTGAAATGATCTTGTTTTACTGTTTTTAAAATTCATACATTGACTCTTCCCCAACTTAGAACGTTGGCTCCACAAGCATGAGCCTTCCTCTGTCTGTTCGCACAGTGTTAGAGCCAGTCCAGCACCCAGGGGAGGGGCTCAGTAGAGTTGTGGTGACCAGATGACTGAGCACTAGCCATGCCATCAACTGCCAAAGAAAAGGGCAACCTCATAAGGAGAGGCGAATATGGCTTAGTATAATAATGGAAATTAAAATGCATCCCCTTTGAGGAATTGGTGCTCTACTTGGGGGTTCAAAGGGGAACACGCATTTTGTTTTTCAGATTCCAAAGTGCTGCAAAGGCTTCTATGGACCTGACTGCAACCAGTGTCCAGGAGGCTTCTCAAATCCATGCTCAGGAAATGGACAGGTGAATACTGAAGACTGGCCTTCCATAAGTCAAATCAAACAATAATTTTTAGAACTTCTAAACCAAAATGTGATATAATGCCAGCTACTCTTCCCAGGAAGCAAAAGAAATGACCCCTTACTAAAAGAACAGCAGGTGTCTGCAGTAGAAGGATCTGGGTCTGGGATGGGGGATGGGAGAGAGAGATTCCGGTAATGTTGCCTCTAGTCTGCTTCTCTATTGCGGGCTGCAGGACGTTGGGTAACTCAAGAAGGATCTCTGGGCCTCACGTTCCTCCTGTGGGAGATATCAGGGTTGACCTGCATTGATCTTCAAGACTCCTTCCAGAACTAAGATTTTATGATAGTTAAAAAATAGCTCTGCCTCCTGATTGCTTTTTTGAACCTATGAGCAAAACCTAGTGAAATGTAACAGCCGAAACTTAACTCATCTAGCTTGGAGGCAAAAGTAGCTGTGGTTCATACAGGGAAATTATACATCTGTGCATTTAATAAGCCCGCCTCTAAAACGTGGCTTTTTCAAGGGGAAAGTATCAGCCATGAGTGGGGACACCATGTGGACAAGGAGAATAGGGAGAGGCCAGTACAAATGACTGCGGCCAGGGGTTAGAAAGGGCCCACACCCAACACTGATGTCAATCAGCACACATATGACCTTGCCAGGGCTAGAGAGGTGGGAGGCAAATATGTTTACCACTGAAGAGAGAAAACACTGCAGTTTGGAGTCACAGAGCTGAGCAGGTGAGACTGTAAAGGGAGGCTAGTCACTCATTCTGGAGGCCCCTGTCTTATCACTTATCCCTTAAGCATTGTTGAAAGGTTCCCAGTTCAGCATTGTGATGCCCCCTTGAGTGACTTCCCTTAAAGTTCTAAATCCTGGCTTGGGATTCCCAAGCTCGGCACTGCTTTAGCAGCCTCCCTGATATCACATGACTCCACTTTCCACGAGGAGTCCCAGAGGGTCATGTCAAGTGGGATTTAATCTGAATTCAAAGAAGTCAGGCCATGAAATGAAAACACCTGAGAACTATGTGTCCTAATGGCCCATGGGCCCTGCCTTTGCTCCCAGTGTGCAGATAGCCTCGGCGGCAACGGGACATGCATTTGTGAGGAGGGCTTCCAAGGCTCCCAGTGTCAGTTCTGCTCTGATCCCAATAAATACGGACCTCGGTGTAACAAAAGTAAGTGGCACTTCCAGAGCTTCCTTCCACTCCTAAGCAAGGTTCCCTCTCGTGCTGCAGCAGGGTGCTGGTGCAGGGCTGGTGTCTCAGGACCCCTTTGCTTGGGTTACACCATCATCACAGAGCATTCATTAAGCTTTGGTTCTCAAACTGGAGCGTGTGTCAGAGGGCTGATCCCTGAGCCCCACCTGCAGAGTTTCTGATTCACTAGGCCCCAATGGGTCTTCAGAATTTGCATTTCTAACAAGTTCCGAGGGGGCACTAACACTGCTGGTCTGGGAAGCACACTTTGAAGACCACTCTCCAAAAGTTTCTCCACATTCTTGAAGTGATAGTGGGCTCTATATCAGGAAACAGATTCAGGCCAGACACAGTGGCTCACACCTGTAATCCCAGCACTTTGGGAGGCTGAGGTGGGTGGATCACTTGAGGTCAGGAGTTTGAGACCAGCCTGACCAACATAGCAAAACCCCATCTCTACTAAAAATACAAAAATTAGCAGGGTGTGGTGGCAGGTGCCTGTAATCCCAGCTACTCTGGAGGCTGAGGTAGGAGAATGGTTGAACTCAGGAGGCAGAGGTTGCAGTAAGCTGAGATTGAGCCACTGCACTCCAGCCTGGGTGACAGTGAGATTCCATCTGAAAAAAAAAAGAATCAGATTCACTCCCTACCTTTCAGGCAGACCTCTTCCATCAGCTCCTTTATTTGCAAGGCCTGTGGCCTTGGGCAAGTTACTCTACTTCTCTAGGCCTCAGTTTCTTCATCTGTAAAATGGGGATGATGAAAATAGCAAGTGTCTTTTAAAGTTAGTACAACTTATAAATGGAAACCGCTTGCCTTAGAACCATGCCTAGTACAAAACATGTGCCACAAATATTATTATCTCACTATTTTTATCTATTGTTGTTGCTGTTAGTCTAAGTACAGTGACATAAATATCAAGAAGCTTGTAGAACATGTAGAAAGTTCCACCACAATAGGCATTGAAAAAAATAAAGTTATGCAACCTCAGAAAATGCATTCCCTCATTCTGTTCTTTAAAATGACATCCTGTATATATTTAAATAAGCATATGTATATTTTTGACATATATTTCTAAGCTAACAGCTCGTTGTGGAGTCAGACCATCCTGAAGTCCCCACACTCCAGCCTACCAACCGTCTGATCTCAGAAAACGGCTATTTCTTCACCTATAAAATGAAGATAATAGTGGTACCTACATTATAGTTTGCTGACAGGATTAAATTAGACCATAATTTCGGGCTTTTGGCACAGAGCTTGCACTGAGCAAGTCATCAATAAGCAAAGCCGCTCCTCTTACTGTCGCTACTAACTCCACACATTTCCTATGAAACACACAACCCTTCCGCTCTCCTACCTTATTTGATCTTCACAAATAACTCTCAGGATGGATGGGAAAGCAGAGCACATCAGGGTCGAGGCTACTGAACCCTTTCCAATGTTCTTTTTGCCAAATTAGATTTTCATATTAGAGGAAGAAAAAAATCAGGGTTTATCCCAAGGCCTGACAATGTTGGCATTTGTCTGAGGCCAGCCGGGCAGGACACCAAGGCTGGGATGGGGCGGTGGCCTTCCAGCTGTCACACCTCTCAATCCAGGGCTACGGCTGTGCACAGTCTCATACAGGGGTCTCGTACCTTGCAAATTAAATGCTGACTTCCCTAAAATTGTATAACAATTCTTTTTTGCTTTAAGTCTGGCTGTGATTTTCCAGGCCCGCTCACTTGTGTTGTTCTCTTTCCTGGATGATGGCTCCAAGCACCCACACGAATTCCTCTCCCATGAGTCCCTTCTGGGGTGAAACTCCAGATTCCTTTATTTCTGATCATTTTCCAAGCCCCCCCAGTCCTTGCCAGGTGCCTTTGAAAATCTCCATGTCCTTCTTTCCACTTTCACATGCATAGGAACCTGAGTCTGATGAGGTGGCCCGTGTTACAATTTTTAAATACCTACAATTGAAAGCAAATTCAGCAGCTAAGGTTTAAAATGATAACGGTGATATGGAAATGCCAGTTCATATAATGATCTACGGTGTTTACACAGTCACGAACGGAAATGGACTTTGAATCCTGGTTTAAGTTTCTGCCTGGGAATTTAGCAGCAAGTTGGGCAACTTGCTTCCTCTCTCTGGGCCTCAGCTTCCTCATCTGAAAAATGGGGGATATAAAAGTACCTACCTTCTGGGCCTGGTGACTATTAATGAGATGGTGCATGTGGAAGGCTGACCTAGTGCCTTGAATGAAGTCAGTGCCCAAATATCGCCTATTGGTTATCATTGGTTTGATGTGATAGAGTGAAAAACAAACATATTAGCTACTTATCAGGAGTCCTGCCAGCATGGGAGATCACTTCTATTTATTCCAGAATATCTTCATGAAAGGTGAGAAATTTCCAGGCTAAACTCTCCAACCAGGAAGTAGTTGAAAATGGAGTTCCTTGGCCTCTTTCAAAGCGTCACATCCTCTTCCCCACACCCCACACACATATAGATAAAAAGGAGTTCTTTTTTCTTTTTTTTTTTATTTGTTTTGTTTTTGAGACAGGGTCTCACTCTGTTGACCAGGCTGGAGTACAGAGGTGCAGTCATAGCTCACTATAGCTTCAACCTCCTGGGCTCAAGTGATCCTCCCACCTCTCGGCCTCTGCAGTAACTGGGACCACAAGCACACACCATCATGCCCGGCTAATTTTTGTGTTTTTTGTAGAGACAGGGTTTCACCATGTTGCCCAGGCTTGTCTCAAACTCCTGGGCTCAAGCAATCCTCCCACGTCAGCTTCCCGGTGTGCTGGGATTACAGGCATGAGCCACCATGCTCAGCCTTAAAGGAGTTCTGAGACCAAGTTCTTCCCCTCCTGGGTGGGACAAGCAAGCTCTCCAGGGCTGTCCCAGGCACTCTGAGAACACTTGAGACTCCAAGAAATAGCAGCCTAAGTCTTCTCCCGGCTCAGCCCCGATTCTGCTTTGACAAGAGTGAGTGGGGGGTGAGAAGAGGTGGTCCCTGTCCTCCAGGGTGCTCTGCCTCAGTGCTTGGCTTGTCCCCAAGGCCTGGACGGATGTCCCTCCTCCTCCTCTTTCAGAATGCCTGTGCGTTCACGGAACATGCAATAACAGGATAGACAGCGATGGGGCCTGCCTCACTGGCACATGCAGAGACGGCTCTGCCGGGAGACTCTGTGATAAGCAGACCTCAGCCTGTGGGCCCTACGTGCAGTTCTGTCACATCCACGCCACCTGTGAATACAGCAATGGGACAGCCAGGTAGGTCTGTGAGGGAATGGCCCTTAATGACGCTGAGTCATTAAGTGTAAGGGGATGGCACTTAATGACGCTGTGTTACCTGTAGACGGAGCCAACCCATATCTGAACTCTGAACTGAGGCCTGTTATCTCCAGCTGACAGTGTGGTGTTTGTGAAAAGAACCTCAGTCTGAGCTGGGTTTCAATTGCAGCACTCCCTGCTTTGAAACTTACCAGGTGTGTGACTGTGGGCAAGTTACTTAACCTCTCTGAACCTCACTTTCCTCAACAGTACAGTGAGGATGATGATACCTACCAAGCAGGGCAGTTGTGGAGATTAGCAGAACTCAATGCAGAATCACCTAGCACCGGGGCTAGCACATCAAAGATGTTCCATTATGGAAAAGATAATTATTATCACCACATATGAAAGAAATGAAGATTTGTCCACCAACTTTCTAACCTTTGAAGACACCTTTACTTTTTAAGGCTGTTAATAATTGCTCCCCTGTTAAAGGCATCTTGCAGGAAATTGGGTCTTTAATCAGTAGGTTGCCATTTGTTTCCTTAATACTGTCTAGCATTCTGCAGTGGGTTTGAGGGGGAAAATGCCAGAGGAAATTTACCTCTCTGGAAATACCTAGCTCCAAGGCAGTAACCACCTAAATTATCCTGGGAAATGCAGAGGATGTCTGGAATTCTTGGTCCTCTCCTTGCACTGCTTTTCTTAATTTTTGTTTACATAGTTATTTGTTTTGGTCTGCCTCTCCCACTAGACTATAGGCTATATGAGACAAGAGACTGTCTCTTTTCCACAGTTGTACAATAGAAATGCCTTTTCCTAAGGAGTTAGGATCTATATCGGTGCATAAGGCAAAACTACATGTAATCAACATTACCGCTGAAACCTATGAAATCATCCACAGAGGACTGTCGGCATGGGTCTGTATGAACTATATTGTCTTAGGTAAATCAAACATTATTGGAACAGATCAACCTATTTCTTCATTTGGACACTAGATAATGTATTTTGTTCCTGTAGGAAGCTTGATACATGAAATATATATTTTTTTAATTTTTGTAAGGCATGTATGACTGAATTTGCAGTAAGACCTGGGGGTACAATGTCCCCAGCATCTATCATAGGCCACTCAACAAATATTGGTTGAATAGATGAATGAATGGGCCACCTTTAATAGTAAAAGTGTCATCACGGAACATTTTGAGAGGAGCGTCTGGAAAGGTAATGGGTCAAGAAACCAAGTCAGCTCACAGAAGAGGCACTTGAAAATGTGGTGTTGGGGGAAAAAACCTCTGAGGGGCCAGAGAATGGGAGAGGATAAGTCTCACCTGATTGTCATTTTCAAATATTTTAAGAGCTGTTGCATAGAAGACAGAGTAGAACTCTTCTTTGCTGAACCAGAGGTAATAATTAGTATTGAGCAGGAAGAGTTATAAAAAGGCAGGTTCTGGTAAAATAAGAGCAGAGACACTGTCAGGTGTTGAGATTTATGATCTGCAAGCGCTCTGCTAAACGCTCAGTGTGCATTTGCTCATTTAACCTTCAGCCTTATATGGGAGGTATTAGGCCCATTTTCCTCATGAGAAATAAGATCTCTCAGTTGTTAAGGGACTCGTGCAGTGTCACACAACTGCTAAGAAGTGGGCAGGCTTCATTTCCACCCAGGTGTATCTGATTACAGATCCCAGAAGTACCCCGACCACATTTGAGCGCTGGCTTCCTCCACAGGAGCAAAGGATGGAGCCATTTGGCCAGGAACTGGCTCATCTCTAGCTGGCTGGCTCTCTTCTGGGTCGTTGGTGCTTATTCTGGGGCTGATATTGCACACTCTCCTTTGCAGTTGTATTTGCAAAGCAGGATATGAAGGAGATGGAACTCTGTGTTCTGAGATGGACCCTTGCACAGGACTAACTCCAGGAGGCTGTAGCCGCAATGTGAGTACTGGTCTTCATTTCCACCCTGCCTGGTTTCTTTTTTTTTTTTTTTTTTTTTGAGACAGAGTCTCGCTCTGTCGCCCAGGCTGGAGTGCAATGGCACAATCTTGGCTCACTGCAACATCCGCCTCCCGGATTCAAGCGATTCTCCTGCCTCAGCCTCCCGAGTAGCTGGGATTACAGGCACGTGCCACCACCCCGGCTAATTTTTGTATTTTTAGTAGACAGGGTTTCACCATGTTGGTCAGGCTGGTCTGAAACTCCTGACCTCGTGATCTGCCCACCTTGGCCTCCCAAAGTGCTAGGACTACAGGCCTAAGCCACCGCGCCCAGCCCTGCCTGGTTTCTTGTTGGCTTTTTTCAGTTGATTGTTTGGGTTTTTTTAGGAAATCCTGAGGAAAGACATTCCATAGGTCAATGTCTGATCACTTTTCATATGCATGAAGCATTTGTGTTTAAACCTTGAATTTTTATTTTAACACAGGGTCTCACTCTGTTACCCAGGCTGGAGCACAGTGGTGAAATCATAGCTCACTGCAGCCTCAAACTCCTGGGCTCAAGTGATCATTTTACTTGATTAGGAAACTGGGATCTAGGGGAGTCAAGTGACCAAGTTCTGTTGTTGGTAGGGGTGTATCCAGAACCTACCATTGCTTTCACTAATTCCCTTCAATGATCGCCATCCCCACCTGACCCTAGTCACCTTCATTCCTTACCTATGGTTTAGTAACTGGTTTCTTTGCTTCCTCTTATCTACCCACAGTGCATTGTCCACTCACAGCCAGAGTGGCTTGAAGTGAATCAGATCATGTTTTTCAGGTTTAAGCCCCTTCAGTAATTTCCTCTGGCTCTGAGGATAAAATCTAGATGAAACCACCTGACCCCAGCCTACAGATTCCTTTGATTCCCTTTGAGTGAGCCCCATCCCAACCCCATCCCCCTCAGCCTCAGCTCCGTATCTTGTATCCCTCTCTCCTTCTCATTCTGTCCTCCAGCCTCCTGGTGAGGCTCCTCCTGAGAGGCCCGGGAGCTAGTATAGTGGAGTTTGGGTTGCCACATTATACAGGCCCGGGTTCATGTCTTTTTATAGCTGCATGACCTTGGGCAACACCTGTTTCCTTAGCTGTAAAATAGAGATAATAACAATACTTTCCTCAAGATGATGGTTTACACCTGCAAAACAATATAAACAGTCCCTGGCTTAATAACTAACACAGTGATGTCAGTGGCCATGAGCTGGCCAGTTCCAAGCAATTTTGTTCTTTAAATGACCTAATCTTTTCATGAATCTCAATGTAAATTAAGCATTTCCACCTCACTCAATGCAAATCTGTGTTTCTGGAACATATGTCTGGAAATTCTCTCTTATTTTTGGAATCATGTGGCTGGACTGAGGATTCAGAGGCTTTGCTTTTTCTTTTCCTCCTGCAGGCAGAATGCATCAAAACTGGCACGGGCACCCACACCTGCGTGTGTCAGCAGGGTTGGACAGGGAATGGGAGAGACTGCTCGGAGATCAACAACTGCCTGCTGCCCAGTGCAGGCGGCTGCCACGACAACGCATCCTGTTTGTATGTGGGTCCCGGGCAGGTAGGTTGGATGTCATGAGAGCAAAGAGAAAGCAGGAATCCTGCAGTGACTTTGCTTTCCCCTCAGGACACAGAAGTACTTTGGCTAGAACTTACTGCAGCTTTTTTCAGTCATTCGTGGCAGTGAACATGGGTTCATTGCCACAACAAACCTATGATGTATTATTATCCCATCTTATAGAAAAGGAAATTGAGGCAATGAGAAGCTATTTGCATAAATCACATAGAAAATAAATAATAGTGCAAGATTTGCATCCAGTCTGACTCCAGGGCCGCCCTCTTAGTCACCACCCTGGATCAACCTTATATTTCTATAGCTCTGCAGTGTATTGATCACTTTCACTCACTGTCATTTAATGGAGGACAACGCAGAGAAGGCTACTGCTTAAAAATTAAGGAGCTCCAGGGGAGGGACTACCAACTACACTAGGATTGTGGCAATGGAAAAAGAGACAACTGATAAGGCTCCCTTCCCCCATCCATCCCCACCTGCTTCCACCTCTTTCCACAGGTAGGACCAACAGGTGTGTTTATAATACAAGGCTAAGGAGGTCAGAACACACGGAAGATGGGAACCAGGATTTTAAATCAACCCCCTTATCTTTTGAATCTTGATACAGTTTCTCACTTTTATGTTTTAGGCTGAACTTTTTTAAAGACCTACAAATTATTTTCTGCTCTTTGAGAAATATATTTCTTCCCATGATGATGGCTCTGTTTGAGGAAAGCCTAACCTTGCTCACCATGATATCTCCCACTTGACCCCGAGCCTTTTGGTTCTCAGACCTCTCATTTCTGTGCACAAGTTAATAATCGGAGAAAGCCAGAGCTTGTAGTGGAACTTGATGAGATATTAAAGCCCACCTCCTACCTTCCCTTTCCTTCATGGAGGAATTTACCCAGACAAATGGAGATCTGCCCTATTTTATTTTTTGAGATGGAGTCTCGCTCTGTCGCCCAGGCTGGAGTGCAGTGGCACGATCTCGGCTCACTGCAAGCTCTGCCTTCTGGGTTCATGCCATTCTCCTGCCTCAGCCTCCCGAGTAGCTGGGACTACAGGCACCCACCACCACGCCTGGCTAATTTTGTTTTTGTATTTTTAGTAGAGACAGGGTTTTTCCATGTTGGTCAGGCTGGTCTCAAACTCCCGATCTCAGGTGATCCACCTGCCTCGGCCTCCCAAAGTGCTGGGATTACAGGTGTAAGCCACCATGCCCAGCCAATCTTCCTTATTTAAAAATATCCAAGAAGTTTTTAGGGCCTCCCTCTGTGGCTTTAGGCATCATTCCCACTCACTCCTCCATTCTGCTAGGAATGAGTGATGGAACATCGGTCCTGCGGGCCAGTGCAGGGCTGGACACTTGTGCAGAGACAGTCAGAAGTGTTGGAGCTCCTCTGGGAGCTCATAACTACCAAAGTTAGTGATCTGTACAGAACTCTTTCCAAAGAGACCCCCACAGGGGGTTAAAAGGTGGTCAACATGGGCCGGGCACTGTGGCTTACACCTGTAATCCCAGCACTTTGGGAGGCCAAGGCAGGAGGATCACCTGAGATTGGGAGTTCGAGCCCAGCCTGACCAACATGGAGAAACCCCATGTCTACTAAAAATTAGTCGGGCATTGTGGTGCATGCCTGTAATCCCAGCTACTCGGGAGGCTGAGGCAGGAGAATCGCTTGAACCTGGGAGGTGGAGGTTGCGGTGAACTGAGATCGTGCCATTGCATTCCAGCCTGGGCAACAAGAGCAAAACTCTGTATCAAAAAAGAAAAAAAAAAGGGGGGTCAACATGATTAGGAGCAAGGGTTAAAAAGTGGAACTGCTTAGCTAACAGCATGGCATGCTCTCACCCTAGCCCACCTCCCACTCTTGAAAACTGGTGGGAGATAGAAGCACACTACACCCAGGCAAATCCTCAACGTTGACATGTCTATTTACAGCTAGGGTAAACTATTTCAATAGACCACAGAAGGTGCTTCTCGGGGAGTGACAGTTGGCAATGGGACAGGGATAGAAAATCTGTGTCAGGGAGAAATCTTTCAGTTATAACAGAAAACTCAATTACTTGTGGAAGTGTAAAATGGTACAGCTGCTATGGAAAACAGCACAGCAATTCCCCCAAAAAATTAAAAATGGAATAAGCATATGCTCTAGCAGTTCCACTTCTGGGTATACACCCAAAAGAATCAAAAGTGGGACTCAAGCAGATATTTAAGCACCCGTATTCATAGCAGCATTATTCATAGTAGTCAAAAGATGAACACAACCCAATGGCCATTGGCAGATTAATGGATAATCAAAACGTGGTATATGTATACAATGGAATAGCAATCAGCCTTAAAAAGGAAGAAAATGCTGACACATGCTGCAACATGGGTGAACCTTGAAGCTGTGTTGCTAAGTGAAATAAGCCAGAGACAGAAGGACAAATACTGTGTGATTCCACTGCTCTGAGGTTCCTAGAATAGTCAGGTTCATAGAGACAGAAAGGAGAATGGTGGCTGCCGGGAGCTAGAGTAGGGAGAGGAACGAGGAGTTATTGTGTAACGGGTCTGGAGTTTCAGTCTGGGAAGATGAAAACAAGTTTGGAGAAGGATGGTAATGATGGTTGTACACGAATGTGAATGTATTTAATGCCCCTTAACTATACATTTTTAAATGGTTAAAATGATACATTTTCTCATACATATATTTACTTCAATTCTTAAGAAGAAAAAAAAACTGGTTTAAAAAGAAAAGAGAATGTTTTGGCCCACATGACTCTAAAGGCCATATATGGATCTAGCTGCTGGTACAACATGATTCAGGGCTCAGAAGGCAGCATAAAGGGTCTGTTTCTTGGCTCAGCTTCTTCCCAGGTTCCTGGGGTGAGGGATGACCTCCGGCCACTTCCAATTTATACCATTGCAACTCTTAAGCAGAATGGAGTACATTATCTGGTAACTTCCTCCAAAAAGCCAGGATTCATTCTTTCATTGACTCAGATTGAGTGCATCCACACCCATCCTCATTTCCTACCACTCCCATCAGCCCTTGTGCACAATTACAGAAATCAGGCTGGGGAGGCCCAGGGTGGAAGATGCAGTGATAAGCACAGGCCAAGGCCCTGCACCTCACCCTGGGGTGGAGGAATCAGCCACATTTTATCATGTGGACTAGGAGAGGGGGAGTGATGGTGTCCCCAGAGCCAAATGGCGTGTAGTTTCCAGAAAGTGAGAGAACAGATGCTAGCCAGACAAAATGAAACAGATGTTCCCTTATCTATTCATTTGCTCATTCATCCAACACTTCTCAAGTGCCTACACCCACTCAGCCACTAAGCTCAGTGGTGAGGATAAGAGATTACCGTGGCCAGGGCCCTCAGCCAGACTTGAAGAAATGCGATCTTGTGCGAGGCGACAGACAAACCTATGTATAACGCTAAAGTGATAAATGTTGTAAAAGCCACATAGGGTAAGTCCCATGGTCTGGTTGTTCCACAGCGTCTGAGGGCTGCTTTCCTATTTATCTTTTTGATTTCTCTGACAGCAGAGCCTGCTCATGGGTCTGGAGAAAATTAGCTTTAAAATGTGGCTCCAGGAGTCTTAATTGTGAAAAAGCTCACTGCAGTCTTATGTCTTGCCAAGCACTCAGTAAATAATTGCATTCATTTTTGACGCACTTGAGTTGGCAGATTGCACTTGAGAAAAGGAAAAAAAAAATGACTTGGTGTCTGTATTAGCTTTCTGGGGCTGCCATACAAAGTGCCACAAACTAGGTGGCATAGAACAACAAAAATGTATTGTTTCACAGTTGTAGAGGCTGGAGGTCTGAGATCAAGGTGTCATCAGGGTTGTTTCCATCTGAGAGCTGTGAAGAAGCTGTTCCATGCCTCTCTCCTAATTTCAGGTGCTTTGCTGAAAATCCTTGGTGTTTCTTGGCTTGTGGACACATCACCCTGATCTCTGCCTTCACGTTCAGATGTTGTTCTCCCTGTGGGTGTATCTGTCTCCAAATTCCCCCCTACTTTTTTTTTTTTTTTTTTTTTTTTTTTGAGACAGAGTCTCGCTCTGTTGCCAGGCTGGAGTGCAATGGTGCGATCTCGGCTCACTACAACCTCCACCTCCCGGGTTCAAGCGATTCTCCTGCCTCAGCCTCCCAAGTAGCTGGGACTACAGGTGTGTGCCACCACACCCAGCTAATTTTTGTATTTTTAGTAGAGACGGGGTTTCTCTGCATTGGCAGGATGGTCTCGATGTCTTCACCTCATGATCTGCTCGCCTTGGCCTCCCAAAGCCCCCTTTTTATTAATATAAGGATACTGGTCTTACTGGATTCAAGGCCCACCCTACTCCAGTATGACCTCATCTTAACTAATTATATCGTATCAACCCTATTTCCAAATAAGGTTGCATTCTGAGGTACTGGAGGTCAGGACTTCAACAAATGAATTTGGGAATAAGGGGACGCAGTTCAACCTATTACAGTATCTGTCTCCTCTTACAGTATCTGTCTCCTCTCTGCTCTGTCCTCCTTTCTGTAGACAAACTTGAAAAACATCCTGATGGGAAGATGGGAAGATGGGAAAAGAGGGGGGTCTCTTTGTGGTGTTCTATAAGAAACAGAATGGATCAAAAACCCAGGATTCATTCTCTTTCATTGACTCAGATTGAGTGTGTCCACATCCATCCTCGTTTTCTGATGCTCCCATCAGCCCTTGTGCACAATTACAGAAATCAGGCCAGGGGAGGATCGAGACTGCCCTCCTGTCTAGGATTGCCCTCAGCTGGGACTAGTTGGCTTGGAAACTTTTAGACTTTCCAAATGGACACAAACCTTAATTACGAGGAATGCTGCTTTAAAAAGACAAACCGTGCTGGAGCCAAATGTTTCTAAATTGAACAAAGTGCCTTACAGGCTAGCAATGGCCTCATGCATGCATCTCCACCAAGTGGATACCCCACAGCTTGCTTAACCTTTCTCATTAGGTAGAAGGGCCATCCAATATGATGCTTTTTAGGGCCCAAGTTCTCTCTGAGACTATCTCCATAGGACCCTCTGGAGTAAAGAATTCAGGAAGAGGCTGGGCGTGGTGGCTCATGCCTGTAATCCTAGCACTTTGGGAGGCCGAGGCAGGCGTATCACAAGGTCAGGAGTTTGAGACCAGCCTGACCAACATGGTGAAACCCCGTCTGTACTAAAAATACAAAAATTAGCCAGGCGTGGTGGCACGTGCCTGTAATCCCAACTACTCAGGAGGCTGAGGCAGGAGAATCGCTTGAACCTGGGAGGCAGAAGTTGCAGTGAGCCAAGATCATGCTATTGCACTCCATCCTGGGCGACAGAGTGAGACTCCATCTCAAAAAAAGATAAATAAATATATAAATAAATTCAGGAAGAGAGTACCAAGAAACTATCATATTGGAAAATGTAATGTAGAATATGGAGACTAATAACTCTAGAATCTGAAGTGTATCAAGCAAAAGGCATTAACACTGTTCTCTGGGACAGCCAAGCAGCTTCAGTTTCCATAGTACGTTTCTCAGTGCTGTGTGAGGGAAAGACATGGAAGGCACTTGCTTTCAATAATCCACTTGACTCTGTTCTTAAAATTATAGAATGAGTGTGAGTGCAAGAAAGGATTTCGAGGAAATGGGATTGACTGTGAACCAATAACTTCATGCTTGGAACAAACCGGGAAATGTCATCCATTGGTGAGTTATTTAACCTTGTTTTTCATTACTTAAAAAAAAAAAAAAAACAATGCTTGAGAAAGAAAGATTATTTCCTGTCTGGCCTAGTGATGAACAAAATCTCTTACCCCCAAAAGGGAATCTCTAAGCAGAATGCGAGTAGTTATTGCAACTTCTACTTCATTCCAAAGCTTGGAAGAACCAACATATGACTTCCAGGTAAAATACAGAAGTTCTGGTTAAATTTAATTTTGAAGTAAGTAACAAACAATCTTTAAGCACAAGTAAGTCCCAAATATGGTGTGGGATAAACTTATAATTACTCATTTTTCACCTAAAATTGAAATTTAACAAGTCATTCAATATTTTTATTTGCTAAACCTGGCACCTCTAAACCAACAGTTTAAAGGATAGTTTAAGAGGTAACCGGACTTCCATTTCGAATGTCACAACAGAGTTTTACAAGTTATCGGTGAAAATGCCCATTCAAGGGTAAATGGTGCCTTGCTTCTCAACTTTGAAAGATCAGGCACAGGTATTAGGGCTGGGGGTGGTTATGCTTTCAAAAGAACGCTAAGCACCAAACATAGGAATCAATGAAGTCTGATGCCTTAATCACAGTGTTTGGAGTTCCAGGTAACAGAGTCCATGCAGAAGATAAATTTGCTGGGAGGACCCCCAGGGTAGCTCTGGGAATCTAGAGGCAGGAAGTATAGCTAGACTTCCCAAGAGCCCAGAACCAGGACATGAAGAGAGCAGGATCACCAGAATCTAAGCAGTTTCTTTCCCCAGTCCTCTGAGACAATGTGACCTCTCGTTTGACTTCCCTCTGTGCATTTTCTTTCTCTCTGCCTCTGTCTCATTCCCCGAACTTGTAGTGCTTCTGTGTACATCTTGAGGTAAACGGTTCCCCCACCATCAGTGATGCCCTCTAATTTATTAGCACCCCATGTCCCCGTTCAAAATCATAGAGGAAAGGATCTAACTGGCCCAACTGGGTGCAGGTGTCTACATATGAGTCCGTCAATTGTGGCCAAGAAGTGGGGTTGTTATGAACATAGCTGCCAGGGCCCACCCCTAGTACATGTGCAGGGTGGGGCGTGGGGGACTAATTCTCTGATAGAAGAAAAATGAGGAGGGAGATGCCCCCAAGGTGTCTGTTACTCAAGAATCTCAAGAACATTTTGCAAAGCTGAAGGAGCTCTCACACTTCTGCTTGATTTAAGCCCAACCAAGCCCTGACATTCCAGATGTGAGTAGCTATTGCAAGTTTCATTCCATTGCAAAGCTTGGAAGAACCAACATATGATTGCCAGATAAAATGCAGGATACCCAATTGAATGTGAATTTCAGATGCACAAGTATGTGTTGAAAAATCTTTCAGCACAAGTATGCCCCAAATATTGCATGGGCAAACGTATACTCAAACTTACTCATTTATCTGAAACTCTCATTTAACTGTGCATCCTGTATTTTTTTATTTGCTAAATCTGGCAGGGATGAGAATAAATAATCGTGATTAATAGCTGCATCAAACATGCAGACAGGAGACTTTCACTGCAACACTAAAGGGTCTATGGGTTACTTCTACCATCTTTCAGCCCCAAATTTGCAGTTATCACCTTAGATGGAGCCTGTCGTCTCATAGATGTAACTCAGGTCTAACGTTTTTGTTGGGGTAACCATTTCTTTCATCTTGGTTTTCTCAGGCAAGCTGTCAATCTACTTCGTCTGGTGTCTGGAGCTGTGTTTGTCAAGAGGGCTATGAAGGAGATGGCTTTCTGTGCTATGGAAACGCAGCAGTGGTAAGTCATCGATGATGAACTCAATAATATAGACAAAACCCTTTAAAAACCTCTTAGCTAAGATGCCTTTAAAGTGATCTATTGACATATCTTTTGCTGCAGGAGATTTTACATGAAGCAAGCTGTTTCTCACAGATGACATACATGCTCTGTGGGTCACGTTTTCTACAGGCTGAAGGCAGCTGGCTTTTTGGCAGCTTCTGTGTACCAAGCAGTCCTTACTTCTCTTTCTTGATACTCTACCTGTTTCCATTCTCAGACTTCCTAAAGAGCAACTAACTGGCCTCTGCTGGGTTCACTGGGCTCTCCTGTCTGGGCTACCCTTTGCTTACCCATGCTGTGTGTGTGTGTGTGTGTGTGTGTGTGTGTGCGCGTGCGTGTGTGTGTGCGTGCGCGCATGTGTGTGTGTGTGTACACACTTCTTTATGCCAGGCGTCTTGCTCAGTCCTTACCAGGCAGTAGCACTCCATCTAAATCTCAACAACCTTCTGCTACTATTATGCCCATTTTACAGGCAGGTAAACTGAGAGGCTTAGCAAAACTTGCCCAACACCCTTCAGCTCCAGAGTGAGGAATCCAGCTGATAGCTCTGATAGCTGTCAAGTGCAGAGCCCAAATATTTAACCACCAGTGTAGAACATTCTATCTGTACAGCATGGGCCACACTAAATCAGCATTGCTCCTACATTTTTCTATTTTGACCATAAACTTTTTTTTAATTTATTGAGGTAAAATATACATATATAATTTACCATCTTTACCATTTCTATGTATATAGTTCAGCAGTAATAAATACATTTATATTCTTTATTTTCTTTTCATCCCCTCCCTCCCCTTCCCTTCCTGGTCTCTGGTAGCCACGAATCCACTCTCTGTCTTCATGAGATCCATGTTTTTAGCTCTTGCATATCAGTGAGAACTTGTGATATTTGTCCCTCTACAACCATAAACTCTTGAAAGATGATCTTTGTCTTGTTTCCTACGTCAGTCCTATTGCTTATAAATATTTGTCAAAATGAGAAAGTCAATTGACAAATTTCCTCATCACTTACTTTTTATTCAACTCCCTGCTGTTGAGTTCCTGCCCCTCCTCTCTGCTGAAATCACGAGCCTAACAATTCCCAGGACCCGCAGCCTGCACTAAGAGTCTCGCCCTAAGAACCTTGCCCTTGGGGGGCCCTTTCCACCCTTCCCCTCTCACTGTCAACTGTGCCTTCTACTCACCGAGTCAGGCCAAGGAGCTGTCTCCTGACATGCAGACCATGGCACATAAATCACAACATTTTCTCTGCACTAGCTACAGACCCTGGTTTCCTAAAATTCTAAAATCCTGCTTTCACGACGTCCCTCTCCTCCCACGAAAAGCAAAATTAAGTCCTCAGCTTGGCTCTCCAGGTATCTCCACACAGACTTCACTCTTGTTTTTGGTCTTTTTCTTGAGACAAGATCTCACTCTGTTGCCCAGGCTGAGGTACAGTGGCATGATTATGGCTCACTGCAGCCTTGACCTCCCCAGGTTCAGGTGATCCTCCTGTCTCAGCCTCCCAAGTAGCTGGGACTACAAGAATGTGTCACCACACTCAGCTAATTTTTGTATTTTTTATAGAGACAGGGTCTCGCCATGTGAGATACCTCAAACTCCAAGTGATTCACATACCTCGGCCTCTGAAAGTGCTGGGATGGCAGGCCTGAGCCACCATGCCCAGCCCACTTGTTTTTCTTCTAAACAGCTTTCCGCTGCAGTTTAGCCGCCACCTCCCCAGCTCCAGGTCTGCCATGTTCCTCTCTCTCCTCCCCAACTCTGGCCTTCCCACCAGCAGATCAGGTGCACCTCAGCCCTCCTCTCCCTTAAAATGTCCCCTCTAAGGGATTACTCAGGCATCTCTGCTCTTGTGTTTATTCACTTTCTTGCTAACTTACTTTTTTAACATGTGCTTATTGACTTGCTTAATAACCTCAACTACTAGATGGAATTGAGTCAGCACTGAGACTTATTGTATTCATGTAAATTTGCATAGGATCATGATATTGCCATTTTTCTGGTATTCAGTAGTTTAAAAAATATTTTCACATATATTAATGCACTTAATTTTCATAATCCCTGGAGCAAGGTTTCACCATATTCATTTTCAGATAAAGCACTTGAGTTCTCAGAGGTTAAGTGACTTGCCCAAGATCACACAGCTGGTAAATGGCAGATCCAAGAAGTGAACCCAGTCTTTTTTAATAACTCTGTGTTTAGAGACATTAAAAAAAAAAAACTATAACGCCTTCAAATGTCACTGCTCTGCCAGCAATATTGGTTATCTTTTCAAGGCCGAACTTCCCCTAAACAACTGTAAGTCATAGAGGAGCCAGGGCCATCTTTTCCCTTCAATATCTTACATCCTCTTTCATATCTTATAGCTTCCCTTCACCCCACCCCAGTACCAACTGGGGTGGCTCTATATATAGAGAGAGCCATATGGGTAAATTAAAGATAATAGGGGCTAAAACTTACTGAAATTACTGCATGCCAGCCTCTAATCACTTTAAAAACAACTCCTATTTCTCTTATCAAACTGTGAGTTGGAGCTTTTATTATGCCCATTTTACAGATAAGAAAATTGAGGTCCTTTAGGTAACTGGCCTAGGGAACTAGGAAATGGCAGAACCAACATGAAAACCCATGTGGTTTGCTTCCATTGTTCTGAGCCACTACTCACCAACGGCTCTGAAAGGGGGCTATTTGCTGAGCTCTGTGACCCCCACTTAGCGTCTAGGTAGCCGCGTTCTTACAGCCTAAATTCTGATTTGGAAGAACCTTGAGTTGTTGCTTCATTCGAAGTTCCTGGAATTACTTCCATAGAGAATAACCAAGCCACCTTAGTGTGAAAGAAATGTGCGGTTCTGTCAGCATGGAAATGCAGCTAGCTGGAGCACGCATTCACATCAGCATCAGGGAGGCAGGCCAGGACAACGAGCCTAGCCCCAGGAAGGCTGAGTGCAGGTGACCCAGAGATGCACTGTGATTGCACTTCTCATTGTTCTTTCTCTGTGTTCTCTCCCATCTCTTCTTCCCTCCCTTGCATGATATGAATAAGGAATTGTCATTTCTCTCCGAAGCAGCTATATTTAACCGATGGATAAATGTGAGTACCTTTATTGGGACTTAGGATTGGGAATGTATATATTTTAGAAACTTGGAATGCATACAATAGAAAACCGAAAATGCAGCTGGTAAGGAGTGTAGGCAATTGTGCTGAGCAGTGTTTCTCAACGCTGGCTGCACTGTGGAACCACATGGAACACATTTTTAAAAAATATTCCTGCATAGGTCCCACCCCTGAAGACTCTGATGTGATTGATCAGAGGTTTGCTCTGAGCATCAGTGTGTCGGGGCCAGAAAGGGGGCTTCATTCATCACAGGATTCTTTTTTGTAAGTTAACATGACTCATCATTGTAATTCACCAAGTTCGATTTGGGATTTATAGCTGCAATCTGACATACTTCATATGTGCTTAACTCTCAGCTCAACAAGAGCTGCCAAGCCCAGCCAGCCATTGCAACAAATGGTTTATCCCCTTAAAATAGACACATGCCAAATAGTCCATGCCTGGTCAGCACCCACCCCAGGACAGCTTCCTGTTGCTTCTGTATGGGGCCTCTCTGAACCCCCCATCCCAGCATAGGTGAAAGAAGAGACTGAGCGTGCTCTCTTGAGCATGCTGACTTTCATCTAGACTCTTCATTCTTGGTCTCACCCCACAGGCATGAGCTGGCCCAGTGGTGTGCTGAACCCTGTTCACACTCACTCACGAAAGCTGATTGTGCACATTTTTCCTAACTCCACTTTCGGTACAGTCATTTTGGTATCTTGAAATCAGCCCTGGTGGGAGTATTTACGCCATAGAAATCAGTAAATACTACAAACCAAGTCTTTTGGTTTTTTTTTTTCTTTTTCCTGGAGATCCAGTTGTTAAACATGCCACTGCTTCTACCAAAAACTGGCTCTCTAGGCAAGAATGAAATTTATGTAAGGTTTTATTTCAGCCCTCTACTTTCTCCCATGCTGAAACTGTTCCTGCAGTCTCCCCACCATCCTTACTTCAAAGACGTCCAAGAATACTCAAGGTGGCTGGGCGCAGTGGCTCATGCCTGTAATCCCAGCACTTTGGGAGGCTGAGGTGGGTGGATCAGGTGAGGTTAGGCGTTCAAGACTAGCCTGGCCAACATCGTGAAACCCCGTCTCTGCTACAAGTACAAAAATTAGCCAGGCATGGTGGTGTGTGCCTGTAATTCCAGCTACTCAGGAGGCAGAGACAGAAGAATTGCTTGAACCTGGGAGGCGGAGGTTGCAGTGAGCTGAGATCACACCACTGCACTCCAGCTTGGGTGACAGAGTGAGACTCCATCTCAAAAAAAAAAAGAAAAAAAAAAATGAATGCTCAAGGTTCTCTGCACACACACATACTCACAAGAACCTATTAAGGCTATTTCTTGGCTCTTCATTTAGACTAAAGTGTAAAGGACTTATAATGACTGAAAGTGTGATCTCATTATCAAAGGCAGATTTGCTTTGATAAGACTCATACATTGAATTAAGTGAGTCTCACAAGGGAAAATGAGGCAACAGCCAGTGGGTGGGGTGGATTTGGGAAAGGAGACCCTAGGACCCTTCCAGTATCTTATGGGAAATTGTCATCTCTTCCAAGCATTTAAGGCAGCTCTGTTTGTCCCCTAACATAAGCAGGTCACTTTATTTTCCTTCTGTGGTTCAGAATGCTTCTCTACAACCCACACTGTCAGCCACCTCAAACCTCACTGTCCTCGTGCCTTCCCAACAAGCTACTGAGGACATGGACCAGGATGAGAAAAGCTTCTGGTTGTCACAGAGCAATATTCCAGCCCTAATAAAGTAGGTGTTACTTATTTTATTTTACATCGTATCTGAATGGCATCTGTGTAAACATGTCTTTGAAGTTCAATGTAGGAAAACCACATGGTCCTTCAAATTCGTGGAGCTGAACATGTTCTAGGATTCTCCTTTCCTCCCACCCCAGGATAGTAATAGTCAACAATTGCTGACAGCCAACTCTGCCAAGCACTCTTTTACATATAACCCAGTTAATTCTCTCAACAACCCTATGATAGATATTGTAATGATTCCCATTTTACAGATATGGAAACCAAAGCACAGCGTGGTTGAGTAACTAACTCTAGCCAAGGCTGGTAACTGCAGGGGGAACTTGAATTTTGACTATGGCAATCTGGCTCCAGAGCCTATTCTCTTAACTATTCAATGATACAGCCCCATACATTTATATTGAATTATAGCCTTTGTGGACTATTGTTTCAGGTACCATATGCTACTAGGCACATACAGAGTGGCAGATCTGCAGACCCTGTCTTCTTCTGACATGTTGGCAACATCTTTGCAGGGCAACTTCCTTCACTTGGCAAAGGTGGATGGGGTAAGAGCTCTGGAATTTGTCTGTTTACTTGAAACATAACAGCTTTGTTTATATTGTACTTTTTAAATTTTCATGTTATGGGAACTTCCAAACATGCGCAAAACTACAGAGAACAGAATCCCTCATGTGGGCATCACCCAGCTGCAATAATTATCATCATATATCAATACATACACATATACACGTTACCCTATAGCAGTGATCCTCTAAAATGTGGCCTTCTGCCCACTGATTGGCCACAAGTCTTGCAACAGACCACAGACTAACCCAGAAAGGGTAAAGGATGTGCAATTCCACAACTTTTCTTTTGACGTATAGTTGATTAAGACCTGGTTATTAGTAATTGAATCTGTATAGAGAAATGAAATTGAATCTTTATAGAGTTGAGTCTATATATACTCAATCTTTATAGAATTAAATCTTTATTAGAGAAATGAAATTTTATATTAAGGTAGAGTTAATCAACCAACAACTATTGAGCACCTACTACTATGTACCAGGCACAGATCTAGGTGCTGGAGATAGGGCAATGCCCAAGGAAGAACCCAGCCCTAGAGAAGCTTATCATCTGGCACTTTCTACAGTGTGTCAAAGACTCAGATTCAGAATTCTGTGAGGGAGTCTGGCCGCCCTGCTGCACGGGCAGTGTTTCAGAGCTCTTCCTGTGAATTGCACAAGATGAGAATGAAGATTCCACTGCAAAATGAGAACTGCTACATCCATGAACCATGGGCTACAGTCAAAAATGTTTGAGAATTACTGCCCTAAAACATTTCTACCCTCCCACTCATCAGTGTGAGCACTATGAAAAAGATCTATGCGTAGTAATACCTACATATATGTGACTCATCAGATATTTTCTTTTAGAAAGCAGAAAACAGTGGTCCTATGGCTTTTTAATATCTTATGATAATTCTGGTGACATTGAAGTTATTTTCCATCAGGTTTTAAATTAAAATTGTATGTATTTAAAGTGTACAATATGATGTTTTGATATACAAATACATTGTAAGGTGATTCCTACAGTCATGCTAATTTATTGGTGTTTTAAATCATTGATTATCTTAGCAAGCATTAACTAAACACCCATCTGGGCAGGCATATCCCAGGCCCTACAGATTCAGAGGTAAATCAATCAAGGCCCTTGACCTAGAGGAGCTAACCATTAAAGACACATTTGTAATGAGTTCATTCCTATGTCCTATATAAATATCTCCTGCCAGGAGGGTTTTCTTCAGGTCCTCTGCAGATGTGACTTGGGAGTTGCTCAGAGTGAGACAAGACCAGGGTTTCCAGAAGGGATTTCAACTGGGGAGAAGAGGAGAGGAAACCAGAAAGAGTAGAGTCCAGTTGGTGTTGATTGGTGGCTGAGTGGGTGGGTGGGTGGGTTGGATTTTACTTAGCCCCATTTCTTATGCAATTCATAGCCTCAAAAAGTAGTTGGATTCTGATCAGGAAAGTCAATTACCATCTGTATTAGTTTGCCAACACTACCATAACAATGTACCACAGACTGGGAGGCTTAAACAACAGGCATTTATTTTCTCACAGTTCTGAAGGCCAGAAGTCCAAGATCAAGATGTGGGCAGGATTGGTTCCTTCTAAGGCTTTGAGGGAAGGGCCTGTCTTTGGCCTCTCTCCTTGGGTTGTAGATGGCATCTTCATGTTCACATGGCAGTCTCTGAGTGTAGCTGTCTCTGTACAAATTCCTGCTTCTTGTGAGAACACCAGTCAAATTGGATTAGGGTCCACCCTAAGGACCTCACTTTAACTTGATCATCTCTGTGAAGACCCTGTCTGTAAAGTCATCATCTGAGGTACTAGGGGTTAGGATTTCAGTATACAAATTGTGGGGGCAGGGGGGGACACAGCTCAACCCACAGTTCTGTCTCCAGGGTCAAACCACAGGGTCACTTTAATGAGCCTCGAACAGCACTTTTGTCAATGAAATAGCATGGAATAGAATAGACTTGATGATCACAGTACCTCCCACATAGGGGAAAGTATTATTTCTTTCTTTCTCTTTCTCTTTTTCTTTCTCTCTCTCTCTCTCTGTCTCTGTGTGTGTGTGTGTGCGTGTGCACGTGCACGTGTGTGAGAGAGAGAGAGAGAGGGGTCTATGGGACAACAAGTTAAAGGTATTTCTTACTGTGGGTCTTGGCCCAAAAGTATGAAGGTCACTGCTGCTCAAAAAGCAGAAACCCCAGAGATCATCTCAATCCCAAGGTGCGCTCTATAAAGACTCATCTTCCCACTGTGGTTTGCATTTACAGAATATCACAATTGAAGGGGCCTCCATTGTCGATGGGGACAACGCAGCCACAAATGGAGTGATACACATCATCAACAAGGTACAAGATTCCATTCTCCTGTGCGTGCAGCATCTCTTTTCCCTTTGTTGTTTATCGTCCTATACAGCATTTTTTTTTTTAAATAGAAAAATACTTAGCCTTATATGGAAGTAACCGGTACTGTGCCTCATGACTTTTATTTTAAAACCATCAAGAGAGTCTATTGATTCAATGAGACTCAGTTTCCATTTATCCAGCCTGTATTCTGCAATGGGCCCTTTATCAAGTGTGGTCACATATATTATCTTTCTTGTTTATGGAAACATCTCAAAAGACACTTGAGGCCAGGTGCTGTGGCTCACGCCTATAATCCTAGCATTTTGGGAGTCTGAGGTAGGAGGATTGCTTGAGCCCAGGAGTTCAAGACCAGTCTGGGCAACATAATGAGATCCTCTCTCTACCAAAAAAAAAAGCATGCACCTATGTGGTCCCAGCTACTAGGAAGGCTGAGGCAGGAGGATCACTTGAGCCCAGGAGGTCAAGACTGCAATGAGCTGTGTTCAAGCCACTGCACTCCAGCCTGGGCAACAGAGCGAGACTGTCTCACAAAAACAAAAAAAAAACACACTTGAGCTTAAGCACCCTGGCACTGTGAAGTCTGTACAACCAGATGGGATATAATCAAGAACTGGAGGGAGAGGCATGTGATTACATATCATTTTTCCACTCTCCTATCTGCATTAATGCATCCTAAAAAGATGAGGTAGGGAAGGCCCTAAGGAAAAAAGTGGAAAAGAATATAAAAAGCATGGTGACATTTTTATTTTCTTCTAATACCCAGTATAACAAAGGTATGACATAGGAAAAAAAGAATAATGAGAAATGGGATTGTAAGCTACCCTGCAATTTTCAGTTACCATATTAGGATCTTCATTTAAAATGAAAGTTGCAAGTTGGAATTTAGGGTACATTGGGAACTTTTGTAAGATGGAAGATCAGAAAAAAATAACAATTAATTGTGTTTTAATTAAAATTGTTCTCAGTTGGGCACGGTGGCTCACTCTTGTAATTCCAGCACTTTGGGAGGCCGAGGCGGGCGGATCACAAGGTCAAGAGATCGAAACCATCCTGGCCAACATGGTGAAGCCCCCTCTCTACTAAAAAAAAAAAAAAAGTACAAGATGGCTGTTAATTGATTCAGTTATCTGTGTAGCCTCTGGGCTGCAGGCGCTCCCTAAGGAGCTCCTTCTCTATCTGTCAATTGGCATCAAGGGCATCTTTGTCAGGGCCACCATTGTGCCCTGCATAAAGGTGCCTGGCCAGAGTGGAGGCTAGCTAAATCCCAGCCCACTTCACTCCCCATGCTGTGCACCCCTGTTTGGGGTTGCAAACTCCTAGAGAAAGGAGTGTCTTTTTCTTGATTTTCAGTGGCCCTCATCACTGCCTATTGTTATGTGACATAGACATAGAACCATCAAGTTCTATCAGGCCTTCTCCTCATAGCTCTTGAATCTGCCAAATCCCGTCTAATCACCTTAAGCCCCTCCTCCCCCTTCAGCTCCAACAACTCAGAAATGTGTCTGTCTTCCTCCAACACAGGGGTTGGTACAACGTTTCTGGAAAAAGCCAGATACAATTATTAGACTTTGCAGGTCACATGGTCTCCATCATAGCTGTTCAACTCTGCCACCGTAGTGCAAAAACAGACTTAGACAATATGTAAACAAATTTGCATGGCTGTATTCCAACAAAATTTTATTTTTAAGTACAAGCAGCAGACTGGATTGGGCTTTCTACTGTAGTATGCTGTGAGCTCATTTAGGGCAGAACCCAGACCTCAGTCACACTTGTATACCCACTGCCTGGCCTGTAGTAGGCAAGCAATAAATGTTGGAAAAATACTGATTAGATTAGAAAAACATTCCAGTGTTGAATTCTTCAATCTGACAAAGTTCTAGGTAGAATGCAAAGGTGAAAATAGTGATCTTGGCCAGAAGGTTAATTATGCAGAGCTTGCAAACTCAAATGCCCAGATAGATCAGATGGATAACAAAATGAGTAAGGAGTATGTCCCAAGTAGAAGACATTAGGGAGTGGTGGAGCCTATAATGAAAGTGGCTGCTGCTACTCTCTGCAGCTGTGTGTCTGCAGAAATTCAGACTGATTTTTTTTAAAGGCAATCTAAATTTATATGTAAAAATGTCCTATTATTACATAGCACAAGCCAAACAAAACATTTTTACAAGCCAGATTCAGGCCACTGGGTTGCAGTAGATTTGAGACTTCAGAGAAAATAAATGGAGAACCTAAAGAATAAACACACGAATAACAACCAAGAAGAAAGGATTAGATATTAGCTGCAACCTGCTGTGTTTCACCTCGATTTGGTCTAAGGTCTTCTCTGACAAGGTAGATTAATGCGAGCTGGAATTAATTACTTAGGAGAAGCTGAAAGTCTTTCGTGCAAGAAGAACTTTTCTCTAATCAAGGAGGTTTAACGGTAAGGCATAAAATTGAATGACTAACATCTCCAACTCTGCTCCAGCCTTGTCATGCTGTATCCTGGAATATTTTTATACTGTGAGTAATCTTCAAAAGGTTGTCAATGTCAATCCATTGAACTGTCTAAAGAGGTTAATGGCATTAGACTCTCCTATGTATCGAAAAGCAGTAGGTCCTACCAAAACATGCTAACAGGATTCTGGGGTTTCTTTTTTCAGGTGCTGGTCCCACAAAGACGTCTAACTGGCTCCTTACCAAACCTGCTCATGCGGCTGGAACAGATGCCTGACTATTCCATCTTCCGGGGCTACATCATTGCAAGTACCACATTCTCTGCCTGACCACCATGCTCAGGTTACCCAGGAACAGGAATCCCTCATGCACTCTTGTCTCTTTCCATCGCAGCAATATAATCTGGCGAATGCAATTGAGGCTGCCGATGCCTACACAGTGTTTGCTCCAAACAACAATGCCATCGAGAATTACATCAGGGAGAAGAAAGTCTTGTCTCTAGTAAGTGTCAAGAACTATAACTAGGGAAGTTATTTTGTGAAAATTCAAACACTCAGTGTTTGTAATCCATTAGTTGTGTGCCATTTCACTCCTTCATCCTTGTCCATAGCCACATACTTGACGTAGACTGGTGCAGAGACTCTCTCATACACAAACATCCCCTCGGTCAGAGCTGCTGGATGCTACTCACATGCCCCTGGAATTGCACACTTGAGCCTGTATACACAAGGATGCAGGTGTGGTGCATTAAGGGTGTGGTGTTGGTGTGTATATGTAAATATGAACAAAGGAAGCCCAAACCCACAGGTGCTTGGCCTGTTTAGGATCTATCTATAGAACCATCACTCTGGTTCTAGCCCGAGTGATGAAACCACATGGAGAAACCACATGGTTTCTCCAGAGCAGTGGTGGGAGAAAAGAGTGGGCTCAGGGGTGGCTTCTCGGGGCTTTCAGTGCCACCCCCATCTTATTAACATCCTCATCTCAGCCACCCAATATAAACATGGAAGTGAAAACAGTGTGCTTGCCGTGCAAATCCAGCTTCAAATGTGTCTTCTCATGTGGGGTTGGGGTGGGGTGGCCCTGGGCCCTTCCCGTATAAAAATTCTGGAGCCACTACTGAATATCGGATAAATTATGATCAGCTTATGGTAGTCTTAAATACCTGGAGAGGTCATTTGGACTTAGTCCTGTAAGAAACAGGATCCACAAAAGAGTTTTAAGTCAGATCGTGGCATGATTGAAGCTTTTGAATTAATTCACAAAATCCTTTGACAAACTTTGACTATTTACCCCTAGATGTTAGGAATCAGGGAAAATAGAGAAGGGGAGAAGAGGAGGAAGAAAGAGATAATCCACCCCTCTAGGTCCCTGCTGCTGACATCTTAGCTACTGGAACCAAGGAAAGGCCAGGGACGGGGGGAGGAGAGGAGGGGTGATCATGAGGATTCTTCCAGCTTCCTGGGACACCTGCATGCTTGTTCCTATGAGCTCAAGTGTGTAATTCCAGGGGTATGCATAAAACACACAGCAGCTCTGCTATGGGGGAGGATTGTATATGGGAGAGTCTCTGTGTGAGGCTGTATTAAGTATGTGGCTATGGACGAGAAGGTTTTGATGGAAAAGTGAAATGACACGATTGAACTGAAAACGGTGTTTGAATTTTCAGCAAATAGGGATTTTTCTTATTTAATAAGGAAATAAGGAAGGCTGCTCTTCTTCCTCACCACCTCCTAAATTATCCCTATCCACTCATCATGTCCAGTCCCACCTCCTCAGGGAAGCTGGCCCTGGCCACCTGAGGTGAGCTGCTCTCTCCCGCCTCTGAATTCACACCATGTGTACCCCCTTTCAGCATTTATTATGTATCCCCAATAGGATGAACTGTCTTCTCAAAGAAGCAAGTCTTAGCTCTCCAACTAGATTATAAGCTCTGAAGGCAGGGAGAGTGTCCTAAACTCCTGTAACAGGCATGTTGCACTCCTGGGATGGAACTGGAAATCTTCTACCTTGTCTTTTCCCTGCCCTCTAACCCAACCCATTTCTTTAACCTCTTCAGTGAGAAATGTTATTTTTCTGCCACAGAATGAAACTTCAGACAGTCCCATAGCCTCTCTGCCTTCCCAAAAAGTCCTATAATCACCTTGGAGACAAATGTACTTTAAGTCACAAACTCAGTCTCAGCTAAGTAAAAATAAAGAATCCAATTCCTTACAATAATTAACACTTTGAATTGGATTTAAAACTAGTTCTTCCTCCCTCCCTGCTCCACAGCAGAGCTTGGTGCAGAAAACATCTCGGTCCTTGAATCAAGGTCCACAGGAGATGGAAAACATACCAATTACATAAACTGAGAATTTGATAGAATGAATTGTTTATTGGATATAAAGCTGTATAAATGAAAGGTTAAAGTGAGAAAGAAATATCACAATGGTAGCAATCACAGGATTCACTTATGACCCCTAAAGCTAGGAGAACAATGGGAGGAGGTTGGAATTTCTAAAATGTATAAACCTAGAGCCTCTGAGAAGGGGTCACTATTCAGCTGGTGCTGGTGTCTTTGAGCTTGGATGAGTGGCGAGGGTCTCTGTGGGTCTGAGACCCAGACCTCCAGGAGCAGGCATTGCCTGGCTGGTGTCTTATGAGCGGAGAGGGCAGGATTAAGCTGGCTCTGCGAGTGACGGGAAACTGCCAACCAGATTCAGGTGCCACTGCAGGGAAGAGAAGTGAGGCTGGGTGATGCCAATAGGAACAGGGAGAGAACAGGAAGGACTGAGTTCCTCTTTCCCCTCCAGCCCTCTGACTGTCTAGAGCTTCTCATTGGCAGACCCTAATAGGGAGCCCCTTGCAAAGGAGAAATGTGGGAAACAGCCTCAGCCCCAGCATCATCAAGCAGAGTGTAGGAGGTGGATTTGGAGCTGACAGGCAATCACTTAGGAACCTTCTCCTCTCCTTCCCCACAGGATGTTTCTCTTCCCTTTCTGATCTCACTAAATTCCATTTTGGTTTCACTAGGTTTGAAGTAGCGGGGTAAGAAGGGTTAGTGGTTGGGAAGAGACATCAAGAGGGTAAGAAGGTTAAGAGGGGTGGAAGAGGGCAGGAAGGACCCTAAAACCACAGAGCCCACCCCTAGCTCTGCCCCGGGGAGCCTGCCCATCCAGGCTGACATAGGCTCTCTCAGACACTCCCCATGTCTGAGCCACAGCAAACACCCACATTCTTGTCCCAAGCCAACTATGCAAGTGCAAATCGGTCCCACGCAGCAACAACCCTCCTCACTTCACCAAGAGGCAGCTCACCAGCAGTCCCTGCCTTGGTCAGACCCCATCCAACATGCCACCCTATCTCCACGAGACACAGATCAAGGTCCTTGGAGCATCCTAGTGAAGCTCCTCTCGTGCCCCAGAGGTGAAAGGCAGGCTGGGGTGTGGGGACTCTAACTTCTCAGTAGTTCTGCCCAAAGAATTATCACCTTTAAAATCTACCCCCAGCTCTCATATCTTCAGTCTGGGTTTTAGAATCCTCTAATGAGTTCTTGACTGTGCTATCTGGAAAATTTGTAAGTTCTCTGAAGCCATCTGTTTCACAACTCACTTTCATATTGAATATTGTGTCTTAATACCTCTGTCAAAACTTCCACTTGGACAAGCTGTTGTTCCTCTTTGTAATCTCCACAGTGACAGCACATGGGAGAAGCTGGGTAACTGTCAGGCTGATCTCTTGACTGACTTCCAATTCTGTGTGTGATCCAGGAGGAGGACGTCCTCCGGTATCATGTGGTCCTGGAGGAGAAACTCCTGAAGAATGACCTGCACAATGGCATGCATCGTGAGACCATGCTGGGTTTCTCCTATTTCCTTAGCTTCTTTCTCCATAATGACCAGGTACGATCCTTTTATGTAAAACCCCAGCAATGCCACCGAGAATTACATCAGGGAGAGTATGAGGAATGAGTGTCTTGGCTCCTGTCATCCTTCATCACTTCTGTATTAGTCAGTTTTCACACTGCTGATAAAGACATAGCCAAGACTGGAAAGAAAAAGAGGTTTAACAGACTCAGTTCCCCGTGGCTGGGGAGGCCTCACAATCATAGTGGAAGGCAAGGAGGCACAAGTCACGTCTTTCATGGATGGCAGCAGGCAAAAAGACAGCTCGTGCAGGAAACTCCCCCTTATGAAACCATCAGATCTCATGAGACTTATTCACTATCACGAGAACAGCATGAGAAAGACCTGCCCCCATGATTAAATTACCTCCTACCAGGTCCCTCCCACAACACGTGGGAATTCAGGATGAGATTTGGGTGTGGGCACAGCCAAACCATGTCAACTTCCATATTGGGATCATCTCACCAGTGCTTCCTAAGCCTTACCAACACAAAACGGTTGTCTGTGTTTCACCATAAAGTAAAGCCTAAACCAGACTGTCAAGCTCCCACTCTCCTGCCCAGTTGCCAGCCTTCAGATGATCAGTGTAGCCTTACAAATTGTGGCATTGAATCTCTGCAGTCATAGGCGTCCTTCAGCGCTGGTACAACAAACCCAACAGATGGCCCCCAAGCCGTGCCTAGGATGGGAGGGAACCTGGGAGATCAACCTAATTCCCAGGAAGTGGTGTGGGCTCCAGGGCATAAGAGCCCCATGACATACACAGGAGCCAGCAGCCAAGTGTATTAATGTTATTATCATTGTATAACCATAGAGATAGATTGCAGTCCTAGGACTAACCGACCACCACACTGGTATTCTAGTGTTCATCTCACATGATACCTAAATATTTAAACGTGTTTACAATTCATAGAAAAGAATTCATGAGGCTCAATATTTAATATATTTCAGTTATAAAATTCTATTCACATATTTCAAATATCAAGTAAAAAGATCAGTTTGAAATTCAATAAGAAACTCATAATTTTAATGTAAATTATCACAAGAAAAATTAAAACAAATTATTTAAGAGACACTAAACACTATATTGAAATGAAGGTTTAATCACAGAACTTTTTAAGCGACAATATTTGAACCTTTCTAAAAAGTATAATTTTAAAAACAATTTCTTCAGTGGTGTCACTACTGAATAACAAGTAAATTTTTATGTAAAATGGTTTTTATCTGCTTATGGGGAAAAAAGTCTTTCTGACTCTTGATTGATTAAAGAATAATCTAACTTCAAATATTTTTCTCAGACTCCTACAGATAAGTCTACCTATTGTGTAATAACTTGGAAGAGGCCCTTTTAAATATACTTTTTATTTTTCCAGGATTGGTAATTATGGTATTGACAGAGCTTCGTTTTTGCTTCTGTATGTGTTTGTCACCTTTTATTTCATCATGTAGAGATTAATGCCCAATGCAGTTAGCTGAATCAATTTTAGAGCTGCAGCGTTCATTTTTCCATGTGTGCAGAAATTCTTTTATCTAGAGAAAGAATTCATACAATAGAGGCTTTTATTGATAATTTACTTTCTCTTATGACAATGGAAGTATAGAGAAATGCTTTCTTTTTTTTAATTATTATTATACTTTAAGTTTTAGGGTACATGTGCACAATGTGCAGGTTAGTTACATATGTATACATGTGCCATGCTGGTGCGCTGCACCCACTAACTCGTCATCTAGCATTAGGTATATCTCCCAATGCTATCCCTCCCCCCTCCCCCCTGCCCCCACCCCACAACAGTCCCCAGAGTGTGATGTTCCCCTTCCTGTGTCCATGTGTTCTCATTGTTCAATTCCCACCTATGAGTGAAAATATGCGGTGTTTGGTTTTTTGTTCTTGCGATAGTTTACTGACAATGATGATTTCCAATTTCATCCATGTCCCTACAAAGGACATGAACTCATCATTTTTTATGGCTGCATAGTATTCCATGGTGTATATGTGCCACATTTTCTTAATCCAGTCTATCATTGTTGGACATTTGGGTTGGTTCCAAGTCTTTGCTATTGTGAATAATGCTGCAATAAACATACGTGTGCATATGTCTTTAGAGCAGCATGATTTATAGTCCTTTGGGTATATACCCAGTAATGGGATGGCTGGGTCAAATGGTATTTCTAGTTCTAGATCCCTGAGGAAACGCCACACTGACTTCCACAATGGTTGAACTAGTTTACAGTCCCACCAACAGTGTAAAAGTGTTCCTAAGAGAAATGCTTTCTAAATGAGTAGACACAGTCAAGTCAAAATTTCAATGTGATCCATAATTCTCTGAATATACCTCAGAATGGAAATAATTTAGACTTTTTTAAATGCCAAATCAACAGTATTACAATATCAAATGTTCTTCTATTTTTAGTATTTAAAAATAGCTCAACATCTTAGAATTCTGGAAATTTATTACAATCACCATTTGAGACTAAGGTTTCCTCTTAATTTTCCAAATGTACACAGACCTTGGAACACCTCTGTGGAGTTCAGCCAGACTTATCCCAACATCCAAATGGAAGCTCATTTGACTGCAAGTAAATCATAAGGGACTTTAACATTCAGTGGAAGTTTGAATTAAGCACTTAGTACGGTCATTTTAATATTGCTGTAACATGGATTTCTGGGATAATATATGAATTTAAGAATTTTAAACCATTGTTGGATCCTAACTTGAGTTTTCCCCTCTCCCAACTTCAGCCCTGCTACACACACACACACACACACACACACACACACACACACACACACACCCCACCCCAATTTTTCAAAGAATGATTTGCTTCCAGTTATATATGTGTTATATTAATGAATGAATCCATGGCTTCATTTATTTTTCATTGATTACTCATTAAAGTGTTCTTCCCTAAAAAAAAAAAAAAAAATCAAAACAAATTGCAACTCAAAGTTGAATTTGACTTGGCGGCATTTAGATACAGACTTCATACCCATGCCTTGGTTGTTTATGGACACGCTAAACAAGGACAGATATAAATATACCATTTTTTAAAAAATTATCAGTTATTTTTTTTTTTTTTTGAGACGGAGTCTCGCTCTGTCGCCCAGGCCGGACTGCGGACTGCAGTGGTGCGATCTCGGCTCACTGCAAGCTCCGCTTCCCGGGTTCACGCCGTTCTCCTGCCTCAGCCTCCCGAGTAGCTGGGACTACAGGCGCCCGCCACCGCGCCCGGCTAATTTTTTTGTATTTTTAGTAGAGACGGGGTTTCACCTTGTTAGCCAGGATGGTCTCGATCTCCTGACCTCATGATCCACCCGCCTCGGCCTCCCAAAGTGCTGGGATTACAGGCGTGAGCCACCGCGCCCGGCCTATCAGTTATTTTTATTCTTGTATAACCATCATTAGCCTTTCTGAGGGTTGTTTGCACATTAACCATGAAGCGGAGACATACTGAAAGGAACAGTTGCATTCTTCGATTCTTGGTTATGGAAGGCACTACCACCTCCAGAACCACTGGTCTACAGCACAACTGAGCAAGTCCATGGAGCCGTCTTGCCGGTGGGCACTAACATAATGATCATGGGTGGTATTTTTCAAACAAACATAAGCCAATTAATTTGCTTCATGGAAGATACCTAGAAATTATGTAGAACAACTTCTTCCTTTTACAAAAGAGAAAATTAAAGTTCAGAAGAGGAAAGCAATTGGCCTAAGGTCACACAGCTAGATGGCGCCAGGACTGTTATTCAGACTTCCGCTCCTAAGTCAGAGCTCTTTCCAATACAAGTGACTATTATATCTCCAGGTGAATATTGTAATATCTCCTAGGCAATTGTCCTATTGCTAACCTCCACTTCCTATCTTTTCCATATCTCTTTAAATGTCATAAAAAGTGACATTTAACCCTGTTGTTCACAGCTCTATGTAAATGAGGCTCCAATAAACTACACCAATGTAGCCACTGATAAGGGAGTGATCCATGGCTTGGGAAAAGTTCTGGAAATTCAGAAGAACAGATGTGATAATAATGACACTACTATTATACGAGTAAGTTCTATGGGCCAGAGCCAGTGATGGAACTAATGAATATTGGCTTTTTTTTATATAATTTTGGGGGCATAAGGCTTTTCTATTAAGGTGTATCAATTCAGTCCATAAACCACTGAATGAGTATCTTTGATGTGCCAAGGAGCATACCAGGCTGTGGTTCTACAAAGATACATAAGACATGACCCCTGCCCTCAGTGGGCTTGTGATCTAGTGCAAGAGGTTGTACCTTGTGTGCCTGGGAAAGGCTGCCAGGTGTGTGGGGATGGTGGGGGGGAGTGGTGTGCTGTGTTGGGCAGGATTTTGGACCATGGCTTTCTTCAAAGGGAAAATGTGCCATATCTAGGACAGGCACAGGGTAGGAACCATGGTGCCCCTATGGCAGTTATGGGCCAAGCCTGCTCTACCAGTAGAGAAAATAAGGAAATGAATGATTTCAGTGTATTATGGAATATGATAATGGAGGCTTTTCATGCCAATTCATGGGGCTATGTAGGACCTTTCAACAATAATTATAACCACTGACGTTTATCGGACACTCGTTATATGCCGGGCACTGCTCTAAACATTTTACATGCACTAACCTGTGTAATCCTCACAATACTCTACCAAGTAGGTACTATTACTATCCCCATTTTACAGATGGGAAAAGTGAGCCAGAGAGGTTAACTAATACATGCAGGTTCATACACTACCAAGTGGCAGAGAAGGGGTTTAAATGTAGGCAGCCTGGCCCAGAACTGGAACCCTGAACAACCACATTATCCTGTCTGGTAGGCTTAAGGTTCAGAACTAGACACATTGACCACCTCCTGTTTTAGGGACAGGTTGAGCTTGAGGGTTTCTGTCATTGTGAACTTTTACTCTTTGTTTTGTAATAGCATGTATTATCTCTGGGGCATCTCCATGCTGAACCCCTCATCTTAGCAATGTGCTCCGAAGCTGGGCACTGGGTACAGTAACTTGTGAGTTTCTGAATCTGGCCCAATTCACTTAATAGTTGGTTTTTAATAAATAAAAGTTATTGTTAAAGAATTTGGACTTAAATGAGATAAGGTCACACTTTAAAGAGTTAGCAGAGTCAGAAGAGTGTTTTGGAGAAAAGTGATGCAAATGTGCAAGACCCAGAGGAGTTGAAGTGTTTGTCTCAGAACATTAAAGAGGCTGCCCAGATAATCTGCCTTGATTTTTAATTCAAAAACCTTCATTTCCAAGTTCTGGACATGCAGCTTCATTTTGTATTAAAGTTAATTACATTGATTGCTTTTGTGTTTTACCAAGGGAAGATGTAGGACATGCTCCTCAGAGCTGACCTGCCCATTCGGAACTAAATCTCTAGTAAGTACTTTGTCTGTTTTGATAAAATAGTTTCCAGATCCGAGGAGTCCCAATTAGAAAATGAACCTCAAGATTATGTGATTTGCACTTCCCTCATTCCTTCACTTAATTTGAATTACACTTTACCTCGTTATATTATATGCATCTTTGTAAAATCTTACATCTATTTTTTTGGACCAAGGCAAAATTTAATAAACATAAATGGGTTCATATGAATCAACAGACAGGACAGAAATTTTTTATGCTCTACGTCTTTCATATCCTAGTAGCCAGTTGAGGACCGCAGCAAGAAATCTTGTCAGAGAAGAGAGATTCCATATCCAAAACCATATCCAGCCTGGATATATTCCACCTGCCTGATTTCCTTTTATAGTTGAAGTTGCAACTAACTTTCTCAAAGAAACAGATGGCAGGTACGGGGGAGGTAGACAATCCATGTTTCTTGTTGCTATTTATTGTAAAAGATACTTCTGATTACATTACAAAGAATACTCATGTACCTTCAACAGCATAATAGTTTTTACTAAATATATGATAATTTTTAATTTATGATAAATTTTAATCTATAACAACCATACAGATGTTCTCATTTGAGGTTTAATTTAATCTTGTATATTATAATCTTTGTATGCAGCCTTAATCCTTTCCTGGACCAAAGCAGACTATAAATCAATAGAAACCAAAGTTCAGTTGAGTCAATGTACGGTGCTGGAAGGACATTTTTACCTGGTTTACTCTACAATTCTTGCAAACTTAAGTTGATATTCTAAAGAAATGTTCTTTTCATGGAGTACTACTTTAAAGTATAATTATTGGATTTTGCCACCTGGCATTCCGGCAACCAACATTGTGTTTTCATGTTTTCTTGCTTAAGAAGCAGTGCCAACAAGCCACCACCTTCTCTTCCCACAACACTTTAGTCAGAGAGACAGCAATGCATCACCCACCTACTTGCTTTCGGAGACTGGAAAACTTTTTCCTAACTTAGGAGCTGACGTAGTCATTAATATTTCACAGGGTAATGAGAAGAGGAGATGCATCTATACCTCCTATTTCATGGGAAGACGAACCCTGTTTATTGGGTGCCAGCCAAAATGTGTGAGAACCGTCATTGTGAGTACAATAATTGAATCATACTAACTACTGCAGCACCATTGGGAAAATCCATCATATGGTATCCTTTTCAAAATCCCTGTGCAGGTATGCTTTCTGCCATCTCCTCTTCCTTGTTACCTGCATTATCATTGTCATCCAATGTAGTAGTGGTAGCAGTAAAGCTCAGAACAGCTCTGTAATCCAGAAAATGGGTAAAAGCTGCAATTCAATTCAGTTTCATGATGAAAAAAACTGAGAGTCCGAGAGGCTAATGGGACCACCCTGTTCTCACAACAGGGTAGCTCTGTGAGCATGCTTGTAAGCAAAAGAGAGAAAGTGTCCACTCACATTGTGAAGATAAGGTGCACTTGGTCATTTAGAAAACAGGACCCCAAGGCTAACTACCTCTAGTGGTGCCTTTGGAATTTGCAGGAAAAGTCATGAGAACTTCCTGTGCTGCTCCTTTCCCAGATGACTAGACATAACCTCTGCCTAGCTGGGCAGAGGTGGGGTGATCTGGCCCTTAGGCTGCAGAGCATAGGGGTGGGGGAGATTTTGTGTTTTAATGCACTCAAGAATAAAGGCAAGGCAAACCCAAGCAGACACCCTACGGGGCTTCCCTGAACTGCAAAAGATTGGTTTGTAAAATGCCAAAAGCCTCACCTGCAGAGGCCTCCTCACCTTCAGTAGTAGACGAAATAACATCGATGTGAAGGGGCCCAGATCTGGGTTGGAGACGGCCCCTTGGTCCTCCCACTCTCCAGCATCACAGGCATTATTCTTTAGTTTCTTCTGCTGCCCCTCCTCCTTTCTCATTTTTCTTCATCCTCTTCTCTGACATGCCTTTTTCCTTTCCCTCTTTCCTACCTCCTTAGTGGAGCCCTTGGTCCTGTTCCTAGCACCCCTAGAAATTGCCAAGCCTCACCCAGTCCCCAGAGGGTCCTGCCCCCACCCCTCACCCACTCCATGTGAGGTCGAAGAAACAGGTGCACAAGAAGTCACCCACAGCAGGATTTCTACACCGAGGCTGGACAACACCAGAGGATAGAAGTGCGTTGTCAAGCTTTGTCCTTCTGTTTCAGACGAGAGAATGCTGTGCCGGCTTCTTTGGCCCCCAATGCCAGCCCTGCCCAGGGAATGCCCAGAATGTCTGCTTTGGTAATGGCATCTGTTTGGATGGAGTGAATGGCACAGGTGTGTGTGAGTGTGGGGAGGGCTTCAGCGGCACAGCCTGCGAGACCTGCACCGAGGGCAAGTACGGCATCCACTGTGACCAAGGTGAGCACCGTCCTCTCCACAGAGGATCTTGGGCTGCTGAAACCAACCAGGAATATGCAGGGAAAGAGTGATCCCACACGTGCTCTCTAGCTGGCCTGTCGCCCCAAGTGGGCTGGAATCCCACCTGCTACTATCACTGTGAATTATAAGAGCATCTGTGTTGTCATTTGCATTTGCAGTGTTCCCAAACATTTTCAGTCTCTAACTTGAACCTACCAACTCACTTCCAATTTGCTCATTGACATTCCCAGCCCAAATGCGTTTTTATATTTGCCTATGCACACTAATCATCACGGCTAAACTTTCCATTGTGGACATTGCTTGATAGTTTGAAAAACAGATTTGCACATGTTATTCATTTAATCCACACAGGAACCTTAGGTACATGAGTATTGCTATGCCCATTTTACAGATGAGGGTAGTAAGGCAAAGAGGTTGAATGACTTCCCCCAAGGCTACACCTGATGAGAGGCAGAACTGAGAACTGAATGTACACCTTTCTTGACTCCAAAGCTTGCTTTTAGATCATGCTGTTCTTTACCTGAGGGTTGCTCTATTGTTTCACCAGCAGCAAGACACATGCTTTAAGTAGTTTTTGCAAAAACAATGATCTGTTTGAGCCAAGTCATCTGTATTCTCACATCCAGATTTCCTTGTGTCCAGGAACACACAGCTGTGAGAGTGTTGACTCCAGAGTTTGGGTTTCCTAACAAAGCATTATTCTACCTAGTACTAAAAACCATACAGTTCACTTGGCTATCACTGTTTTCTCCTCAGCTGGTCTAAGCCAGACAAAATTAATGTACAATTGAATCATTATAATTGGGCCATATAATATTTACTTGGAATTACAGTGTTGATTTTTTCCCATGTTATTTGGAGTAATTATCTGCTTGCATTTGTGCATGAGTTCCTAAAATGGGATTTGTAGATGACCCTGATGGGATTCAGCAAACCGCTAAAGCTGAATACATTTTTCTGGGGAAGGCATCTGTAGCTTTCATCAAGTTCTCAGAGACTCATCTGTGTAATTGAGGAAGCAGTGCCACACCAGGCTTATACAAACCCAGTGTCAAATGGGCTTCTTCCTGAAGTCCATTCTTAAGGGGCAAACGTGGTTCCAATCAAAGGAGCCCTGCATAACCCTGGATCCTCAGGTAACCTTGACTGAGGACACTCTCACACTGCTTGGGTCACAGATCTTCAGTGCTACACTGTCTCAAAACTGCAGTCTGAGCCACTTCATTGAAGCTAGAGCTAGTTCACCTGTGAACTTGCTAGATTCTGTCTCCTGCACCCCTGCCCTTTTTGTGATTCAAGACCCCTGTTAAAGACTATGATTCCTAGAAGTAGGTTGGAGAATTAAGTGCAATAAAGCAAACCTAGTAAATGACAAATGAGTTATTGAACATGGGTTAGAATCTGACGATTTGCAGGTGATTTTCCCACTTAGCATGTTCTTGTGTCCATGGGAGATGCAACCAAGGACCCTTGGGAGATGGCTCCTGTGACTGTGATGTTGGCTGGCGAGGAGTGCATTGTGACAATGGTAAGAGTGAGGCCTCCAGTATTTATAATCTGCTCTAAGCTTTGCTTCTCAGCAGCTACATTTTTCTTTCTAAAATATAAATGACACCTTTTTTTACTTCTTCTGGCAATAAACATGATTCTTTCTTGCAGCAAAAAGTTTGTAAAATAAAGAAAAGCAGAAAGAAGAAAATAAAATCACTCATAACCTCAAGGCAGGAAAGAACTATTACTGATATTTTATATTAGGCTACCAACCTTTTTCTAGGTATATAAGCAAATGTGTAGGGAATCACACTTTACATATTGTCTAGTAACCTACTTTTCCACTTCACAATATATATATAGATATCTTTCCCTGTGATTAAAATAGAAAAATATTAATTTGTAATCTCCACAAAATGTTACAGTATGACCATGCTACACTTTTTTGAACCAATTTTCTGCTCTCTCAAACACTGCTACAATAACCATATTCATTTAGTCAAATTCCTAGAGATGAGATTTCTGAGTCAGGGGATGGCACTCTGGGGGAAAGGTCTTGCTACTTATTGCCAGGTTGTCCTCCGGAGGAAATAGCAATTTATTCTCCTGCCAATAGTGTCTGAGAGGCCCATTTCCTTCAATCCGACCACATCACATTGATTTTTCTTAATGTGCTTCAGGTGAGGGCGGTCAAAGAGAAGGGAATTTCAGGCAGAAAGAAGCACCTGGAATACCACAACGACATGGGAAAGCTCAACACATTTAGGGAATCAAAGGATTGCAGAATGAGAGGACTTTAAGGGCAAAGAGGAGGGTTGATGAGAAAAGGCAGGAGCAGTGGGCAGGCGCCGGGCCGTGAAACGCTAAGGAGGTTGGACTTCTCACTAAAGGCAACAGGAAGCCATTAAAGAGTTTTCAACAAGGGAGCAATATGATCGTATTTGGCACTTAAGAAAAATCATTCAGACTTTGGATTGAAGAGAATACCCCTGGAAGCAGGTATCAGAGACTCCCCCTCTTCCGGGTTGGGAGCTGGGGAGGAGATCACAAGTGATTGCTAGCCTAGTGGGGGCTCCATGGATGTGGCATTGACAGAGGGGGCGTCTTTGCCCAAAGCTCCAGGCAATGCAAAAATCAAGGGAATGCAGTTGCCTTTTAATGGTCAGCAACAAGGGGTCAGGGAGGAAGGTTAGTTGAAAAGCTGAATTGGGAAGTCTGAATGGTCCCAAGCCAAAGAAATATCCCAGAGCAGATGTCAAATGTCAGGGTACAGAGCCAGGCTTCTGAGAGCCTGGGAGAGGGAAGCAGGAAGCAATGGGGTCACATAAACAGTAGGACATTTTCGGTGAATCCCCAGAATAAATACAATAGGCTCTCTCCTCTTCTTGCTTTCTCTACTCTGAAGAAAGACCCCACCACCCATGCACCTGGTCACCCAATCTAGGAACCTCCCTACTCAGCTTCCATACCTCCTTGTCCCTCACTAACATACCTAACATATTCCATGTCTCCACATCTCTCAATCCATCTCTTCCTCCTGCTCCCCTCTCACCAGTAGCCTTGTGGTCTCTTTGTTTCCTGTCCTATCTTCCTCCACTCCGTACTCCCCACTACTGCCAGATAGAACTTACCAAAACATAGATCGTGTTTTTCACCCCAGCTCCTCCCCAGAACTTGACAAATTGCTGTGGTTCTTCATTGCCTACAGAAGAAAGTCCTAACTCCTTAGCAGGGTGGAGCACAAAGACTCTTCACCAATGAACACTCACCCAGTTTTCCAGACTTATCTCCCATCCCTGTCTCCAGTGCACATTCTACACAGGAAGTTTCCAGTCTAGAAAAGGAAATAAATGTTTAGTAAAAGGAAAAATTGTGGTATGGAGTACAAAGCAAAGAGCCTGTAGACTATAACAAAGAAGACAACTCCTTTGTGTGCAAACTCCTCGCTCCTAAGTCCACAGCAGACATCACTAATCAATCATGACACTCCCTCCCTCTGTGACCAGCCAGGGGCACCCAACCCTTCTCAAAGTAGCACACCATTAAGCTGCTACCAATTAATTGAAGTTGGCTCAAAGGTTTAGAGCAGGTTCCAGAGAAAAGGACATAAAACATGATTGAAATGCCAATAGGTAGAGAATAGAGAGAAAGGGATTGTTTAGGCTCAAGGAATAAGATACAGGCACAAAATTGCCTCCATTCCAGCCCATTTGAGTCTAAATTCCCTCCGACACAAAACAGACCACTTTTGCAGGCCTCTGTTTCAGGACCTCCTGTATGACTCAGCCAGGATTGGTAAGATTTCTATCCCAAAAGCTCTTAACATGAGCATCCTATCCAAGAGTATTCTTCCCTCATCTCTAATGATTTACTTCTGGATCTTGTCCTGTCAAGAAATAGGTAGGCATCCAAGAGCAATAACCTATGCTGTGTCCAGGAAATTTACATATTAATTCAACAAATATTGTGTACCTGCTGTGTGCAAAGCCCTGATTTTCTGCACATGCAAAAAAATCTTTTATAATTATAGTTTTGCTTGTTTACAGCACTCCATAATAAAATGATGAAAACCGGGAATAAAGTTAGGAATAAACTAGAAAGAATAGCATAGGAAATACAAATAAAAGTAGAAAATCAAAACCCAGAAGAGGGGTACACATCAACACCCAGACCATAAGAGCACATGGTCACATTCCAGGGAGAATTCTGTGTTTTATTCACTCTTGCATCCTCACTGCCTAGCACAGGGCCTGGCAAACAGAAGACACCATCAATGTATTTGACCTTCAGATTTGGCTTTGAGCTTCATGGCAGCCAGTATAAAAAAGGATTGACATGACCTCATAGTTTTATATCGCTCACATGATACATATCACTTCCAAAGAAGTAGCTTTTCTGAGCACAAAATACTAAAAATCCTCAGGTGAGATTTAGTAAGAGGGCTAAGACAGCAACTGGTTCTCTTTTTCAGCAACCACAGAAGACAACTGCAATGGGACATGCCATACCAGCGCCAAGTAGGTAGCCCTGGGCCACCTCTGGGGACAGTGTAAAGGGGATTTTTTCCCAATATTGTCTACCCTAGTCTCTATCCTCAGGGGATTTGTTTCCTGACACCATTTCTGAGGGCTTAGGATAAACTTGAGTATGAAACTAAAAATATCTCTGAAGAGGCCACTATCAAATAGCCAGATCCAGGCTTTCTAACAAGCTGCCATCTGACTTACCTGGCACATTGACGAAAATGCCCACTGTTACCCCAGTCCAAGCTACCAGGACTCATGGAGACTGAGGAAACCCAGTGGGCCTCAGTTTCCATAAACCTTGTTCCTGACTCACAGCAAGTCATAACTTGGCTTCATAATGCTAACTCCCAGAGAGGCTTAATGAATTAAGTACCTAGTAGTGGAGTTAGACATGAATTCAAAGTCAGCCTCTGTTATTTGCACTACCACATGATCTTGAGTCCAACGTTGAATCCCTCCAAAGCCTCAGATTCTTCATTTGTAAATGGGAATAATCCGACTTGCCAGGGCTATTGGATAGTGAGTAGATGACACAAAATAATACATGAAACATGGCTCCTAGCACATCAGTGGCTCTCTAAAGCTTGGCAGCTACCCATCTTATTCCTGAACTGACACCTATATCTATGCACGCTGTAGTTTGCCTGATAAATGAGTACAGTTTTAGCTGCTTGTGGTGGGGTTATGCCAGAATTAGACTCTTCTCCCAAGCCTTAGGCAGGACTTATGAGTGTCTCATGGGGGCAGGGGCCAGGATACTGAGGGTGAAGGGCATTTGTGAGTCATGTGGTGGGAGGTGGAGTATTTTTCTACAAACCCCATTTGTCCTTCCTTGTTGCAGCTGCCTCACCAACTCAGATGGTACAGCTTCATGCAAGTGTGCAGCAGGATTCCAAGGAAACGGGACCATCTGCACAGGCAAGCGAAGGAAGGAATTTGCTGGGGGGGCTGGCAAGGCTTGCACAGGCTATTGAGAGGTTCTTGTTCCTGCAGTCTGAATGGGCCTCAGCAGCTGGTGCCAACCACTGATGGTGAATTGTATGTAATGGGGCAGTTGATTGTGCCTGGGGACAGGAAACCAACTGTTCACAGCCTTGACCACAATTGGGATCACCTGGGAAGCTTTAAAAAACAGTGATTTGTGTTGAGAACCCACATAATGATCGATGTTTCAGATGATGGATATGCTAATTACCCTCATCTATACATTATGACAGCATTACTATATACCCTAGAAATATGTCCAATTATGTGTCCATTAAAAAAGAATTTAACTCACTGATTTGATTGGCCTAGGGTATGGCTGGAGCATCGAGGGTCTGGAGCAGACTAAAAAAGAATTTGAGCCCTGGTTCTTCCTCCAACTACCCAGGTGGCCTTGGATAGCTCATTTGTAAAGTAAACTTAAAACTACCTCCCTTGCAGAGTGGTTTTGAGGTTAAGTGAGCTCTCTGTGTTCAATGGCAGAATAATGCAGCTGTTGAAAACTCAGGTCAACTTAGACTCCCCAGGTTTGAACCTAAATACTTATTACTTACATTACCTTGGGAAAGTTTCTTGACTGCTCTTTGCATTATTATTTTTATCTGCAACTTGGGGATAATAAGAAGACCTCCCTCACTGAGTTGGACAATAACCTGAATTAATACCTGTGAAGTGCTTAGAACAGACCCAGCACATAGAATTCAATAAATGCAAGCTAATATTCTTATGGTGTCTGGTGCTAGAAAAAATGGAAAATCTTAAGGTCATTTTTCTCTTGAGCACTGTGTCCTGGCAGGCTTTGGTCCAGATTGTGGCAGCACTGGACAATGATCATGCCAATCTGCTTTCTAGACCATCTTACCCTGGGGATTCTCCCAGAGGGCCAAGTAGACTCACCTTCATCCCCAGGTGTGTCCTGCAGTAGGATGTGTACAGAATGCTAATAAAAGCAGCTAGAAAGGGCAAATCACAGATGTTTTACTTGCTCTCTGTTTTTGGGAATTGGCCATATTTAATCCAGTGCCTGCTCAAGTAGTTTTGCAGTATGTTCCATTTCTCAATGACTTGAGGAAAAATACATCAATGGCTTTTGCCCTTCCCTCTCCCCTTCTGCTCTGTGTCATCTTCTATAGCAATCAATGCCTGTGAGATCAGCAATGGAGGTTGCTCTGCCAAGGCTGACTGTAAGAGAACCACCCCAGGAAGGCGAGTGTGCACGTGCAAAGCAGGCTACACGGGTGATGGCATTGTGTGCCTGGGTAGGTGTCCTTCCCTCTTCCATCGGCGAAATGGTATAAGAGTCATAGCCCTATTAAATGATTCCAACGTGTGTGCCCTGATTATCAGGACACAAAACTGAGGTCAGTATTCCATTTGCCAGGGCAGGAAAGTATAAGGGCATGGAAAAGTGACCACAGGGTATGAAGGCATGTCATGTCCAAAAATTACTTCGGAAGGGTAAAAGGAGATACATTTTCCAATTAAACATCATGGCGATGACAGAACATTTAAACTTTTATTAGTTCCTTTTTATACAAGTAGCACATGCTCACTGTAGAAAAAGAAAGCACATGTACTGGAGAAAATACTCTGAAGATAGTGCTCTTATTATTGTCATTACCCCATTTTGCTATGCCTACATGTATTTTTTTTTAACAAAAATGGTATCTCAGGATATACAGCATTTACTATGCTTAGCAATATATCAAAGTAACTCTCCCTGAAAACAAGTATACCTCTAACATTATTTAAATATCCACACACTGTTCTACTATAAAGGTATGCCATAGTAAGTTGTCTGAATTTAACTGTTTAGTTAGAAAAAAATTGACATAGAAGAGTTATACAAATAGCACAAAAAAGACCCACTTGTTCTTTACCCACATTCACCTATTAACATTTAGCCCTGGCTGGGCGCAGTGGCTCACACCTCTAATCCCAGCACTTTGGGAGACCAAGGCAGGCAGATCATAAGGTCAGGAGTTCGAGACAAGCCTGGCCAACATGGTGAAACCACATCTCTACTAAAAATACAAAATTAGCCGGGTGTGGTGGCACACACAGCTACTTGGGAGGCTGAGGCAGGAGAATTGCTTGTACCCAGCAGGCAGAAGTTGCAGTGAGCTGAGATTGTGCCACTGCACTCCAGCCTGGGCGATGGAGTGAGACTCCATTTCCAAAAAAAAAAAAAAACCATTTAGCCCTGTTTATCATTTGCTCTCTTTGTATATATACATTTTTAAGCCATTTGAGAGTAATCTGTGTATATTGTATTCCCTTTGTTCCTAAATACTTGAGTGTATATTTCCTAAGAATAAGGATAGCCTCTTACGTAACCACAGCACAGTTATCAACTTCAGTAAATTTATTATTGATGTAATACTTTTGTCTAATTACCATTCATATTCTAATTTTGTCAGTTGTTCAATAATGTCCTTTTTGACAATTTTTCCTCCAGTGAGGGATCAAGTCTAGGGCTGGATATTGTGTTTCATTGTCATGTATCTTGAGTCCCCTTTAATCTGGGAGAGTTCCTCAGCTTTGCTTTGTGTCTTATGACATTAACACATGGGAATAATATCCTCCACCTCGCCAACTTTTTTTTAGTAGCATGTCCTTTATTTGGGGTTTGCCTGATGTTTTTCATTCTTAGATTCAGGTTATACATTCAAGGCCCAAATGTCACACAAGTGATATTGCATCTGTCTCAGGGAACCTTGAGCTCTCCTTCTGCCCTCTGTGTGTGATGTTAATTTTGACCACTCAGTGAAGGTGCTGTGATGTTTCCATTATACAGTTATTTTTTTTTTCTACTTTACTACTGATAAGCAGTCAGAGGAGACACACTTTAACACCAAGCAGATATGTTGTTCCCCCTCAAAATATGCTCCTTAGTTTAGCATCTTTTGATGATTCTTCCCTGAACCAATCTATATTGTGATGGTTGCAAATGATTGTTTTTAATTCCTAAGTCTCTTCATTCATAGCAGTCTTAGATTAGACTCCAAGATTCTATGGTTTCAAGTACTTTGCTACAAATGCTCAAATTTATTCCACGGACTGATTTAAGCCAGTAGACAATCCCTCTGCTGGAACTGGCCTATCCCAGAATAGTCAATCTTAAGAAACCATATACAGTACCCTCCTAGTTCAGTTATTTCTGTCTCAGAACTTCCAGAAAACTGAATCATGCTTTGACACCCGCTCCCTTCAGTCAGTTAGCCATCTTAGCTCATCCCTCAAGCTGGCTTCACTTGGAAACCAGACTGGATTTCCAGGCCAGATGTTGGCTTTTTGTTTTAAAGAAATCAACCCGTGTTTGGAGAACCATGGTGGCTGTGACAAGAATGCGGAGTGCACACAGACAGGACCCAACCAGGTGAGTGCCACCTCTCCCAGGCCCTTAGGTTTCCTAAAAGGGAACTCCTAGGTCTTTAGACACAGGCCTGAGAGAAAGAGGCTGAGAACGGACCTCTAAAGAGCTGCAGCTGAAAATAAATACTTTAGGGGAAATTCTGAAAGAATCAAGAGGCCCTTCTTTGGGAATGAGGTGAAATGGGGGAAAACCAAGGGTACTAGGACAAGGGGCTTCCCTAGAGTGCGGAGAAGTAGGTATCTGCAAATACCATGTGATTCCAGAAGCATCTAGACAGTCCCCTAAAATACTCCACTTTCTTTCAGCATTCTGATGCCCAGAATCCCACACTTTATCTTTGGCTTAAGGCTCTGAAGCACATGTGCCATGGTGGAAGATAATACTGTGGGCACTCTACCAGTCACATGGCCCTGAGTACCATGAGCTTGCAGCATCTGTCTGGAGAGCAGGCTGGGGGAGGTGGGGAAAACATGAGAGCAACCGCATCAGAGAATGGGGGTCACAGGGTGGAAAGATACAGGCAGGGAAGCTGGAGGCCTGGAGACCCAAGTTCGGCCTTCCTCAGTTTCTGCCACATGGTGAACAAGCAAAATGGCCAGACAGGAAATCACATATATCCAAAATTGGATGACAAAGTGAAGTCACCAGTGAATGCTCTATTGACCTAGTTGAGCCATCTGGAGACCTCAGTGCCAGGTCTCTCAATGGGCAGATCAAGCAAGTACCTAAAGTACGCAAAAATAAGGAAAAAAAATTGTCTTGAAAGAACTGTGTGAGCACACATGCACATGTGTGTGGACACATTTAGTCATGGGGGAATTCGGAACAGTCAATGCTGAGCTTTCTTAGACATCTTTTGAGGTTTGGTAGTTTTTATTTCAAACTACATATGAGGTAGGAGATAATCTATAAACTTTTTGGTGCTTGGGACCTCCAAGGGTGCCCATCCAGTCCTAGGGGGCAGTAAAGGAGGATGTGGAGTTGAACTTTGAGAACAAGACGTTAGCTGAGGAGGGACAGCTGGTGATGTCTTGGGAAAGGTTTGCACTGATATTGGGGCCCATTGTGAAGAAAGAGGAAGAGAAACGGGAAAACCTGCCCGTGTAGCCCTAGCTGGCACCAATGATGACTTAAAGTTCTAAGAAGCAGACGTCAACCCAGGGCCCTTGCTGCTACATAGGAGGCCCTTGTGTGAGTTAGAAAAGCTGCCTCCTGGGAGGGCACAGTGGGAGCAGGTGTCTCTTCCTTTGGGGACATCAGTGAATAGAGTGTGAGCTGGGCTTCAGCCCAGTGGCCGGGTGCTCCTGCGCAGACATGGGACATGGGACCTTGTCCCCAGCTTCTTCAGACAGTGTCCCCTCCCTCAACTTGAAGCTTCCACCCAACTTCCTGGGCCAACCAATGGGTTTGATAGATTGTTTCCATGTGCACACCTCAGTGGGCTATAAAGGTCTCTCCTTAGCATCTCCTAGCACTGGTGCCTTTCAGCTCAGCATGGGCGCAGATGAGCAAGATATGAGTATGAATGAGAGTGGGATATAGTTGGGCTTCTTCTCAACTGACCTTTACCAATCAAAGAAAAGAGGTGAATACCTGAAGGCAAGGGACCAAATGGAGTGAGAACATTAAAAAGAAAAAAAACGGTATCTTAGCAACAAAGATAGGATGTGCATGAGATCCCAGTGCTCAAGTGAAGTGTGTCAAGTGCTAAAATATTAAACATAGGGTGACAATTATCATTATAAAATAGATATTACCAACGTCAAATAGAGACTCTCCTAACATTACCATGACCATGATGGAGTTCAGGTCTGAGAGCCAGACCATGCGGCCAGTACAGAACCCACCTGCAAAATGACCCCATGTGCTTCTACTCCTGGACAGGCTGCCTGTAACTGTTTGCCAGCATACACTGGAGATGGAAAGGTCTGCACACTCATCAATGTCTGCTTAACTGTGAGTATGGCTCTAGGGTGGATATCCTTCAAGCCTCAGAGCCCAGGGTGCCTCCCACCCCACTTCTCGGGGATGCAGAGTTGAGGAACTCTTCCTCTGGAGGCCTCAGAGCTGTGTGTTGACCATGAGGCTTGTTTCTCTGGCACACTCCATTGTAATGTTGGGGAGAAAAGAGAGAAGGCACAGTCTGCTACCCCCAGCCTGCCCCTTTGGCTGCACCATATTGAGCTAAGTCTATCCACTTGCTTATCCCCTATCCATATTGCCAACTCTTATGAAAAAGATCCCTTTCCACCAAGCATGTCTCTCACCTCCTCTAGGAAGCCATCTTAGGTAAACCTCACAGCAACTTTCCACTCCTTATTCTCCTAGACTTACACGTAGGAATCCACAGCGAGCGCACTATGAGTCAACAATATAGTGTAGCATTCCAAAAGCTTGTTCTGTCATCACAGAGGCCTAGAGGACAGGCTAAGGAAGATGATTCTACTCTCACCCCACAACTACCCTCCATGGCCCCTACCACCCCCATTCTACATGATAACTCTACCTTAGAACAGAAGATCCAGTTCTAGATGCTCTGCATTGAGCAGGGGTTCATATGGGGATAGAAGCACTGTGTCTCCTATGTCCATGCACACATCATTAGTTCTCCCAGTTCTCTCTCTCTAAAGAGGAATTGGGATGTAGGGTGGAGGCTGCCACCAACATTTCAAGGATTGCCACAAAACAGAAGGGTTGTTCTTGTTCTGTGTAAGTCCAAGCAGTAGGACTAGGACCAGCGGATGGACATTAGAAGAAAACAGATTTCTTTCAACTTAACTCACTTATTTCATTAGAACTGTCCAGACATAGAGAGTTTTGAGAAGTAATGAGCTTATTATAACTCAAGGTATTTAACTATAGGAATGAAGCAACAGATGGGTTATCAACCCAGACAGCCATTTAGATTCCTCCCAGCCCTGATCCACATGACTCTAGGGTTTTCGGTTGGTTTGCTTCTTGGGACCTCAGTTTCCTTGGATGGTTATAAGTGTCCCTGGAATTCCTTTTACCACTAACATCTGGGCTTTGACTTTCTTCCTCCAGTCTGTAGGATATTGTTGACACACTTCTTGTCTCCGTTTGCATGTCGATCCTGGCAGGAGCAGGATCTTCTGATTTTCTTATAACCCTTGACTGCAGGCTGGACCCATGTTATGCAAACGAGGAGTTTACTCAGTCATTAATCACTGAGTCTCAAACTGGGCTAGTCGCCTACTGCTGCTCAGAGCCTAATTGTCCCAGGCCTGGTACCTGCAAAGGGATGAGATAAGCCTGCTGACCCAGCCTGTCACATCCGGAGCAGTTTGTGTGGTCAGCTAGGCCTCTGAAGTCCTGCATCAATGTCACATTCATATCCACTGCTTGCCAGGGGTCAGCCACTGTGCTTAGGGGTGCCCAATCATTCTTTCGTTTAATTTCTCTAACAGCCATATGAGGTAAGAACTGTTATTAACCCCATTTTACAGACAAAGAGACTCTAGCTGTGCCTCTTTCCTAGGACTGCTATAACAAACTGCCACAAACTGGGTGGGTGAAAACAATAGAAATGTATTTTCTCACAGTTCTAGAGGACCAAATCCAAAATTAAGGTGCCTGCAAGGATGTGCTCCCTCTGAAGGCTCTGTGGGAAAATCCTTCCTTTCCTCTTCCAGCTTCTGGTGACTCCAGGCATTCCTGGCCTGCGGCCGCATCACTCCAATCTTGCCTCCATCTTCACATGGCCTTCACTTCTGTATCTGTGTCTTCTCCTCTTGCAAGGACATTTGTGGCATTAAGTGGTTAATCTAGGATGATGTTATCTGGAGATCCTTAATTACATCTGTAAAGACTCTTTTTCTAAATAAGTTGCATCCACAGTTGCATCCAGTCCTTAGGACAGTTCAACCCACTAGGCTGTGAGGAGTGAAGGCCCTTGCCCAAGGCCACAGAGCTAGTATGTGGCATGGCCAGCACTTGAGCCTATCTCTGTCCTACTCAAGACCTGCACCCTTGACCACTTCTTGGGGTGCTTATTCTTCCTACAAGGCCCAATCCCAACACCTTGCTTTCCTGTTTATATTACTTCCCACCTGAGAGCCTCCAGCTGTTGACATGAGAACAGTGCAGACGCCCTGTAATTAAAGCCCTTCTTCTTCAATTGAGGCTCCCATTATCTCCTTGTGTTTGTCTGGCAAGCTCCTCAAGAGATCAATGTCCTCTACATGAAACAGTTATGTAAGGATAATAAAGAAGAAGCTACGGAAAAGATGGGGGCTGAGATGTGAAGCTATTACCACTAGAACTATGGCCAGCTTAATTTTCACAGCAATTCTTCCATGGGCCATTCATGTTTTGTAAAAAAAAATGGCCACCTTGTCTTGGACAAATGACTCCTGATACAGCTGACCTGGGAGATTCTGAAGGTCTTTTGCTACTCTATCTCAGCAGCATATTCCCATGGGAATTAACTCTATTGCAAGATTGTAAAATTATAGGCCATCAGGGGCCAGGCAGGGAATAATATCAACAGGAAGACCCAAATCATATTGCTGCTCTAATGGGGAAATATCTACTCCAACTGACTGGTGCTCTAAGCTATGTCAGCCCAGTGTTGACGGTACTCCTGACATTTTAAAAGATATGAAAATTTATGAATTTGTATGTAAATTTTACTAATTTGTAAATGATGGTAATTCATTCCAAAAAGCTCTTTTAAATACTGGGCTAAAGAAACAAAATAGTCCTGGTGCTAAATCTGGCCCAAGAACAATTATTTCTGCTCAAGTCCTACCAACAAGGACTGTGAAACATTGCCTTTCCTGAGTTAGTCCCCAGTCCAAACTGTTTTAGTTCATTTGTGCTGCTTTAACAGCACAGAGGATACCTGAGACTGGGTAGCTTATAAGCAACAGAAATTTATTTCTCACATTCTGGAGGCTGGGCAGTCCAAGATCAAGGCACTGGCTAGTTCTGTGTCTGCTGCAGGTCTGCTTCCTGGTTCACAGACGGTGCCTTCTTGCTCATTGGTAGAAGGGACAACTGAGTTCCCTTGGGTCTCTGTTTTCTTCTCTTTTCACATCAGAAGGGTAATGTGTCAATGTTGTAACAAGTTTTGAGGGAGGCACATCTCATAGAATAGTGTGAAAACCCAATATCAAGCTAATGAACCACAAAAGGATCTCTCTTTTATAAGGGCACTAATCCCATTTATAAAGGCTTTGCCCTCATGAACCTAATGACCTTCTAAAGGCCCCACCTCCTAATACCATAGTGAGGGTTAGGTGGGGGACACAAACATTTAGACTAGAGCAGGAGGCAAACATGTTGATGGAACAGAGACTGGGTGAGAGGGGAAGGGTCGTAGTGATCAGACAAGGCCTCTCTGCCGAGGTGACTCATTCCTGAATGTTAAGAAGCGGGCAGCCACATGAAAATCTTGGGGAAAATGTATAAGCAAAAGGAAGAGCAAGCCAGGGGTCCTGGGAAGAGGAAGAGCTTGGCATGTTCTGGGAACTGAAGAGAGAGCCAGTGTGAATGCAGTAAAGGGAATAAAAGGGAGGTGGTGAGAGGGGCCAGATCACCTTACCCCATGTAGGCTATGCTGTGGAGCTTATATTTTTTTCCAGTTGTGACTAGGAAGCCACTGGATGATCATGTAGGTCAATGTCAATGTCTGGCTTGGCTCTCAAATCTCATTCTGGCTGCTGTGATGACTATGCAGGATAGGGGTTCTAAAGCAGAAGCAAGAAGACCATGTAAAAGACTAATGATGCTGACCAAGAAAGACCAGGGTGGTATGACTAGAGCTATAGCAGTGGGTGTAATAAGAAGTCGCTTGGGCCAGGTGGACATAGTGGCTCATGCCTATAATCCCAGCACTTTGGGGCACTGAGGCAGGAAGTTCACTTGAGCTCAGGAGTTTGAGACCAGCTTGGAGAGAGAGGGAGATAAATCACTGGACAGGGGATGTATTTTGGAGATAACCAATAAGACCTGCTGATAGACTGGATATGGGAAATACAAGGAAAAGGAATCAAGGACACTATCTAGATTTTTTGTTGAGACATGTTGGTTCTACTCATGAAGATAAGGATGGCTTAGGAGGAAATGTTGAGTGAAATATCAACAGGTCTGTCTTTTTGTTGAGTTTGAGTTGCTTGGTAGCCATTCAAGTGAAGATTTCCAGTGAAATGTAAGCCTGAAGGAGAGATCATGACAGAGGTACAAACATAGCGGTCATTGGCACACAGATGGTATTTAAACACAGGGGACTGACTGAAGCACAAGATGAAAGGTAGAGGCAAAGACGGGGCAGGTGGAGGGGCCCTGGATATTAAGCCATTGAGCAGAGGAAGAAGTACTTACGGAGAAGCCTCAGTAAAAAAGCCCACAATGTGGAAGGAAAACCACTTATCAAGTATAGTGTCAACAGAGACCAAGAGAAGAAAATGTTTCAAGAGGAGTGATTGTACAGGCAAAGGATGTTGAGATGTCACCTATGTTGAGAGAAGAGAACTGACCACTGCCTTCTCAAGGTCTCAATTCTTGAAGACAAGATCAAGGTGGAGGCTTGTGTAAAAGTGGCACCAAGAGCCTGGAAGTAAGTTGAGAAGAAAATTGGAAGTAAGGAAAGTAGAAACATAGACATTTGCAAGGATCTTCCTGGGCAAATAAATGGGTAGTTAATGGAGAAGGATGTGGACTAAAGTAAGTAATGTTCCTAACACTTTACCCTGGAAAATTTTAAACCTACATGAAACTAGAGCAACTAATACATGAACCCATCTGTACCTGACACTCAGGTGAAAGAGTCAACTCATGGTCAGTCTTTGTTCATCTATACCTAGTACGTTCTCTTAAAGGAAAAAAAAAGGAGTTTGGCTTTTTTCAAGATGAGTAATATGAAGGCATGTTTTTGTGCTGGGGAGTATGATCTGATAGAGGGGAGGAAACCACTCCTGAAGGAGAGCAGGTTGTTGTTACAGGAGGGGGTGAGAGGGAGTGGGACCCAGACCCCAGGTGGAGACATCACCCTCAGATAGAAGCAGACGTAGTGTCGGTCAGTATATTAGTCAGTGATGAACTAGTGAGTCCATTAATGAGTCAGTCCATTAGTTAGTTAGTTGTTAGTACACTTGTTAAATAAGGAAAGCACAGTCCGTGAGTTCAGACCCAAACAAGTGGTGAAGCTCAGGATGGGGAGATGAGGTGGTTCTTGTTACCTGTGTCTCTTTTCTCCATGAGGCACAAGTGGGGCTCATCAACTAAGATGAGAGGACAGTAATTGAGAGTTGAGAAAGGTGAGGAGTGGAATGTCATCTGTATTAGTCAATTTTCACGCTGCTGATAAAGACATACTCCAGACTGGGCAACTTACAAAAGAAAGGTTTATTGGGCTTACAGTTCCCCATGGCTGGGGAGGTCTCATAATCATGGTGGAAGGTGACAAGCATGTCTCACATGGTGGCAGATAAGAGAAGGGAGCTTGTGCAGGGAAACTCCCATTTTTAAAACCATCAGATCTCCTGAGATTCATTCACTATTACAAGAAGAGCACAGGAAAGACCTGCCCCACAATTCAATCACTTCCTACCAGGTTCCTCCATGACACATGAGAATTGTGGGAGTTATAATTCAAAATGAGATTTGGGTGGGAACACAGGCAAACCGTAACATCATCTCTAGAGAGAGGGAAATTAAATGTACTGCAAAAGTGCAAGCATCTGTGTACATACCTTTGAAGGGAGTCCAGATAGCATGTATCGTGACTTTCTCAGGCAATGCACCGCCAGCCCGGCAGACCCAGAGAAGTTAGAGTGGGGCCCAGGAGGGCTAGGGATTTGCCAAGCCATAGTGATGGAGGGAGAGAAGAGCCAGGGAGGGTCACAGTGTTCCACCTTGCCAGCTGGCTGGGGTTCGAGGGGACTGAGTGGGTGGGCAGGAATGCTGGGGAGAAAGAAGTAAGCTCAAAGGAGGGGAGGTTCCTGTGGACCAAAGGAGGTTGGAGACTGCAGTATTAGAAGAGATAAGTTGAAATGATAAAAGTTGGTGGCCAGAGAGAGAGGGATGCTTGAAATGGAGCTCTCAGGAGCAGTCAGTGCACTTTAATGTTGACTGCAAAGCCAGGGGATGGGGACAGGGGTGGTAGAGGCCGTTGACAAGGGTATTGACACTGCCACGGACGGCAACATCAAGAATGAAGGGAAAGGCGGTGATCCAGGCAACACCATTAGGACCAAAGAGTAAAAATTGGTAAAGGATTATGGATACTATGTGTTTAAAGGATGAGGGTGTTTGGAAGTGACAATGTACAGTAAGAAAGACACTCTCCCAGCACAGCCAGGACATTGCCACTTCAATCCCTCACCAGTGTGGAGGTAGTGGAGGAAAACAGCTTCACTTGAGGGGCATAGGAAGGGCAATGTTTGCAGGAGACAAAGACCTCTGCAGGAAGAGGTGAAGGGAGCTTACTAAGGTGAGAATGTCAGAAAGTTGCTAATGGCAATGACTTTGAGAAAGCACGGGGAAGGGTTTGTGAGGAAGGGGCCTATGGGGTCAGGTGATGCGTGTGTAGAGGAACATGGGGTGAGTGTCCCTGCAGTGAGCGTTCCCATGGATGTTAGCTTTGAACCGTGCTTTGCTTTGTTTGTATTTTAGGTCTCTGCCCATCTTCCACAACTTATAAGCTCTTTGAGGGCTGGGACAATGTGTTCTATTTTGTACCACCTGCCTTCTCTCTGATAATGGTTACCTTTTCCTATGATCAGAGTTTAGCTTAAAGCTGGGAAGTATCAAACAGGTGGGGTCTTCCTAGTTAATACCTGGATGCTGAGAAATTTCCAATTTGGCAACTCTGGGCTTACCTGTACAGGGCTGGAGATCTGCTCAAAGGGACCTGTCATCTTAGGATACAAGGCCAGGTGAATAAGATGCCCCTATGAGCATAGGGAATTGGAAGGCAAGCTCAGGAAAAGGATAAACAATACAAATGAATCAAAGAGAGTGAGACAAAAAATGAATTCAAACGCAGAATTGCTTTGTAAATATCGGTAGAGCTGGCAAACTAACTGGTCTAATCCCCATCCCTTGCCCCTTGGCAATTTTACCAGAAAAATGGCGGCTGTAGTGAATTTGCCATCTGCAACCACACTGGGCAAGTAGAAAGGACTTGTACTTGCAAGCCAAACTACATTGGAGATGGATTTACCTGCCGCGGCAGCATTTATCAGGTAACGCGAGACATGTTTCCATCAAGTAAACTCTACTTCCCTAAAAATGCCAAGAATCCAGGTAGCTAAGGAGTATTTAAGAGCTTGGTGAAATGTAAAGCGCTATAAAAATATGAAAGGCAATTTTACATAAATCAGCAATGAAAAGAAATTTTGTCTTCCTCTGGGAATTCATTTGACCTGAGGAAGAGTGTAATGTAGGGATTAAGGTGGACCGACAGCTCTGGAGTCAGAAACACTTGGGTTTGAATTCAGTTCTCCTGGTTGGTAATGTGACTTTGAGCATATTATGTCACCTCTCTGTATATCAATTTTCCAATCTGTAAAAGAAAATAATGGTGGTACAAACTGCATCAGGTTGTTAAAATAAGGTAATATGTGCAAAGGACACAGAGTGCTCAATAGCTCAACCACATTACCATGGCGTGGATTGCAGTGTGTGCATGTGTGCGTGTGCATGTGTGCGTGCACGTGTTAATGTGTGTACACGTGTGTGTGCATGTGTGTACGTGTGTGTGCTTGTGTGTGCATGCAGGTGCATATGTGCATGTGTGTATGCACGTGTGTGTGCATGTGTGTGTGTACTGAGCATAGTGGTTGAGGCAAGGTGATATTTGCAGCTTTCTATTATAAAGTAAATGTTCAGTTATTTAAAGAGGGACAAAAATGTTCCGGCTGATCAAATATTGTTACTAGAGTAACCAAATCTGCCATAAACCTATAACTGATTTTTTTTAAATATTTGAAAGTCAGAAAATGCTCTTAAAGTTCAGATACTTCTGGAAATGGCTGAACCTTTCTTTCATAAATCAGATGGCGATTCCAGAAAGGTTATAGAATTCACACTATGTCCACATAGTCATTCTGAACGTTAATTGTCAGCCTACAGATGAAGCTCCAAAAAGGCCCGGTGTTACAGATTTCCAGCTGAAGGGATGGCAGAGAAATCATCCCATGACAACCCTGTATTGTTCTAATATATATTTCACAGGCATTAAGTGAAACTACTCTTTGTTTGCAGGAGCTTCCCAAGAACCCGAAAACTTCCCAGTATTTCTTCCAGTTGCAGGTAGGAAATATACATGTCTGTCTAGCCATAAGAGTTCAGCCTAGGCCAGGTGCAGTGGCTCACACCTGTAATTCCAACACTTTGGGAGGCCAAGGCGGGCAGATTGCCTGAGCTCAGGAGTTCGAGACCAGTCTGGGGAACATGGCAAAACCCCGTCTCTTTTAAAAATACAAAAAAGATTAGCTGGGCATGGTGGCGCAGGCCTGTAGTCCCAGCTACTTGGAAACTGAGGCGTGAGAATTGCTTGAACCTGTGAGGCAGAGGTTGCAGTGAGCTGAGATCATGCCACTGCACTCCAGCCTAGGTGACAGAGTGAGACACTGTCTCAAAAATAAATAAAGAGTTCAGCCTCAAGCCAAATACAGGATAAACTGGTGGCCTCTAGAGTTGGTGAGGGTAGAAGAAAGTCTGGGACCCTGGATTTCTAGAATTTTCTACATAAGAATGTAGTACATGAAAAGACTCCCATCACACTGGTAGAGAAAAAGGTGTGACTGGGACAGCTAGTTAACACTTGGGGTAAAAATTAAGTTTGATCTTTCTGCACATCATACATCTGAATGAGATTCAGATATAAGAATAAAATATAAAAAACTAAAATAAAATCATAAAAATGTAAGAAATAAGATTTTAATAAAATCATTAAAAACTAGAAGAAAATATGCTCATAGTAACCATATGATCTTAGAATTGCAAGAAGACAATTATAACAGTTAAGTATATCAACTCACGTTTTATGTTTGTATTATTATCCTAATGATATAAAATACTGATATGTGCAAGAGACATTGGAAAAAAATACCTGAAAATAGTAAGAGCTGCTTCTAGGTGGTGGGACTAGGGAGGCAGCTATTATTTTTTTCTTTGTGCTGTATTTTCAAAATCTTTAATACAATAAACGTGTTAATTTTATAATGAGAAGAAAACCACACACAATTTCAACGACGGAGAATCTGGGTTTCATTTGAATCCAAGACTGAAACAGAGGTCTCCTCATCCAGTCTTTGCTTCACCCAGGTGCCATCATCTCTGGTATTAGTTTGAGCCCCGGCATGTATTGATGTTAAGTGAGTGATGTGTGAGCCTCACCTTTCTTCCCACAGGAGCATTTCGTGAAAGATCTGGTCGGCCCAGGCCCCTTCACTGTTTTTGCACCTTTATCTGCAGCCTTTGATGAGGAAGCTCGGGTGAGCATGAGACTGTGGGCAGAAGGGGGAGGTCTGCGGCTGGAACATAGTCCTTGGGCCTCGCCCTGGAACCAAGACTGGAGATGTTTCTAAGCAGGAGCTCTGAGATCAGGTGGAACTCACCAGCAATAGAAGGGGCTGCCTCTTGGCACAGGGACCCCTGTCAGGGGAAACATTCAGGTGGATTTGGGGTAACCACTGGCCAGAGACTTTCTAAAGGACATTCCTGAACAAAGTATGAGGTTGGAGAAGATTAACAATTCTCAAGTGATTTAGACCTCCTATAGACAAAAAACAGGGGAGTGGAGGGAGAGATGCTGGGTTAAAGAGATTTAAATAGATTCTTTTCTTGCAGGATTTATCAGAGCCTTTACTGTTCTAATATTCACGGGGGCTCTTCATACTGGATTGCCCATTCATAATAATGATGGGTAACATTTACTGTGAGTGTCCAACACTGTTCTGAGTACCCGGCTTAGAATGACTCATTTGGTCCTCACAACAACCCTGTGAGTTCTGCTGTGATCCTCATTTTACAGCTGTGAATACTGAGGGAAGTAGCTTTCCCAAGATCACATGACTAGCAGGGGGTGGAGCAAAGACCCAAACCTGGGCCCGTGTACTTAACCACTGTACACCCAGCCTCTCCATGCCTGTATTTTGGACACCAGCAAAGCAGAGGCACAAAAATAGTTTTTGAAAGAACTTGACACTTTATAATTCAAAATAAAAAGCCATTAAAGGAGTTATGAAACAATGAGAATTTTGTGGGCTTTTGATTATTTACTTTATGTTAATATTGTTTGATTGTTTGTTTTTGAGACAGGGTCTTGCTCTGTCACCCAGGCTGGAGTGCAGTGCCATGATCTCGGCTCACTGCAGCCTCTACCTCCTGGGTTCAAGTGATTCTCATGCCTCAGCCTCCGGAGTAGTATTTTTAGTAGAGATGGTGTTTTACCATGTGGGCCAGGCTGGTCTCGAACTCCTGGCCTCAAGTGATCCACCCGCCTCGGCCTCCCAGAGTGCTGGGATTACAGGCATGAGCCACTGCACCCAGCCTTGTTTGTATTTTGAATTCCAAATGGAGATACGTCATGATCTTCCCACTACTAAAGGTTTAAATCTGGCACTGATACCTCTCCAAGAGGGCTATATACTATGCAGTGTTTCCCAGCATGTTTCACAAGAAAATTCTTTTTTGAGGATCATCTCACAGAACTTGGGATCTTTGCAACATGTATTGTGAAATCCAGGCCAGAGGAACCCCATGTTCCTTCCACACTGATATTCCACAATGGAGGCAAGAAAGGAGCTAGAGTCACTTCCTCCCTTTTGTCTGAACAGCCTCCACTCTATAATCCTGACCACAAAGCTTACTTCCCAGAGTCTGGGTGGGCCGAGAGGTGTGGAAGAGAGAATGGAGGACAGGAGAGCCAAATGGCACATTGCAGCAAAAGACTCCTGCCTCTGGCTGAAACCCTCTGATCTTCTGTTACAGGTTAAAGACTGGGACAAATACGGTTTAATGCCCCAGGTTCTTCGGTACCATGTGGTCGCCTGCCACCAGCTGCTTCTGGAAAACCTGAAATTGATCTCAAATGCTACTTCCCTCCAAGGAGAGCCAATAGTCATCTCCGTCTCTCAGGTAGATGCCAGTTATCCTTAGGTCCTCTCTCCCCTAGATCATGTCCTTTGCAGGAACCTGGATGGAGCTGGAGGCCATCATCCTCAGCAAACTAATGCAGGAACAGAAAACCCAATGCTGCATGTCCTCACTTACAAGTGGGAGCTAAATAATGAGAATTCACGGACACATAGAGGGGAACAATACACACTGGGGCCTAGTGGAGGGTGGAGAGTGGGAGGAGGGAGAGGATCATGAAAAATAACTAATAGGTACTAGGCTTAATACCTGGGTGATGAAATAATCTCTACAACAAACCCCCATGACACAAGTTTACCTGTGTAGCAAACCTGCATATGTTCCCCTGAACATAAAAGTTGTTTGCTTTTTTTTTAAACAAAGTAAGTGCCTTATCCTTAGGTCCTCTTTCTCTTTTTTTCCTTAAAGTAATATAAGAAATAATAATAACATACGTTAAGTGATTTCTGTATGCAGGCACTTAGTATTTGATGTGTACTAACTCATTTAATCTGCAAAATACTCCCTTGATATAGACAGTGTTAATCCTTAATTTCCGAATAAGAAAACTGAGCTCAGAAAGGTTAAGTAACTTGTCCAAGGTCACACAAAGAGCAAATATTAAAGCCAGGATTAAAACTCAAGGGCAGGCCTCTCCAAGTAGTAAATAGAACTGCTTTTGGTAGCATTAGTCAGAAGCTGGGAAGGTTTGAAAGCTTTTGATCCAAGCCACTTGACCAGACTGGTCCAGTCCCTCCCTACTACAGAGAAAAAAATGGTGACTGTAGAATTCCTTGCAGAAGGAAAAAAGCCAGGGGAGGAGGTATAGAACAAATATAAAAGAGAAGCCAATTTTGAGCTGCTTGCTTATTTCACATTGGAGAATCATATTGAAATTACTGTTTTAGATGATTCTATGTTATAATTAACTTCTCCAGGTGAAAGTTACATTTTTATCTCTGTTTTCACTTTATAATCATAATAAAAATACACTCAAGTATTAACTTGGATATTCAGTTTTTGCTCCTGATAATTTGACACATTGGTAAAGCATTCTGTGAGAAGCAATTTTGTGTCTATTTCACTTTGCACTCATTTCTTTTTTGTTTTTGGTTGATTTCAGAGCACGGTGTATATAAACAATAAGGCTAAGATCATATCCAGTGATATCATCAGTACTAATGGGATTGTTCATATCATAGACAAATTGCTATCTCCCAAAAATTTGCTTATCACTCCCAAAGACAACTCTGGAAGAATTCTGGTAGGTAAACTCTCTGTTATGTTTTCAGCCTGGAGTGACTCAATACATTATCATCTCTATTCTGATTCGAAGTCATCATTTTGAAACATTTTCTTTTTCTGCTTCAATCTCAAGCTATTATTAAAAGCCTAGTAAACATTATTCTTAGTAAGAAATAAATAAGTAAAAGACTATCTTAAATTGATAAGTGGGTTTTATATGTTTTTCTATAGCATCCACAAGGACAGGTAGTCTTACATAGGTTTAGAAAATGGAGAAGATAGATAAAATTAATTCTGGAGTAAAATTCCTTCTAAATTGACAGAAAATGTAATTTTAACTTTTATTTTTATTTATTAATATAGGTCAAGGTCTTCCACAGCAGAACACAGAATCCACTACACTTAGACAAAAAAAAGTTTCTTGAGATAGTAGATACATCATCAAATCTCTGGAAGGGTAGAGCCTAATTCGGATGCTACACAGCTGGGAGCAGAGCAGCCCAAGGAGGTCTACAAAGGGTAGACACCTGGCTAGGTGCAGTGGCTCAAACCTGTAATCCCAGCAATCCGGGAGGCCAAGATGAACAGATTGCTTGAGTCCAGGAGTTCAAGACCAGCCTGGGCAACATAGTGAAACCCTGTTTCTACTAAAAATACAAAAAACTAGCCAGGTGTGATGGTGCATGCCTATAATCCCAGCTACTTGGGAGGCTGAGGTGGGAGAATCACCTCATCCCAGGATCAGATGCTTGCAGTGAGCTGAGGGCAGTGACCTGAGATCATGCTACTGCACTCTAGTCTGGGCAACCAGAGTGAGATCCTGTCTAAAAAAGTTTTTTTTAATTAAACACACACACGAAGGGTGAACACCTAACCTGATAACCTTACCACCAACACCAGGCTGTTCTGGCTGTCCTGGCTGTCACAGCTCTGTGACTGCCACCTGTCTCCAGCCTCACCACCTTGGACACTAGACACTGGGCTATAGATGTCCCCATTGTGCTTGCCAGAGGGGTTGATCTCCCTTCTAGCAGCTGCTGCCACCTCATATTATTTCTTTCCACCAAGAAGCTTTGCACAAGTGCTTCTGCTTGGAGGACCTTATATATCACATTGGGGTTCTAGCTGCAAGGGAGTCTGGGAAAAAGTAGCGCTTAGCCTACTAGTCTCTAGAATGCAGAAAAGCGTGGTCAGAAGAGAGTTGGAGCAGGTGCTGATGAGCCCATCTATGTATCCGTCAGGTTATGTTACCTTTACTTTTTTTCACTTGAGCTCTTGTTAAATTCCTCTTAAACTGTATAAGGAAAAGTTTCATGCCCATTCTTATTATCTTTGCAGCAAAATCTTACGACTTTGGCAACAAACAATGGCTACATCAAATTTAGCAACTTAATACAGGTAAAAATTTAGGGGAAGTTGACTCAGAGGATAACCTGCCTAAAGAAGTTTTGTTTTGTTTGTTTTGTTGTTGTTTCTGTTTTGTTTTGACATTGGCCAGCTGTTGTGGGATCTGCATGGGGAAGTCTCAGTTTTCTGGAGAGCAAAGTCATTCTCTGCCACTCCCTTCTTAGAATGTTATATGGCTTGTTGAGCTATATAATGTACATTGGCTGAGTTAGAAATTGAGGATTTGAGGCTGGGGAGAGGGAAAGAAATTGGAATGTGGCAGTAGTGTACTAGGTGCTTCACATCTGGAATTATCAACTCCATTATAAAGATGGGGAATTTGCATGGGAGAGTTGGGAACTCTATGCCTGTGAGGCAGGTAGAAATTAAAACCGTATCTTTCTGGCAGGCACAGTGGCTCACACCTGTAATTTCAGCACTTTGGGAGGCCAAAGCAGGTGGATCACTTGAGGTCAGGAGTTTGATACCAGCCTGGCTAACATGGTGAAACTCTGTCTCTACTAAAAATACAAAAATTAGCTGGGCATGATGGCATTCACCTGTAGTTCCAGCTACTTAGGAGGGTGAGGCAGGAGAATCACTTGAACCCAGGAAGCAGAGGTTGCAGTAAGCTGAGATCGCACCACTGCACTCCAGCCGGGGTGACAGAGTGAGACTCCATCTCAAAAACAAAAAAGACATATCTTACTGACTCCAGAGATTGTTCCCATGAATTGAGTAGAAACTTCCAGTATGAACAAAAGATTGCAGAGGAGAATAGGGAGGAGCAGGCCAAGCATCTTTCTGAGGCTCCCTCTTCCCTGATACTCAACCCTGAGCAGTCACTGGGGACTCCAGAATTTGACTTTCTGATTTGCTGTCCAAGAAAATACAGGTCAGGATGGGCACAGTTGGCTCATGCCTGTAATCCTAGTACTTTGGGAGGCCAAGGCAGGAGGATTGCTTGAGCCCAGGAGTTTGAGACCAGCCTGGGCAACATGGCGAAACCCCATCTCTACAAAAATACCAAAATGTGCAGAGTGTGGTGGTGCATGCCAGTAGTCCCAGCTACTCAGGAGGTTGAGGTGGGAGGATCACTTGAACCCACGAGGTTGAAGCTGCATTGAGCTGTGACTGTGCTACTGCACTCCAGCCGGGGCAACAGAGTGAGACCCTGTCTCAAAAATAAGAAAAAAAATTGTAGGTCAGAATGGTTGGGGTGTGATGGGCTTCTAGTTTCTCTAGCTGCATCACCCTTGAACCATCCAGAGTCCCAGTAAGCCACGGGCTTGAGCATGGAGGAGAATCCTCAGAGACAGAACCCCTGCCCACATGTCTGGGCCTTGCTCAAGCCAGCAAGGGGCTGAATCCCTGTGTTTCAGGACTCAGGTTTGCTGAGTGTCATCACCGATCCCATCCACACCCCAGTCACTCTCTTCTGGCCCACCGACCAAGCCCTCCATGCCCTACCTGCTGAACAACAGGACTTCCTGTTCAACCAAGACAACAAGGACAAGCTGAAGGAGTATTTGAAGTTTCATGTGATACGAGATGCCAAGGTATTTAGTTTACATGCAGACATAAGTGCAAGAATGTCCCAGGGTGGTGATAAAATTCAGCACCAAGGCATTGTGGCCTAGGAACTGTCAGTGTGTCCCTGTCACCACTGTATGCAGGAAGCCACAGCATCCCCTGCCCCACTGTGTCCTCCTCTGACTGGCCGTGGTTGATTGGCTCCTGCAGTATACCACATTTGGTTCTGTTCCTTGGACCTGCCAATTTTTTTTTTACTTTAATCAATACCCAAGAGCATCATTCCTCTCTCTACTGCAGATCAGCGTTTCCTCCTTCCTAGTTCTCCTGGCAAAATGGCTGCTGAAAACAGTTCTCAAGTTTTTCCAGATGGACTCTTTCTCATCCAATTCCAAAATTTCTAGGCAAATGACTGATTGATCCAGCTTCAATCAATTGTGGCCCCTGAACTGATTAACTGTATCAGAGAAGCACGATCATATAGAAACTAGCATGATCATATAGGAACATGCATGATCACATAGGAACATATGTGATATAGGAATAAGCATGATATAGGAGCAAGCACAATCATATAGGAATAAGCATGATCATATAGGAACATACATGATCATATAGGAACATATATGATCATATAGGAGCAAGCATCATCATATAGGAGCAAGCACGATCACAGCAGCAAGCATGATCATATGAGAGCAGCATGATCATATAGGAGCAAGCACGATCATATAGGAGCAAGCACAATCACATAGGAGCAAACATCATAAAGGAGCAAGCATGATCACATAGGAGCAAGCACGATCATAGGGGAGCAGCACAGTCATATAGGAGCAAGCACGACCATATAGGAGCAAGCATGATCATATAGGAACAAGCGCGATCATATGGGAGCAAGCACGATCATATGGGAGCAAGCATGATCACATGGGAGCATGCAGTCTTATAGGAGCAAGCACGATCATATAGGAGTAAGCATGATCATATGGGAGCATGCACAGTCTCATAGGAGCAAGCACGATCATATAGGAGCAAGCACGATCATATAGGAGCAAGCACGATCACATAGGAGCAAACATCATAAAGGAGCAAGCATGATCACATAGGAGCAAGCAAGATCATATAGGAGCAAGCACGATCATATAGGAACAAGCGCGATCATATGGGAGCAAGCATGATCACATGGGAGCATGCACAGTCTCATAGGAACAAGAGCGATCATATAGGAGCAAGCACAATCATATGGGAGCAAGCATGATCACATGGGAGCATGCAGTCTTATAGGAGCAAGCACGATCATACAGGAGCAAGCATGATCATATAGGAGCATGCACAGTCTCATAGGAACAAGCATGATCATATGGGAGCAAACATGATCATATAGGAGCAAGCACAATCATATAGGAACATGGCAGCCATCCTGAGTCCTCATCCAGGACTCATGTTTCTCTCCAGGACCAAGTCTGCTCAGTTCAAGAATGCCAAATGCCCCAACTTTAGTTCATCCACAGCATCTAGATTAGTTTCCCAGGGCTGCCATCACAAATTACCACAAGCTGGGCAGCTTAAGCCACAGAAGTGGTTTTTTTTTGTAGTAAACAGTTCTGGAGGTGAGATGTCGGAGATGAAGGAGCTGGCAAGGTTGTTCCTTCTGGAGTTTCTGAGGGAGAATTTGCTCCATGCTTCTCTCTCCGCTTCTGGTGGCTTCTGGAAATCCTTGGTGCTCCTGGATTTGTAGTGTATCCCTCCAATCTGTCTCTGCCATCACAGGACTGTCTCTCCCTGTGTGTTTCTGTGCCTTCACGTAGCATTTGCCTCTTCTTTCTTATAAGAACACCATTCAAACTAGATTAAGAGTCCACTCTACTCCAGGATTACCTCATCCTAACTAGTTACATCAGCAATGACCTCATTTCCAAATAAGATCATATTCTGAGGAACTGGGGGTCAGGACTTCAACATAACTCTTTGAGGGGCACAGTGCCACCCATAACTGCATCCTATGTCATTTCCCAGCCTCACCCACTCATTCTTTCATTGGCTTCATACGCTAAGACTGCATCTTCAGAGACTCCCAAGCATAGATGGGAGATGGAAGGGTGATTGAAACCAGTCCACCTGGTCAACTCTTTCCCTCAAGAAGGAATTTCCAACCTCCCAGAGAGCCCCGATTATTCTTCCCATTGGTTATACCTACGGTCATTTGTAAAGCTAAAGTTATTATAACTCGTGGAAAAATTTGCATCTGAATTTGGTTTTTTGGTAAAGCTCCTTCGGGCCGTCCCTTCTTCGGCCCAAATTTGGGGCAGTCACGTGGTGCCATCACTCCTACAGGTTTTAGCTGTGGATCTTCCCACATCCACTGCCTGGAAGACCCTGCAAGGTTCAGAGCTGAGTGTGAAATGTGGAGCTGGCAGGGACATCGTGAGTATCATCATGAAGGGTGGGCAGGGAGGGGTTAACACATTCACAGCAAGCTATTCCCCAACAACTGCCCCTTCAAGGAGATGTTCATTTTTTCCCCTCCATTCATAGCGGGCTCATTTTTTTTCTCACTACCTTCAGAGGTATTTTTCCTGAGACTGCGTCATTGGATATGAAAAACCTGATAAATCCTGGCCAACCCAAGCCCTCCTAGCAGGTGGCAGGAAGCCTCTTACACTGTGGAGAGCAGCTTCCAGTTGATTTCATTTTTTGTGTAGAGCATTTTCCAATGTGAGATACTTTCCTGAAACAGGAAAGTATACAGTCATTCCTTTCTCTTCCTTCCCAGCCCCACCACTGTGACCTCACCTCCAACCCTCTCTTGTCAGTCAGGGCCAGCTCTGGGCTATACTTACCTAGATCAGCCAACTGAGAGGTTTGCAATTTTTACCTTCCCTGGCTAGTTCCTGAACAATTCTGTCTTCCTGTAATTCCATATGATGAATGGGTCTAATGGGATTATTTCAACTGCATATCATGGAAAAGCCAAAATCCTGTGACTTAAATATATAAGGATTTATTCTCTTTCATAAAAGAAATCTTTAGTATGATGGCTCAGTGGAGAGGTGCCTTCTCTTTCTGCTCTGCAGCACACGGTTCAAGCCTCTAAGGTCCAGCATGGTTGCTGGAGCTCCAGGCACCATGTCTACTTTCCAGGCAGTGGGAAGGAGGAAGGGCAAAAGGGATGCATCTCCCAATTGAGTTAATTCCCTTCAAGGAGGATTCCAACAAGTTCCATACAACATTCTGCATACATCTTATGACCAGTATCCCTTTGGTATTTGAATTAGAATTGCATTGAATTTATAACTGACTTTGAAGAGTATTCACATCTTTTCATTCCAGCTTCTGGTACGTTATCCCAGTGTGCACTCTTGGGATTGTCCTGTCTCCCTAGACCAAAATAGACAACTATCAGAGAAGGATAGTAAGAATGCCCTCTGCTTGTTCTGTGTGTTGATATAGCTTTCAGAGCACTTTGCAATGTATTATTTAGTCTGATCTGTATAACAACCCTATATTAGAAATCCTTTACTCTATTTACCTGGTGAAAAAAACAATGAACCTCAGAGAGGTTCAGTGACTTGCCCATAGTCACATAGTACATGAGTGAACACGCAAGGCTTTAACCACAGTTTTCTGGTGTTCCTTCCACTGAGTCACACTATCTCCATCCCATCCATAGATGCTGGGAGTTATCTTGTTTTCCTCTCAAAAGCTTTCTAAAAGCATTTTGTATATTGGAAGAATAATGTATCCATCAACTTACTAGCTGGGTGACCTCAGGAAAGGAAGCCCTGAGATTATTGCCAGCATTAAATGAAATAATATCTCCAAAGCCCAGTTGATTATGCCTGGTACATGTGAAAAAAGAAATTATCATTACAAAGTTAAAGCCTGTCACTTGTACACCCTGGAAAGAAAGCCAAACCGGGCACTTTGCTAGGTGCTGGCACTAAATAAGGAGACTCAGTTACTACACACAAAGAGGGCACATCAGCGAAGTTCATCCCTAACCACAGCAAGGTCATCCTTGCTCCAACCTATCACCCACTGCTGACGTTTCTCCTTTGGTAGAGGAAGTGAAGCAGAGGGTTCAAGGGGGCAGGCTTTGAGGCTGACTGCCTGGGTGCAAATGCCCACACCACCATTCACTGGGCAAGTCATTTAACCTCTCACTGCCTTAGTTCCCTCGTCTGTAAATGGGTACTAATAATAATAGCTACATCCATAGAGACACCTTGGATTTTTGTAAGAATTAAAAGAATTAGCACAGGTAAAGGACTTAGAACAGTATCTGGCACATAATACAAGCTGGGTATTTGATAAATATATGAATACATGGGGTTTTATTAAGTTCTTCCTGAGTCTTGCAGTTACTGGCCATGTTACATGGCTGGGAAAGAAGAGATGTGTGAAAGAGATTGACTGTTTCTCTCTCTCTCTCTCTCTCTCTCTCTTTCTCTTTTTTTTTTTTTTTTTTCTTTCTTAGGGTGACCTCTTTCTGAATGGCCAAACCTGCAGAATTGTGCAGCGGGAGCTCTTGTTTGACCTGGGTGTGGCCTACGGCATTGACTGTCTGCTGATTGATCCCACCCTGGGGGGCCGCTGTGACACCTTTACTACTTTCGATGCCTCGGTCAGTCCTAAAAACAACAGTGTAGTAAGAGAACCTTAAGCCAAAGAATGGCCCTCATGATCCAGTGTGGACCCTGTTGTGAAACCATTAAGGGCCTGTCCTCAGCAAGACTAGGACCCAGAAGACCTGAGGGCCAAATGATGTAGTTCTTTAGACTCAGAAGCAACAGGCATCTACTTAGCCCCACACAGCCTGGAATATTCTTGTTTATCCACCCATCTACTCACCCACTCATTCACTCCCTTATCATTGAGAAAACAGTTTTTGGATACCAACCATATGCCAACTGCCATTCGTTTTCAAACACATCCCTCTATTCAGTCACTCACTCATGCATTCAACAAATATTTGTTGAATGTCTGACAGATTACACCATATGAAATTGCCATATTTGACAGTCTGGAGCCTATGAAAAGGGCAATTTCACATAGTCAGTCTAATATGATATGCCACTCACACCTCTATTCACTTACCCATTGATTCATTCATTTGACAATATTGATTGAACTTCTATCCCAGGCCCTGCACTGTGTGAGGCATTTTTACATTCACTCATTCATCCATCCAGCACCTTTACTGAGTACTCCCCTGAAGCCAGCCATTGTGTTCAATGCTTAGCTTACCCCTACAATAATCCAATAATAGGAACAGTTATCATCTGCCCTATTGTGTAGATTTAGAAACTGAGTCTCAAAGAGGTAAAGTGACTTTACATGGCAAAGTTTGTCACCAGTTGATATCAGTACCTGGCATCCCCTAGGAATTTCAATAACTATCCCAAATTTTTTGGATCCCAGTCAGCCAAAGTAGGAGATGAAACCAGTTGTCCTTTCTACAACAGGGGTCTTCTTAATTTCCAAATTATATTCCACACATATTTTTCATTTAATCATTTTTCCTCATCAATCTTCTGAAGATCAAATAGCAAGAATTATTATCCCTATTTATTATAAAACTAAGGCTCAAATAGTATTTGTGATTGGCCAAAAGTATACCATTTAACTTAAAATGGAACTAACACTTGCACCCATATGTCCCACTGCTAATAGCATATGCCTGTAAGACACTGCCCTGGTCCAGCTCTGTATAACAGATTTTCCCTTCAGAGAACAAAACCACGGAGCTAATGCCCAAGACAGATCTTCAGAATTATCTGTGGCAAAGTTAGTGTGTGTGTGTTGATATTCTTTGTTGTTGTTGTTGTTGTCGTCTTGAGATAGGGCCTTGCTCTGTCATCCAGGCTGGGGTTCAGTGGTGCAATCACAGCTCACTGCAGCCTTGAACTCCTGGGCTCAAGTGATCCCCTCAACTCAGCCTCCAAAGTCGCTGGGACTACAGGTTCATGTGCCACCATGCCTGGCTAATTTTTTTTTTTTTTTACAGTTGGAGTCTTGCTGTGTTGCCTAGGCTGGTCTCAAACTTCTCGCCTCAAGCAATCTTTCTGCCTTGGCCTCCCAAAGTGCTAGGATTACAGGTGTCAGCCACCATGCCTGGCCTGTTTTCATATTCTTGATCATAGCCAGAGTCTTAAGATTAGTTAAGCCCTTAATCCATCCAGGTATTAATCAGGAACATTTCCTTGTGTTTTCTGATATTCTTGGTTTTCAAGTGTTTCTTTTCTTGCATACTAGGGGGAGTGTGGGAGCTGTGTCAATACTCCCAGCTGCCCAAGGTGGAGTAAACCAAAGGTAATTAAGACTGCAGTGATAATGTTTGGAGAGCCATAGGTCTGTTTCATTATCAGACCTGTGTGTGTGTGTGTGTGTGTGTGTGTGTGTGTGTGTGTGTGTGTGCCCGTGCACGTATGTTGCATAAATGTAATTTATGTCATTCTTTCAACAACAAAGCCAATGGGGTAAGATAGATATTCTCAGCCCAGGCAACCTGTCAACCCATGTTCTAGGACCTGTCTAGAAAAGTCATGGGATGGTAGACCTAGAAGGACTTAGAAGATAATTATGATTATAAAAATAGCTGCATTTTGTTGGCTGCTCTCCATGTCCCAGGCTCTGTGCTGAGCCTTTATATACTCATTACTCTATCCCTCTTTATAATACTCATAGGAAGCTATTATTACCTACACTTTACTTATGAGAAAAATGGGTCTCAGAGAGGGTAAGCAATCAGCCCAAGGCTACACAGCTAGTAAGGAGCAATGCTAGGATGAAAGTCCAGAGAGCAATGGAGAGTAATGTTTAAGTCAATGAAATTTGGAGTCCACAGGTATGGGGTCAAATTCCATAATCTTTGACAAATCTTATGACCTATCAGGTTTGCCTCTGTAAAATGGAGCTAATAATGGACTCTCTGTGCAGCTATTAGGAAAAGTAAATTTTAAAAATGTGGGTACACTGAAGTGCCTGGCACATAGTAAGTGCTCATTAAATGCTGTTTTGTATTACTTATTCCAAAGTCAAGCTCTTTCTAGTCTACTAGTAAAACCTATAACAAAAATATCTCTACAAAACAAAATCTAACTCATACCCTCCCTGCCTACAATTTGGGAGCCTTGCCCCACACCCCTTCCATGACAGCAAGCTACCTCCTTCCCACTCCCTCCCCAGGCAACCATGCCACTTGCAGAGCACTCTAAGGGTCTGAAAGTTCTTCCCCTTGAGACTGGGGAGAAATCTTCCCATGGACCCTAGATCTACTCCCTCCCCTATCTGCGTGTTTCTGTTGACTCCCATAGGAAAAATATCACCTTGGAAAAAAAAAGTTGGCTCACACTGGAAGTCCCATTTTTTATTTGGGCAGTACCTAAGACCTCCATGAGGGCACAGACTAGAGCCCCAGAGCCCTAGTCCCTGCAGTGGTAAGTGAAGGGATGGTCCACTCTCTTCCCTTAGGGTGTGAAGCAGAAGTGTCTCTACAACCTGCCCTTCAAGAGGAACCTGGAAGGCTGCCGGGAGCGGTGCAGCCTGGTGATACAGATCCCCAGGTGCTGCAAGGGCTACTTCGGGCGAGACTGTCAGGGTGAGGGTGCCTCTTCCCCCCTCGCAACTCTAAAAGTGGTAATATGCTCCTGCTCGTTGTCCAGTCTTTGAATGTACCAAAATTATAGGGGGATGGGGGAAACACTGCTAATAATGATTCCCAGACCCCAGAACTCTGAAGAGTTGTGTATCATTCCTTCTACTTTGGCATATTTTTTTTATCGAGTTGAGATCCTGCTGTGCATATATTGTAATTGTGTGTCTGCTTTTTCCCTTGACATTACAGCATAGACATTTATTATGGTGCTAAATACACCGTATTTCATTTTTGATGCTGTGCAACATGATTTCCATGATATTGATAAGCATGTTTAAAGACTTTGATGTGACTCTCCCTTGGCAGGTGATGTACTGACACAGTATGTATGGGCCATAATTTCCTGAGCGCACCCCTGTCCCTGGTAGAGGATGTATAGCATTGGCTCCCTCTGTTACCTCATCAGGAAAGGGCTCCTTGCCAAAGCACATTTGGGCCCATTCTGAAACCCCTGTGTTAACTTCTAGCCAACAATACATCAACAGGTGCACGTAACAAATGCCTCAAAAGCACTATCTGCTACATGTTGTTCTAAGTAGGCACATTTATTGAGTTTTATTGAGTGCTTTTTCCCATACATATCAAAACATTTAATCTGGGCAACAACCCCTAGGGAGTAGGTTCCATTGTTGTCTTCCCCTCCCCACTGACTTTTTTTGAGAGAGGGTCTCACTCTGTTACCCAGGCTGGAGTACAGTGGCAGGACCACAGCTCACTACAGTCTCAACCCTCTGGGCTCAAGTGATCTTCTCACCTCAGCCTCTCAAGTAGCTGGGACTACAGGCACATGCCACAAGACTCAGCTAATTTTTTTGTATTTTTCATAGGCTGGGTTTTCGCCATGTTGCCCAGGCTGGTCTCAAACTCCTGAGCTCAAGCAGTCCATCCATCTTGGCCTCCCAAAGTGCTAGGATTACAGGCGTGAGCCGCCGTGCCTGGCCTGTTGACCCCATTTTGTAAATGAGAAAACAGAGGCACAGAGAGGACAAGAAGTAAACCCAAGGTCCCACTGGTCTGTCTTCAGCAGCTGTGATTTTTACTAGCATGCATACTCCATTCATCATAATCTCACTGAGAATACTCTGGGTTGAGAGCCCCCATGACCACCCAGCTCCACCCTCCATCACTAAAGTGTGGACCATTCATGAAAATCAGTATCATTCTAATATTTGTTCAGTGCTTTATATTTTCAAAATGTTCTCAGTTATAATGCCTCATTTGATCTTCACAATAACAACATGGGTATAGGTCAAGCAGACACTGTATCATCATTATTATCATCATCATTTAGATCTAAGAAAACAAAAGCTCAGAGCAAGTTCATTACTCAACCCAGATATCCTCAAATCCAGTGCACAAACCCCCAAATACAGTGCACAGTTCAGTGTATCACCCTGCCAAGACAGAATCATATCAGATACCATAAAGTTCATGTCCCATAGGCCAGTGACGTGCCTTAAATATCCACTGACACTGAAGGCGATGGTCCCTCTGGGCTAACAGAAGTCAGATGCCACAGCACATTTACAAAGGTGCTGAGCTGCTCTGGCTTTGGGAGACTGTTGAGTCACTGCTGTTTCATCTCTTCCAGCCTGCCCTGGAGGACCAGATGCCCCGTGTAATAACCGGGGTGTCTGCCTTGATCAGTACTCGGCCACCGGAGAGTGTAAATGCAACACCGGCTTCAATGGGACGGCGTGTGAGATGTGCTGGCCGGGGAGATTCGGGCCTGATTGTCTGCGTATGTGGCGCCGCTTCTCCGTGCTAGAGCTTGTTTTTTGACTGTGTGCTCCCTGTCCTTGTTCATGCCATCTGCCTGACCTGGAGGCATCCTTTTGTCCTTTCTCTCAGCCACACCCCTCCAATCTGCCTGCCCTATGTGTTTATTTCCTCCTTGGATGCATTCCCAGTTTCCAATGAAAAAGCTTCGCCTCTAGAAGTGAAACTTGTCCCCAGCAGCCACTAAGGCAAGATGTGGCTGAACAATGTTCATTCGATCATTCAACCAATGTGGATTTACTAAGTCCTTACTAATAGTGAATGCTGACATTGATTAAGTGCCTACTATGTGCCAGGCACAAATGTTTTACAATTCAATCCTCTTAACCACCCTTTGAGATAGGTACTGTTATTATCTGCAAGTAGCAGATGAAGAAACCAAGGTACAAAGAGCTTAAGTGATTTGCTCAAGAGCCAGCAATTTTTTTTTCTTTTTTTTTTTTTTTTGAGACAGAGTTTCGCTCTTGTTGCCCAGGCTGGAGTGCAATGGCGCAATCTCAGCTCACTGCAACCTCTGCCTCCCAGGTTCAAGTGATTCTCCAGCCTCAGTCTCCTGAGTAGCTGGGATTACAGGCGCCCGCCACCACACCCGGCTAATTTTATATTTTTAGTAGAGACAGGGTTTCTCCATGTTGGTCAGGCTGGTCTCAAACTCCCGACCTCAGGTGATCCACCCGCCTCAGCCTCCCAACAGTGCTGGGATTACAGGTGTGAGCCACTGTGCCCGGCTGAATATTTCTAATGTCTAGGGATTTGTGGTTTAGGGACTGACAGGGACAAAATTCCAGCTCTCAAAAGGCTTACAGACACAAATTTTTCTAAAAAATAGTTATAAAGGATATAAAAGCAAAGAAGCAGGTAGAAGGGTGAAGAATGAAAGGAGACATTGTTTTAGAAGACACCTCACATAGGGAATATTTGAGTAGAGACCTAACAGACGCAAGGGGACCAAGCATGAGGTATGAAGAGCAGGCCAATCAAACTTTCGGCAGTGCGGGAAAGACTCCATGACTCCACTGGCCAGTATGGTAGCCACTAGGCACATGTGGCTATCGAGCACCCAAAACGTGTGGCTGAGGAAGCAAATGTTTAATTAAATTTAAATAGCCACGCGTAGATAGTGGACAGTGCAGACCAGAGGAACAGCTTTCCTCCAGGTGAGATGAGCAAGTGCAAAGGCCCTGGGACAGAAGCCAGCTTGGTGTGTACAGAACAGCAAGAAGACCAGGGTGGCTGAGCGGAGTGGGCAAAGAGGAGGAAGAGAGGAAGAGAATGCAATCTGAAGGTCACCAGGGGCCAGATCTTCTTGGCCAATGAAAAGTCTTTAGCTCTATGTGTGACAGGAGGCCAGCAAAGGGTTGTGAACAGAGGGATGTTGTGAAGAGATTAGAAAGGATGGCTCTGGGGAGGGTATCTGTAGGAGAACAGGCACAGAAGCAGGGCCCCTTGGAGAAAATAATGCAACAACCCAGGCCAGCGCTAATGGTGACTTGCACTAGTACGGTAGTGCTGGAGGTGGTGAGAGGTGGTGGAATTGGTACATATTTTTTAATGTTACTTTTTTTTTTTGAGACAAAATCTCACTCTATCACCCAGGCTGAAATACAGTGGCGGGATTATGGCTCACTGCAGCCTCAACCTCCTGGGCTCAAGCAATCCTCCCACCTCAGCCTTCTGAGTAGTTAGGACTACAGGCACATGCCACCATACCCAAATAATTTTTTATTTTTTAAATTTTTTGTAGAGATTGAGTCTCCCTATGTTCCCCAGACTGGTCTCAAACTCCTGGCCTCAAGCAATCCTCCTGCTTCAGCCTCCCAAAGCACTGGGATTACAGGCATGATCCACTGCACCTGGCCACAATTTTACTTTTTTTTTTTTTTTTTTTTTTTAAGACAGGGTCTCACTCTGTTACCCAGACTGGTATACAGTGGTGTGATCACAGCTTACTGTAGCCTCAACATCTTGGGCTCAAGCAGTCCTCCCATCCCAGCCTCCCAAGTAGCTGGGACTAAAGGCGTGTACCACGACATCTGGCTAATTTTTGTTTGTTGTTGTTGTTTTGTAGATACGGGGTTGCACCATGTTGCCCAGGCTGGTCTTGACCGGGCCTCAAGCAATCCTCCCACCTCAGCCGCCCAAAGTGCCGGGATTACAGACATGAGCCACCACACCCAGCCAAAATTTTACTTTTAAATAGATTTCTCCATCAGGAAGCCCCAGATGAGATGATCTCCCTAAATGTTCATTGCGTACCCCATGATACTCTCTACTGTGATTATAACATTCATCTCACTTATAATTATATGATCAACAGCTGGGCACTCTGAGACTGTAAGCCCCATGAGAACAGGGACCTTCTCTATTATGTTTTTCCCTGTAACCTTATCGCTTAGCAGTGCCTGGCCTGTGATAGTCCCTGAATAAGTTATTTTTTAGATGTTTCAATGAATGAATGAATGACTGTGACATAAGCATGGTGCCTCCCACAACTGAAAATGCATAGCAAACAAGGGGTCAGGGAGCTGGTTGATTGGGTCTCAACCCCTGATGACTGACCATATCCTAATTTGTTTACAGCCTGTGGCTGCTCAGACCACGGACAGTGCGATGATGGCATCACGGGCTCCGGGCAGTGCCTCTGTGAAACGGGGTGGACAGGCCCCTCGTGTGACACTCAGGCAGGTCAGTCATGGGAGTGGTCAGCTGCTGGCAGCCCAGGGCTGCAGTGGACACTGCCAAGAGCATACAAGTGAGGTTGGGAGTCTGAGTGACATCTGAAAAAAGTGACAAAGCAGGTCCATGTGGTAAAAGATAATTCAGATCTGTAGCCCCGGGCCTCAGGAGGATGGAGACTTGCAGTAAAACTAGATGAAAAGATTTAACTCAAACCTATGAAACTAGCATGTCATCCTGTATGATTATAGGACCCACCTCAAGCACAGAATCCCAGGTTCAAGCAAGGACTGTGCCTTGTCTTGGTGATTTTGGGGCCCAGATGGGTACTGACACAGAGGCTGAGTGGTTTCATGGAAATCACTTTGAAGGCCCGAGACCAGGGTCTGACCCCTGGTTCTGCTACTTACTAGATGAATGGCCTTAGAGAACCACACTCTCTGAGCCTTGACTTGCTTATCCTTAAAAAGAACTCCATGCTACACATTCTGCAACGCAAGGATTGCTGGCAGGGTCAGCGAGCATGGTTTTGAAGTTCCCAGTGTACGCAGATGCTCAAAACAAGCAGCTGCCATTATCACACTCATCATTTATAATCATTGCCATAGCTCGATCCTTACTAGGTGGTCAGTTTTCTGATGTCTCCTTTATACTCGAAGCCCTGTGTTCTGGTAGATCTGAAATGTGCTGGTTGAATTATCCATGTGAATGACTGTCATTTAATCCTCCCTGGGGTCACAGGGCATGGCGAGGCCCTACCTGTGGGCTTTAGCAACCTGAAGTTTCATGGGTTGCAGCAGTATGGCTAACTTGAGTTCCTCCTCCCTGTTCCTTCTGCCTCCTCCCTCCTCCCCTAAGCACTACATGGCCTCCTGCTGCCTGCATGCACTGTAACCCCAGCCAATACCAAAGCTCCAGGCTTCTCCCTAGCTCAGTGGTGCCCTCAGAAGGCCATGGAATTTCTCCTCCAATTTAACCATATCCATCGGGAACCCCTGTCCTTAGAGCCAGAGAGCTAATCTGCCAAGTTCATTCCTGCTAATAAGTTTTGTGGTATAAAGTTTTAATTGATAGCCCCTAAAGAACATTTTTTCTCATATAAATCTCAATGACATTGCAGAGATCATGTCTTACTATAAAAGAGTAATTCTAGAATCCCAGAATCTCCAAGGCTAGAAAAGACCTTAGCAAATCACCCCATCTTCCTGCTGTACAGGGGCACTTATGAACACAGTGGTCGTCCAGAGAGAGTCTTGGAAAGTCTCCTTAGATGGGTTTTAACTCTTCACACCATGGGTACAGAATGAAAGTGGCCCCTTTCTTTGCAGTTTTGCCTGCAGTGTGTACGCCTCCTTGTTCTGCTCATGCCACCTGTAAGGAGAACAACACGTGTGAGTGTAACCTGGATTATGAAGGTGACGGAATCACATGCACAGGTAAGCCACCTTTGTGCACAGGTGAAATAGCAGCATGGTGTGGGAGAGGAGCAGGACTTGCTCACAGTGCCTGGGCTTCATCCTAGCCCTCCTTCCTGTCTGGGCCACTTCAGCAGCACCTACCCTCTCTATGACTCAGTTTCTTTAATGGGTGTGCTCATGCTTGATCTGCTCACCCTCTAGGTCAGGGTTTCAAAATTGTTTTGCAAACTGGGATGCACTTTACTTTAGAATGTTTTTCTTTCTTTTTTTTTTTTTTTTTTTTTTCCGAGATGGACTTTCACGCTTGTTGCCCAGGCTGGAGTGCAATGGTGCAATCTTGGCTCACTGCAACCTCCGCTTCCCAGGTTCAAGCAATTCTCCTGCCTCAGCCTCCCAAGTAGCTGGGATTACAGGCATGCGCCACCGCACCTGGCTAACTTTAGAGTGTTTTTCTAACTCTACAAGTAATCCAGCCTTCAAAAAAAAATCAGAAAATACACAACACCATTTTTTTAAGTTAAACCTAAACATACTCTCACCACTAGGTGAGAACCACTGTGAACACTGCAATATCCCTCTATAGTAGTTAGGATATAGGTTCAGCCATACAGAGGCCCAAATGAACAGTGGCATAAATAAGGCAGATGTTTCCTATTGTCTCATATAACAGGTTGGAAGTATTCAGGGCTAATACAGTTTCACTCTGAAAGCTCATTTTGGGGGCTGAACTCCTTTTCTGAACTCCTTTTATCTTGTGGCTCTGCCATCGTTCACTCACCTCACCTGAGGTGGCCAATACCATAAGCCCAGCCTGGACAGCAAGATGGAAGGAGAGGAAGGAGGCAAACCTCCTTCCCTTTAAGAATGCAAACTAGGAATTGTTAAAAATCACATCTGCTCCCATCCCATTGGCTGGAATCTCATCATTGGTCATGCCTAGCTACAAGGGAACCTGGGAAATGTCGTCTTTTATTGGGCAACCATGAACCCACCTGAAAATCTATTATTACAGAAAAAAAGAGACTAGGCTGGGAGCAATGGCTCACACCTGTAATTCTAGCACTTTGGGAGGCCGGGGTGGGCAGATCACTTGAGGTCAGGAGTTTGAAACCAGCCTGGCCAACATGGTGAAACCCCATCTCTACTAAATCTACAAAAATTAGCCGGGCATGGTGACAGGTGCCTGTAATCCCAGCTACTTGGGAGGCTGAGGCAGGAGAATCACCTGAACCCAGGAGGCAGAGGTTGCAGTGAGCTGAGATCAGGCCACTCTACTCTAGCCTGGGCAACAGAACAAGACTCTGTCTCCAAAAAAAAAAAAAAAAAAAGGGAAGAAGAAGAAGAAAACAGAGACTAGGTATTGAGGAAAAATCAGCAGTCTCAGCCACATGTACTTTCTAATATTTTTCATGGATAAATATTCACAGAGATATATACTTTCTTTACACAAATTAGATCTTGCTATACCTGTTCTTTATTCAGCTACAAGGCATTCCAGAAGTGAGTCAGCATTCAACAATGGCAACAAAGACCTAGATTCTCTTTTCCCACCCTCCCATCCTTAGAATGAGTCTTCTTGTCCTTGTATTTATTCTTCCAGGGTCTCAAGTGGCTGCATAAATGCAGATGGCTTTTCAGCTACTCCTGAGGCTGGAGCTAATCTATCGTTGGGTCGATATTTGGGGGATCATAAAAACAAAGGTTCTAAGAGGCAGCACAGTGAGGAAAGCATGGATTTTTGGAGGCAAACCAACCTGGGTTTAAATCTTCAGCCAGGCCACATTTTAGCTGTTTTAGCTTTGTCAGGTCAGTTAAGCTGAGTCTCAGTTTGTTCATCTACAGAATGGGGACAACAATGTCTATCTCACAGGGTGCTCAATATTGTACTAACTCTACACCACACACACACACACACACATACACACACACACACACACACACACACACACACACACACACACACACACACACACTGTCCTAACATTAAAAATCCAAATTTATTCTGAAAACTGATACCAAAGTCAAGCCTGGAGGTATATGACAAAGGGGGCAGAAGCGGACAGATGTCATCAGGCTGCATCTATGAGGGTGTCACAAAAATATTCATGTTGCAAAGGCCAGCACAGAGGCCACAGGGCATGGAGAGAGAAGCACGAACACGCAGGGGCCCATTTACTCACCCAACACCACTAGTGCTGTGGTGCCCCATACCCTGACCTGAAGCCCTAGTTCCACAGAAGGTGGTAAGTTGAGCCCTCTCTCCTCTGCTCTTGCAGTTGTGGATTTCTGCAAACAGGACAACGGGGGCTGTGCAAAGGTGGCCAGATGCTCCCAGAAGGGCACGAAGGTCTCCTGCAGCTGCCAGAAGGGATACAAAGGGGACGGGCACAGCTGCACAGAGATAGACCCCTGTGCAGACGGCCTTAACGGAGGGTGTCACGAGCACGCCACCTGTAAGATGACAGGCCCGGTGAGTCGCTCTTTCCCAGGGAAATTTGGGAGCAGCGCCGTGGGCTTCGCTCCTCCTTGCCTTTCCACCTCCCATACTCTGCTTATCTCCTGGACTCTTCCTAAACATTTTTTCTAGCACAGTCTGTTTCTTGTTAAAAGTCATTGGGCTAAATGCAAGGTAGTCCCCTAGGCAGAAAAAGGACGTCCATGGAAAACTGGTTAAATTCTTAAGTGTATTGCTTAGTTAACAGTAATGTACCAACATTAATTTCTTAGCTCTGACTAATGTGCTATAGTTATGTTGGACATCAGGGGAAAGTGGGTAGAGAGTATAGGAGAGTTTGCTCTTTGGCCACCCTTCTATCTATCTAAAATTATCCTAAATAAAAGGCTTATTAAAACAAAAAGCTGGCCGGGCACGGTGGCTCACGCCTGTAATCCCAGTACTTTGGGAGGCCGAGGCAGATGGATCACGAGGTCAGGAGATCAAGACCATCCTGGCTAACACGGTGAAACCCCATGTCTACTAAAAAAATGCAAAAAAAAAAAAAAATTAGCCGGGCATGGTGGCGGGCACCTGTAGTCCCAGCTACTCGGGAGGCTGAGGCAGGAGAATGGCATGAACACAGGAGGCGGAGCTTGCAGTGAGCCGAGATCGTGCCACTGCACTCCAGCCTGGGTGACAGAGCAAGACTCTGTCTCACAAAAAAAAAAAAAAAAAAAAAAAAAAAAAAAGCTGGTAAGATGTGGCAGGAAAAGTGCCGAAAAGATGATGCAAGATAATGTCCGTTCCTGGTTATAAAGGTGGTTCTAGAGTCAGATTGCTTTTGCATCTTACCTCCTGGACTGACAAGCTGTGTGACCTGGAGGTGGCTAATTACTCTCTGAGCCCCAGTTTTCTCATTTGTAAAGTGGGCCTCATAATAATGCAGACATCATAGAGTTGTTGTGGGGATTAAAGGAGATCATTCATTGATTCAACCAGTGGTCATTGTGCACCTACTATGTGCTCTTGCAGGTCCCAGGGTTACAACAAAAAGACAGAGTCCCTGCTTTCCTGGTGCTTGTGCACAAGTAGAGAGAGGGGGCAATGCACTGTACAGAAACAAATGCATGGAATTTTTTCAGAGAGCACAAGGAGCCCTGTGAAGAACATAAATCAGGCCAATGTGATAGAAGGGAATGGAAAAGCTACTTATGTAGGGTGGTCAGGGAGGCTGTCTCTGAGGAAGTCACATTTGAACTGAGATGTAAAGGATGAGGTTTCATCATAAGCCTGCATAAAAGCAGGACGTAGCAGTTATTCCCACTGGACAGGAAAGGCACGTTCTCTTGGTCCATCTGAACACCTCCTAGGCTGGACATTGGTCCCATGGGCACTTGGGCATCCTGGGGTCCTAGAGAAGGAACTTTTTCATCTCTTCCCACTCTCCCTCCACAGGGCAAGCACAAGTGTGAGTGTAAAAGTCACTATGTCGGAGATGGGCTGAACTGTGAGCCGGAGCAGCTGCCCATTGACCGCTGCTTACAGGACAATGGGCAGTGCCATGCAGACGCCAAATGTGTCGACCTCCACTTCCAGGGTTAGTGTGACCAGGGCCTATGGCCCAAAGCACCCTCCTCTTCAGGCCTGGGGAAGGGACCCTCAAGGGAAAGAAGAAAAACAAAACAGGCCAAGCCTGGTGGCTCAAGCCTGTAATCCCAATACTTTGGGAGGCCAAGGCAGATGGATCACTTGAGGTCAGGAGTTGGAGACCAGCCCGGCCAACATGGCAAAACCCCATCTCTACTAAAAATACAAAAAATCAGCCGGTTGTGGCAGTGCGCGCCTGTAATCCCAGCTACTTGGGAGGCTGAGGAAAGCGAAAAGCCACATAGAAGTGCAGAGGCATGGGCAATAGGACATCTTGAAACCCAACGGAGGAAGCCAGAAAGGACCCACAAACATAGTTCCTAGCCAAGGCAGAGGGACTTCAGTGGTTCAGAAAGTGACTCAGGGCACTGCACTTTATGGCTAATCAGTATGTACTGGATCTCTCCAGGGTTGGGTTTGTTTGACAGATGTGGTCTCTGGTGGAGACTTCCTGGAGGCTTGAATTGGGCTAGAGGAGCTAGCAAGCCATTTCTGCTGGCCAGGACAGCATGGCCAGGAGAGAATGATCAAGGGTCAGCTGAGAAGGATGAAGCCATGAGGAAGACACATGAAGGCTGTGACCCCCTAGTGGCAGGGTCTGTACTGAGGAGTGAGATGAGGTTGAAAGAACTAACAATGGACACAGAATAGAGAAAAGGAAAGGCTCAGCCATGACATAAAGTTTCCATCCTGAGACCAAATGCAGTGGTGGTGCTGGGTTAAAGCAGCTGGGGAGGGAAGGTGACGAGAGGTTTGAAAGCTTGGTTGGGGATATTCTATGGTCTAGGTACAGGGGCACTTCCAAGCAGAAAGATTTTATGGGCAGTTGCTACTTAGCATGGGGATAAAAATGCACAGCTGGGACCAGCTGATTTGGAAGTTATTTGCCCCTGGGACTGTGAAGTCAAGAAGAGCTTGGCTTTTTCTTTAGGACACAGTTCATTCAGCCTGTCCCACCTGTTCCCAAAGCCCACTTCCAAGTGGAAATCTACCCAGACCATAGAGTGTGGTCCAGCTTCTCCCATGGGCTTTTCTCTTCTGTTTTCTTATGAATGCCAAGAAAATGTTGGCAGTGATACTAAGTGACTGTGCATCACGTTGGACCTCCCTTCTGTTGGAGCTGTGTGGTTACCATTAGCTTGGGAGAATGCCCCAGCTTTCCCTATAGGCACAGTTACAGAACCATCCCACATTCAGGAGGAAGCGCCTGCCCTCACACAGTTCATAGGAGGGCAAACTGCCTTCATGATTTGCAGCCGATTTGGTAATGTGTGCAGCAGACAGCCTTAAAATAACTCATACTGAGACCTGATGGTTCCGTTTCCAGGACCCCATCCTACAGAAATAATCTGAGAATTGAAAAAAGATAAGCATACCCATCCCACCATTATTTAACATCACAGAAAATTAGAAATAACATATATATCTAATAGTAAATGATGATAAAATATATTGATATACATCTACTCAAATTCATTGTAAGGTATTTTGTTGTCTCAATAAAGAGACAAGGAACACTTTTCCATACTTCTCCAAGCTGTTAAATTGGTGTTTGCATTTCAGATATGGCCAAGATCATTTGACTTACGCACTGTGCTACTGAAATATGTTCAAACGAGAAAAACTTAGTCTTCTTTGGTGTAGAAAGTATCATTTTTGTGGCATTATACAATGAACTTGACAATATAAAAATGTGACTTGCTTCTTGAACTATTGCTGGTGTCTGCACTGAATTGTTTGGTTAGGAAAGGTATCAGCTATGAACCAATGATAAAAATCTTCCAGTATCTTAGGGGGAAATGAATTTTTAAAACTTTTTTAAAAAGCACAGCAGGGGTCAGAAAACACACAGCCCTGGGCAGAAACTCACTTTAATGTGTTTTTTATAGCTGTAAAGGTCACAACAAATTTTTCAATTATAAATATGGGGAGGAGGAGAAAATCATGTTACCAGAGAAATTTTATAATTTTGGGATATAATTATGATTTAATGTTGTTTTAAAAAGATTTATGAAAACTACATCGGCAGTATGCTACCACATTTAGAGTATATATAACATGAATAAATAGGAAAGAAGATTGAAAGAATGTCAAATTATATCAAATTAAAAATTTACCAAAAAATAAAGTAAAATTCTAGAAGGAAATGCACCAAAATGTTAGCCATGGAGTAATGATTATTTCTGGAGAATAGAATTGTAGGTGGTTTTTGCTTATGTTTTTACTTTTCTGTATTGCCCTAATTTCTACAATGAACATATGCTAGTTTTATAGTTAGAAAAGAAATATTTTAAATGATGTACTTCAACATAACTTGAAGGGAAAGTGGCTTCTGGAGACACCCTGGGGTATAGCTGGCCTTCATTTTGAAAGTCCTTCAGAGTCCATTGTTGGAAACACTGCCAACCTGGTGGGCTGACCTGGGCGATTCCTCCTCTTCCTCATCCAGATACCACTGTTGGGGTGTTCCATCTACGCTCCCCACTGGGCCAGTATAAGCTGACCTTTGACAAAGCCAGAGAGGCCTGTGCCAACGAAGCTGCGACCATGGCAACCTACAACCAGCTCTCCTATGCCCAGAAGGTGGGTCTTCAGTTAGCAGATTCTGTGCAGACAGAGTCTGCAGGGGCGGAAGTGCAGCCCTTTCTTAAGATGGGGAAGACTTGAGCTGTTGCCTTCAAGCAAGGGAGTGCAGGTAGCTCCTGGAACAATGCTAACAGTCACCATGTCCATTTATTGGGCATCTATTATGTGTCAGGGACTGTGCAGGGTACTTCGTGGATATTATTGTTCATCCTTACAACATCTCTGAAGGCAGAGCAGGTGTTACTTACTATTCCCATTTTACAGATAGGGAAACTGAGGCTTAGAAAGTTTAAGTACAGTGCCTGATGTCACCCAGCCAAGAGGTGGCAGATCCAATATTTAAGGGTAGACCTGACTCTTAAAAGTCTATTTCAACCATGACATTCAACTGCCAAGGCAGAAGTGGAGACTGGAAGTGCATCCCTCACAGCTGGAAACCAGAAAGACAGCAATACCCACGAGCCTAGGGTGGATCTCCCCGAACCCACAAAACAGTGGAGTTTCCCTGGAATAGCTGGGGCTCTCTCTGGCTGGAGGGACTGTGAAAAGAAAAAAGAGACTGCACAAGCTTTCAGATATGGCAGGAAGGAAACGGAGCTCTTTGATCAGGTGCTGCTCTCTTAACCTCTAAAACTAGAAGTCCTACCCATTTGGAAAAGCTAGCAGGTTGGAGTTCCAGGCTGGTGGTTTATCACTGGGAGCAGAGGAGATGAATGCCTAGTACGTATGATTTTAAAGCCCCTTCTCCAACCTCCATCACTAACAAATCTCTACTTTTTCAGACCTGGTATTCCTTTACCAAGGAATAAAGCCTTTGATGCCAGGACCCAGACTCAAGGAGAATCTGAATCTCTGCTCTCCTGCTTGCTGGTCATGTGGCCTTGATATCAAGCCACTAAAATCTCTGACTTACCTGGAATGTTTGTGGAAGGACTAAATGTAATATGGCACACAGTAGGAACTCAATTTTTAAGATTATTAAAAGATCTGGAATAGTAGACCACCTGGGTTTGAATGCCAGTTGCCAGCTGTGTGACTTTGAGCAAGTTACTTCTCTTTGCCTCAATTTTCTCAATTGTATAAGGATTTAAAACGTTCCCACCTCATAGGGTTGATTGAGAGTTAAAGGTGTTGACACATGAAAAACTCTTGCAAGAGAACCTGACCCCAGATAAGCTCCCAATAAGTCTTATGATGATGATGGTGGTTGTGGTGATTATGATAATGGTGGTGGTGATGATGGGGAGGATGACAATAATTATAATAACGATGAGAGCAATGATGATATTATGATGAAGAATTAGAGTTCTAGGCCAGGCGTGGTGACTCACGCCTGTAATCCCAGCACTTTGGGAGCCAGAGGCGGGTGGATCACTTGAGGTCAGGAGTTTAAGACCAGCCTGATCATGGAGAAACCCAATCTCTACTAAAATACAAAAATTAGCTGCACATGGTGGTGCACACCTGTAATCCTAGCTACCCAGGAGGTTGAGACAGGAGAATTGCTTAAACTTGGGAAATGGAGGTTGCAATGAGCCAAGATCATGCCACTGCCCTTTAGCCTGGGTGACAGAGCAAGACTCCACCTCAAAAAAAAAAAAAAAATTTGAGTTCTATCATCAGAGTTCTACCAACCCATTAGCAGAAAAATTTGCACCTAGTATCAATGGATGACAGCAAATTCTTTCTCAAGAGCAGAGAGAAGAGAAATGAGTATGAAAGACCTGGGCACCTACAAGAAAGAGAGGACACTTTTGTTCACCCAGTGGCTCAATCAATCAGTCAACATCTAATGACCACCTACTGTGTGCCAGGCACAGAGGTGCAATAGGCAAAGTGAGACTTTATGGGTTTTATGGCCTAATAGGGGAATCAGACATTAACCAAGTGATGCCACAACACATGAACTTGCAGCTGACCCATGGCCCTGTCTGTATCCCTGCAGGCCAAGTACCACCTGTGCTCAGCAGGCTGGCTGGAGACCGGGCGGGTTGCCTACCCCACAGCCTTCGCCTCCCAGAACTGTGGCTCTGGTGTGGTTGGGATAGTGGACTATGGACCTAGACCCAACAAGAGTGAAATGTGGGATGTCTTCTGCTATCGGATGAAAGGTAACCGCCCCAGCTACACTTCAGGTTCTGGGCCACACAGCTGCTGAGCAATCCTCAGCCTGGCCAGTCACTCCCCAAGCAGAAGCAGTGCAGCCCTGGCCCCTGCCTTACTTGTGTGGGACCCTGTGTGCCTCTGCCCTCCAGATGTGAACTGCACCTGCAAGGTGGGCTATGTGGGAGATGGCTTCTCATGCAGTGGGAACCTGCTGCAGGTCCTGATGTCCTTCCCCTCACTCACAAACTTCCTGACGGTATGTACCATGTCTGCTTGGTTTGCCTCAGGCAGGGAGGGGTTGCCTCAAAGCAGGTATTAGAGGGGTGAGGCCTTAAGCTGAAGGCCACAGTCACAGTTAAGAGCATGGGTGCTGGACCACCTTGCCTGAATCTAAAGCCTAGTTTTGCCACTCACTTGTAAAACCTTAAAGAAGTTACTTTCCTCTCTGGGACTCAATTTCCTCATCTATAAAATGGAGATGGTAGTAGCATCAACCATGTAGGGTCATTGTGATCATTAAATGAGTTAATAGTTGTGAAGCATTTAGACCTGTGGTCTGTACATGGAAAATTCTATGTTCTTGTGAGCTGGTATTATCATCTCTGTTTGTATGTGGAACAGTTTAAGAGCATGGTCTACACAAATGAGACACTCTTTAATCCTCTTCATGGATGTAGTTAGCTAAGCCTGCCTGGTGATCACCCAGTGAGCCAAATTAACATGGAGTCAATTTGCGTCTTGCACTGCACTTAAAGTCACGTCAATATTCTACAAGTCATATCCAGCGAAGAGAAAGCCTCATCTGGAGAAAGGTTTGGTGCTGACTGATCAAAGAACTGACCTAACAGTAATAATGACAACAACAGTAATAACAGCTAACATTTCTTGAGCATTTAAGAGGACATTTCATTCAAGCCATAGAATGTAAGTTCCATAAGGGAAAGGATTTTCTTTGCCTTGACCACCATTGTCTCCCCAAACCCTCAGATAGCAGGTGGCACATGACAGGTGCTCCATAAATACTTGTTAGAAGGACTAAATCCTCCTGCAACTGTATAAGGCCACTTCTATATCCACGTTTTAGATGAAGAAACTGAGGCTTAGCAAGGCCAAGGACACAGCCTAACTCATCAGAGCTGGGCTCAATCTCAGACTGCCTGGTTCCAGCCTCCCCCTCATGCTTTCGAGTACGGAACAAGGACAGCCTGGGCCACTGTTCCGAGTAGAATCTACAGTCAGTGACCGCAGGAGGAAAGGGCACTGAGCATGAGTATAGGGCTTGTAGGATCCATGTGGAAGTTAGACCAAGGACCCCAAAATGGAGTCTCTGTCCACAGACCAAAGATATCCATCTCACTGGTGTAAAAATCAGGACCACCATTAAATACACTAGAGATGAACACCCACACTAATCTTTCTGCTGTGTGGGAGCCTGGCTTACAACAGCATTTCAAAGAAAAGACGGTGTCAGAACAAAACATTTTCAGCAAATTACCTACCTTCTCTGGGCCTCAGTAGCCCAGAAGGAGGGAAAATATATATATATATATATATATATATATATATATAAAATATATATATTAAAGTATGTAAATATATATTTTAAAAATTATATATTTATATATATTTTGTTTGTTTGTTTTCTTAAGAGAGTCTTGTTGTGTTGCCCAGGCTGGAGTACAGTGGCATGATCTCGGCTCATGGCAGCCTCAACCTCCTGGGCTCAAGGGCTCCTCCCACCCCAGCCTCCAGAGCAGCTGGGACTACAGGCACACACCACCACACTGGCTAATTTTTTAACTTTTTGTAGAGATGGACTCTTACTATGTTGCCCAGGCTGGTCTCAAACTCCTGTGCTCAAGCTGCTCTCTCACCTCAGCCTCCCAAAGTGCTGGGATTATAGGTGTGAGCCACCACACCCAGCCTGATCAGTGAATATTTAGCACTTACCATGTGCTTGAGATATATCAGTGAACAAGCAAGCAAACAATAAATGGAACAAACACGTCAATAGTATTGAGTGCTAGAAGATGATAGATCCAGATCCTATGGAAAAAGTGGAGCAGGGCTTGGGGGGCACCCCAGGGTCCCCCTTCTGTCTGAAGTGATGGGGGAAGGCTTTGGGGAGAAAGTGACATGTAAGCAAAGTGTAAACAGGGGAGAGGGAGTGAGCCATGCAGACTTAGGGGAAGAACATTCCAGGCAGAAGGAACAGTCCAACAAAGGATGAGCAGCAGGAGCGTGCCAGGCAAGTCTGAGGAAGAGCAGGGAGGCCCCATATGGCTGGAACAGAGTGAGCAAGAGAGGACAAGCTAGGCCTGGGGTCAGAGATGCAACAGCAGCCACATGCTTTGGGCCTCGTGAGCTGTTATGAAGACTTGGACTGTTCCTCTGAGTGAAGTGGGGGGCCACTGCAGGATTTTGAGAAGACTCGAGATTTGATGCACCTTTCAAAGGGCTGCTCAAGCAGCCACGTGGAGGATGGGCTGTGACGTGGCTGTGTCTTAAACCATAGGATTCACTGAGGAAAGGAAAAGTCCTCAAACTCTCCCACGGCGCAGGCAGAAGACACAGCAAAGGAGCAGCAGGCTGAGTTGGCTCACACCATGAATATTCACAGATGGGTGATGCCCTGGGACCTTCTTCAGCCACCCAGGTCCCTGCACACCAGGGCTGGCCCCTCTGATGACTTCCTTCTTCTCCCCAGGAAGTGCTGGCCTATTCCAACAGCTCAGCTCGAGGCCGTGCATTTCTAGAACACCTGACTGACCTGTCCATCCGCGGCACCCTCTTTGTGCCACAGAACAGTGGGCTGGGGGAGAATGAGGTGAGTTGAGTCCCTGGTGCCTTTGCTTTAGACTAGCATGTTATCTATCACCACAACAATGCTGTGTCACAAATTACCTGAAAACTCAGTGGCTACACATTTATTTAGCTCACAGATCATCTGCAGATCAGTTGGCCACTCCCTTGGTCTTGGCACACTCGGGTCTGAGACCAGCTGTCAGCTGCTCTAGCTGGGCCATCAATGGCTCTGCTCCATGGAACTCTCATCGTCCAACAGGCTAGCCCAGGCGAGTTCTCAGGGCAATGGCAGGGAGTGAGAGAGGCGAGAGTAGGCCCTGTCCCAACAGTGCTTTCTCAAGCCTCTGTTTGGTCACATTTGCTAATGTGCCCCTGGCCTGATAGGTCACATGACTGAGCCCAAAGTCAGCATGGGGGGCAAAGGGCCAGGGGTGCAGGGAGTGGGGAAGAACCAGGGCCACTGATGCAATCTGTGTTCCACACCAACCTTCTTCATATCACGGCACACAGAGGATTGGCGGTATTTATTCAATTCACGCACAGGTGGCTGACCTGAGGCTCCGACAGCCCCACCAGCCACCTGAGGGCTGAGGAAAGCAATACCTCTGCCTACCTCAAGACACCGCTGGAAAGCTCTGCTCTAGACAATACAAATGACATTCAATCCCCCATCCTAGCTATAGGTGGCCTCTGGCAGAGCCCAGACAACCAGAAGCCTAAGAAAACCTTGACATTTCCTGATCTCCACATGGAGGCAGGAAAGCCTAGGCCATGAGAAGCAATTTTCTTCGTCATCCCCATCATTAAAAAGACAAAATATTGCTTGGCCTTTGAAGAGCATTCTGTGTTTCTCCTTTTTTCTCAGACCTTGTCTGGGCGGGACATCGAGCACCACCTCGCCAATGTCAGCATGTTTTTCTACAATGACCTTGTCAATGGCACCACCCTGCAAACGAGGCTGGGAAGCAAGCTGCTCATCACTGCCAGCCAGGACCCACTCCAACCGGTACAAAGTCTTCTGGGCTTCTTGGGGGAACGGGAGATAATGCATGCAAAGTTCCTGGCATACAGTAGGTGCTTAATAGATGGCAACTATTATGCAAACATAAACTCTAAACCTGCAGATAGGGGACGGTGTTAACTGCCCACTACAGCATACCACACTGACAATTGGGCAGCCCCTACCCCTTGGGAAATAGGGCAGCCTCAGAAGCTGGTTATGGGGAAGGATAATGAACCCATTTTAAAGCTGATTCTCCGCCTTCATTTTGGTCAGCTTGTCAGACTATTCCAGGCATTAACATGAGCTCCAAAGTCAAATGACCCCAGTATGAATCCCAGTTCTGCCACTTGCTAACTGTAAGGACTTAAACAAGTTATCCAGCTTCCCTGTGTCTCAATTTCCCCATCTGAAAAATCAGGATGATGGTGATGGTGGTGATGATGATACAGGTCATTATTTTCATGATTGTGATACAAGGGAGGGAAAACTTATTCTACCCTCTTAGGGTCTGTGGCTGGGCCTGAGAATTAAATAGACATACGATAAATAGGAGAGAAGCATACACATTTTATTTAATCTTTTATGTGAATCAAGGGAACCCTCATATGGAGAATAGAGACCCAAAGAACAGTTGGGATCAAGAGCTTATTTACTTTTTAAAGAAATGATACATTTGTGGAAAATTGATCAAATAAAGAGCTTTAGGCTAAGGGCAGTAAATTGTGGCATGACTAAGAAATAGATGGTGGATATGAGTGGAAGATAAGGAGTATTTCAGTAGATTTGTTTGTACAGATCCATTTCGTCATCTACTCCCAGTCTCCAGTAAGGATGTTCTTCTCTTCTGGAACAGAAGGGGCACTTTCTCATGGGAAATTGTATTACCTGCTTTTAGGGAGACAGCAGGTCAGGGAACCCTTCCTGCAACTGCCGTTTCTCAAGTGACTTCTGCTCAAAATAACTAATAATGCCACAATGGTGTGTGGGGGGTGGTTTTTTGTTGTTTTTTAGACAGTCTCTCGCTCTGTCACCCAGGCTGGAGCACAGTGGCACAATCTCGGTTCACTGCAACCTCCCCCTCCTGGATTCAAGCGATCCTCCTGCCTCAGCCTCCCGCGTAGCTGGGACTACAGGTGCCCGCCACCACACTCAGCTGATTTTTGTATTTTTAATAGAGATGGGGTTTTGCCATGTTGGCCAGGCTGGTCTTGAACTCCTGGCTTCAAGTGACATGCCTGCCTCGGCCTTCCAAAGTGCTAGGATCACAGGGGTGAGCTACCATGCCCAGCCCAAAATGGTGTTATTTTGGGGTGACATGTCCTAAGCCCCTTCAGTGTGGATGATGGTGATGATACTGATGGAGATGACCGTGGGGGTAGCGGTGGAGGTGGTGATAACCATGATGTCGGATTCAGGTTCTGAGACATGCAGAGAGTAGTGCCTGACAGGTAGCAAGTGCTTAATAAATATTGGTTTTAAATATTTATCTCATTAAATGATTTCTATTTAAGAGCAGTTTAGACTAGTGTCTCTCAAAATTTAATGTGCATTTGAATCTGCTGGAGATTTGTTAAAATGAAGACGTGATTCAGCAGGGGAGAAGGCACAGGGCCTCAGCTTCTGCCCACACAAGCCAGGAAATCACACTGGGACATCACTTAAAATACAGCTTTTCTAACAGTGTGGTGCGATGTTCAGTGCATGGACGCAGCGTCCACAGGCATGGGGTTTGCTACTTCCTGGGTGATCTGGGTCAGGCCACTTTCCTTCTGATCACTCATCTGTCAGACAAGTGGGTTGGACAAATGACCCATAAGGTTCTCTGCAGCCCTCAGATCAGCTTGTTGGCACAGGACAATTAATGTGTTCTGGGCTGTCCAGAGGGTGAGGAGAAGTCCTGGGCTGCCTATCAGTGGAGACAAACCTGAAACATGGGCTCAGGGGCCTTGGGAAAATTGAACAACTTCCCTCCATGGAGGGCTGCCCACTCGGAGAGTAAAAGCCATCAACCCTCTTCTCATTTCCCTAGACGGAGACCAGGTTTGTTGATGGAAGAGCCATTCTGCAGTGGGACATCTTTGCCTCCAATGGGATCATTCATGTCATTTCCAGGCCTTTAAAAGCACCCCCTGCCCCCGTGGTGAGTATCTAGGGTCCCTGATAACGGGCCAGGAGGAGCCCCGGTGCCCACTCACCAACAGGCAAACCATTACCAGAAGCCCTGTCCTCCTCCCTCTTCCTCCAGAGACTGGAGGAGCCTCCAGCCTCCAACCTCCAAGGTAGCTGGCCAGGACCGCCCAACCCTGCTTCCTGCCATCCCCACTCCCAAGCATTAGCAACACAGCACCAGTCACCATTAATATCTGTTGAATGAAAGGGGGAGGATGGGCCACCAAAGGAAGCGCTGGAAGGGGAGTGAGAAATCCTAAGCTATGGTTTGGCCCCTCCACTTCGTAGCATCTCTGAGTCCCAATTTTCTCATCTGCAAAATGGGGCTCATAATGCCTCCCTCCTGGGTTTTGGGAAGGATTGTAAGTTAGAAATGGAAAACACTTAGAACAGCCCCTGACACACAGTACATGCTATATAAAAGTTGGTGATGGTGGTTGTTAGTATTCTTTTTTGCAAAAGCATGAGGGGAGAGGTGAGCTGCTGGAGAGTTCCACAGCATAGTGGTTAAGCACAGAAGCTCCAAAGCCAGACTGGGTTCAAAGCCCACTTCCACCACTGACTGGCTGTGTGATATCGGGCAAGTGCTTCACCTCTCTGTGCCCCAGTTCTCCCACAATAATAACTCTCCCTATCTCTTTGGGTTATTATCACACTTCAATGGGTTATTTCACAGAAGGGTATTAGACCCTGGCAGTAATAAGGGCCAGATACATGTTAACATGTCAGTATTTTTATCCCCACTGGCTCCAGAATGCCTCGGGCCACCAAGGGTTCCCCTTTTGGGGAGTCAGAAGTTTTAAGAATGGGCCCCTTTCCTTTCTTTGTGTTCAGACCTTGACCCACACTGGCTTGGGAGCAGGGATCTTCTTTGCCATCATCCTGGTGACTGGGGCTGTTGCCTTGGCTGCTTACTCCTACTTTCGGATAAACCGGAGAACAATCGGCTTCCAGCATTTTGAGGTAAGAGAGAAAAATGGGAACATGATGATGGGGTCCTCTCCAAAAACCCAGTCCCTGGACCTGGGCTGCTTCAGTCGGTGGCTGCGCCAGAGTCCTCACCCAGAAGCAGTGTGTCACACAGTAGCAGGGGCGGCCACCCACCCCACGCTTACTGCTGCTTGGATGGGGTCCCTGCTCTTAAGAGGAACAGCAGTGGTGGTTCCAAGCCCCTCCTTCTGGCTGAGACAGGGCTTGGCAAGGAGAGAACCCACCCTGAGCCTCTGTGCCAGGGGTTTGGCCTGGAGGCACATTCACTAGGACCTAGGAGTCTTGTTTACCTTGGAGGATTCACTGCACAAGCACACCCCATGACCTAGCTTGGGCTTCAAGACCGGCTCTGAGAACTGGGGGACAGGGCTAGGGACCCTACACAGCCAGAGGCTTTATGCTGCAGCCAGTGACACTCATTTCTATTTGAACAGTTGAGTCCACATCCCAATCAGCAGCCAGCTCTTGACTGGCTGTGTAAGAATATGGCCGGGGCAGCAGCACAGCGGTTGAGCATCTTTCCTTATGGACTTTGTCCTCCTCTCTGGCCCACCCTCTCCTCAAAACACTCCTGGTAAAGGCTGTGGTGCAGAGCCCCCAAGCAGCAGTTTGCTGCCTTCTGGCAGACAGCTTGTATATTTATAAGCTCCAGGGAAAATCTCAAAATCCCCATTTTTAGCAAAAGTGTATAGGCTGTATGACTGCATTTATATTAAGTTAAAGGATAGGCAACACCACTTCAGGGTGATGGGAGTCAGAACAGCAGTTACCCTGGGTGGCAGGCACCAGCAGGCTAAGAGCATGTGAACACATCCTGGGGTATGGAAATGCCCTATGTGCCGATTTGGTGGTGATCACAAATGGGCAGACATCGGTAAGATGTCACTGAGCTGAATCTAAAGGTTGGTAAATTTTATTATATGTGAATCATCTCTCAACAAAGTACTGTTAAAAAAGGAAAAGCTCCCAGAGGCAAAGGGTGGCTTGCTTTACCTGCCAACTTGGCTGAGACGCTCCTGCTTTGGGGATGCTCCTGGCTTTCATGCTTGTCTTTCCAAACAGTCGGAAGAGGACATTAATGTTGCAGCTCTTGGCAAGCAGCAGCCTGAGAATATCTCGAACCCCTTGTATGAGAGCACAACCTCAGCTCCCCCAGAACCTTCCTACGACCCCTTCACGGTGAGTTTGCATTCTTATCTAGGAATAGGTTCCCTTGGGGTACAGGGGAATGATGTCTTTTAGGAAATTTCAGTGGAGATCTTTGTACCAAAGAAGGTTCATTTCTAGAATGTATGTCAGGTAACAAGCCTAAAAGCCAGTTTTGCAAGCTGACTGAAGCCAGTGTGGTTGCTCAGAGTTCCTGGGTTCTCTTGGGTAGACAGCAGAATCCTTGAACAAACAGAGACAGGCGAGAACAAGAGGTTGTTATCCAAGCCCAATCTCATGACCAGGTGAGATGCCACAGTGAAAAAAAGTCTTGGGCTGAATTCTGCTGCAATCATTTATGAGGTAGCAGGTGCAAAACAAGATGGAAAAAGGATTTTTCCTTTAGATGTCCTTTTTTTTTTTTCTTTGAGATGGAGTCTCACTCTGTCACCCAGGCTGGAGTGCAGTGGCACGATCTCGGCTCATTGCAACCTCTGCCTCCCGAGTAGCTGGGATTACAGGCGCATACCACCATGCCCAGCTAACTTTGTATTGTTAATACAGACAGGGTTTCTCCATGTTGGTCAGGCTGGTCTCGAACTCCCAACCTCAGGTGATACGCCCACCTCGGCCTCCCAAAGTGCTGGGATTACAGGCGTGAGCCACTGCATCTGGCCTTAGATGTCCTTTAAACTTACTTACACTGACATTGTTGTCCAAGATTTTACTGCTTGTTGTCAGAGCTGCTGCTTTCTTGCTTTTGGAGCTACTTTTCTTTGATGAGGCCTTATAGTATATATGGGTGGGTGTTCTGCTCTGGTCTTTCAGAAGGGGACCATTTATCTCTAGAGTCAGTGATGCTTTAGCTTAGCTGGGGCCTCCACTGACATCAATCCAGGGGGACCCCTTGGCAGGGTACCCCATACATAACACATGTGGAAGTACATCCTGCCTGTAGTTTAATACCAGTTCTCGACTGAAAAAAATACATAGGAATAGAACTTAATTTTTCTTTTTATAAAAGGAGAGAAATGTTTTCTTCCACCATGTTGAAGTTTGTATAGTGTAACAGATATTATTTTTCCAAAGTAAATCAAGGTAAATATCTTGTGGTTCTTCATGCCTGTGGTAACAGATTTAATATAAATGCAATAGACTGAAAAATAACCAGATTGCAAATCATATTTTTTTAATCAAACCCATGTAAAGGCTTCTGGTTCACATTTCAAGGGTAAGTTCGGGCCGGGTGCAGTGGCTCATGCGTGTAATCCCAGCACTTTCGGAGGCCAAGGCAGGTGGATCACCTGAGGTCAAGAGTTCAAGACCAGCCTGGCCAACATGGTGAAATCCCATGTCTACTAAATTAGGCAGGAGCGGTGGTGCCTGCCTGTAATCCCAGCTACACGGGAGGCTGAGGCAACAGAATCGCTTGAACTGGGAGGCGGAGGTTGCAGTGAGCAGAGATTGCACCACTGCACTCCAGCTTGGGCAGCAGAGCAAGACTCTGTCTCAAAAAAAAAAAAAAAAAAAAAAAAAGGGAGGTGGTAAGTTCAGCTAAATTACATTTGTTAACTAAGTACTGTTATGCTGAAATCACCTTCATTTAAAAAGCAGAAACAAATGCATACATCCTCTCCAATGCACCCCATGCCTTCCCTGTTGTCTGTCCCCTTCTGAGGGCTCTATCAGCACCATGCATGAAAGATTTACCTGAGGCAGGTGAGAAAGTAGCCTAAATGCAGGATTCAGCTAAACCTACTATTCAGACTACATGGCAAAAACATTCCAGAATCCTAAGCATAAGGTACCAGCTTACAAAGTGACGTGCTACATTCTCACGCCTTTGACACTATTTTTAGTGACTCCAGACACATTTACCACCACTAGTTTTACCCATGAAAAGCCATTTCTAGCATCTATTATGCTAATTGACAAAGCCTGGGTGCCAGTCAGAGCTAAAGTCAGCAGAAGGCTTGGCATGGCCACCTCTAGAGTGTGGCCTTTTTTAGGCAGGGTCCTGGTGTGTCACGCAGGCTGGAGTGCAGCGGCACCATCAGGGCTCACTGCAAGCCTCAGGTGATCCTCCCACCTCAGCCTCCCGAGTAGCTGGGCCTACAGGCATGTGCCACCTAATTTTTGTATTTTTTGTAGAGATAAGGTTTCACCGTGTTGCTCAGGCTGATCTCGAACTCCTGAGCTCAAGTGATCCGCCTGCCTCAGCCTCCCGAAGTGCTGGGATTACAGGCGCGAGCCACCATGCCCGGCTGAGCGGGGTTTCTATTACACTCTCTCAGGCACTCAAGAGCCACCACTGGTTCAAGATGAATTTTCAAACCGAAAGGAGTTTTTATAATATTATTAGCCACCTTTTGTGAGGTGCTTATACCTTGCTAAATGTAGGCTCTAATTTAATCCTCCTACCTCCCTGTGAGGTATATTATGACCCTTTGTAGATGAAGAAACTGCAGCCGAGTTGGGATGATTTGTCTTGGGCCACCCAGCTTCAAGCAGGAGAGACTAAAACAGGTGGCCCTACCCCCAGCCCATCCTGCCTCCCAACACAAGGCAGCAGCACAAACAAACACGCCCAGCACATACGTGTTCACAGTGCTCAGGGAGAGTCATGCCTCAGACCAGTGGCCACCAGAAAGATTCAACTAGGACTCAACACACAGAATGCCCTGCCCCCTTACAACCCTCTCTTTTCCAGGACTCTGAAGAACGGCAGCTTGAGGGCAATGACCCCTTGAGGACACTGTGAGGGCCTGGACGGGAGATGCCAGCCATCACTCACTGCCACCTGGGCCATCAACTGTGAATTCTCAGCACCAGTTGCCTTTTAGGAACGTAAAGTCCTTTAAGCACTCAGAAGCCATACCTCATCTCTCTGGCTGATCTGGGGGTTGTTTCTGTGGGTGAGAGATGTGTTGCTGTGCCCACCCAGTACAGCTTCCTCCTCTGACCCTTTGGCTCTTCTTCCTTTGTACTCTTCAGCTGGCACCTGCTCCATTCTGCCCTACATGATGGGTAACTGTGATCTTTCTTCCCTGTTAGATTGTAAGCCTCCGTCTTTGTATCCCAGCCCCTAGCCCAGTGCCTGACACAGGAACTGTGCACAATAAAGGTTTATGGAACAGAAACAAAGTCAACAGAACAAACCTAGTGTTTTGGGACTGCACCAGAGGAGGAGTTGAACTCTGAAGGCAAAATCCACTTCCTGGGGCCTTTTCAATCAATCAGACACCAGCCTTATAAATTCTTCTGAATTTGGTTGTGTTTGCTTCTTTAAGAAGACATGATAATCATAATGAGATGTCACTTCACACCCACGAGGATGGCTAGAATCAAAACAGTAACACGTATTGGAAAGGATGTGGAGAAAATAGAACCCTCATACATTGCTGGTGGGAATCCAAAATAGTACAGCCACTGTAGAAAACAGTTTGGCAAAAAAATAAGTTAAACACAGAGTTACCATATGACCCAAAAATGCCACCCCTAGGTATATATCCAAGAGACAGAAATCAAGATATGTCCGTACAAAAACTTGTACATGCATCTTCACAGTAGCATTATTCATAAAAGCCAAAAAAATGGAAACAACTCGAATGTCCATCAGCTGAAAAATAAATGAAGCTGTGGTATTCCAAACAATAAAACATTTAGCCCTAAAAAATGAAGTACTGATACATGCAATAGTTCAGATGAACCTTGAAAACATTAAGAAGCCAGTCACAAAGGACCACATATCATATGATTCCATTTATATGAAATGGCTAAAATAGGCAAATTGATGATTGATAGAGACAGAAAGTAGGTTGATTGCCAGGGGAATGAGGAGTGACTGCTAATGGGTATGGGGTTTCTTTTTTGGATGATGAGGAATTCGATAGCAGTGACGGTCGTACTACCTTATGAATATACTAAGAAACACGAAATTGTACACTTTAAAACAGTGAATTTCATGGTATGCTGTTTGTTAGTTATATCTCAAAGAAGACATGATAACTAAATAATACATCATCTTTCCAAATATTACAGGTGAGCTGGCTTTGGGGTCTTTTAAATACAATTAACCTGCCAAAGAATGTTGAAGATGCCCCTCCCATTTGGACACACTGCAAGAGTGATTGATTTGCACCGAGACCCCTTCCTTCAGAAGGCAAAGGGAAACCTTGGCCTGGGTATTAGCCAGGTGTTAGGCACAGTTAAAATTAACACTTGAGGTCGGGCATGGTGGCTCATGCCTGTAATCCCAGCACTTTGGGAGGCTGAGATGGACGGATCACGAGGTCAGGAGTTCGAGACCAGCCTGACTAACATGGTGAAACCCCGTCTCTACTAAAAATACAAAAAAAAAATAATAGCTGGGCATGGTAGCACGGACCTGTAATTCCAGCTACTCACAAGGCTGAGGCAAGAGAATAGCTTGAACCCAGGAGGCAGAGGTTGCAGTGAGCTGAGATCACACCACTGCACTCCAGCCTGGGCAACAGAGCAAGACTCCTTCTCAAAAAAAAAAAAAAAAAAAAAATTTAACACTTGGGATACTACAGCCCATTAAAAAGTTTGAAAATGGCCAGGTGCAGTGGCTCATGCCTATAATCCCAGCACTCTGGGAGGCCCAGGCAGGTGAATCACCTGAGATCAGGAGTTCAAGACCAGCCTGGCCGACATGGTGAAACCCTGTCTCTACTAAAACTACAAAAATTAGCCTGGCGTGGTGGTGCACACCTGTAGTTCCAGCTACTCAGGAGGCTGAGGCAGGAGAATCGCTTGAACCTGAGAGGCGGAGGTTGCAGTGAGCCAAGATCCTGCCACTGCACTCCAGCCTGGGTGACAGAGTAAGACTCCATCCAAAAAAAGAAAGTTTGAAAAAATTGTGTTATCACAAGCAGGGTTTCATACAAACTTGGGGTAGGGAGGGGGAGGGAAAGATGGAGAGATGGGAGAGAGAGGGAGAGGGGGAGAGGGAGGGAGGCGGAGGGAGAGAGAGGGAGGGGGAGGGGGAGGGAGGGAGAGGGAAAGGGGGAGAGAGGGAGAGAGAGGGAGAGGGAGTGAGAGAGAGAGAGAGAGAGGGAAAGAGAGAGAATACCTTCTGTAGAAACACCTGAGATTTACAACCAGAAGAAACAGGTTCAACTGTAGGCTCCCTTACTTAATAGTTAAGGGAAAAACTTCAACATCACAAGTTTGTTGAGGATGAAGTATCAACTGTATGCAGGCCTTACCGTAGCAGACTGAGGACCCGAAAACACAACTCCACATTAGCTTAGACAGCACGGCAGGTTTACTGTTAGCTGTTACTGGAAGACCCAGAAGAGGGCAGCCTCAGGGTTGATTCCACTCAGAGCCTCGAAGACATCATCGAAGACCCAGTGTCTTCCCACGCTGCCCTCTGAGTGCACCTACAGCAGATTTCCTCGAGGGGATAAAGTGGCTTTGTCAGTTCCATAGAGTGTTACACTCAGGAGAGAGCCTCTCATAGGAGCTGGCTCAGAACAGTGAGGAACTTTCTTTCCTAGAAATGCCCTTCCCCCCAACACACACACACAAACTTGCCCTAGAGTCTGAAGATGCCACATTCCACTGGCACAGGCAAAGGGGATGGGGGATCACCCAGATGGGCTTAGCCTACTCAGGCCCACCCAACCAACTTCTCGCAATAACTGTGTGCCCTTGTTAGTGTTCCTGAAACTCCTGGGGCACAAATTATTTTGCACTGTAGCCTGTCACATGAGGTAATATGAGCCAATCCCCAGCAGGCCCTCAGCATGGGGTGCAGTGCACTAGTGTTGAATTACTTCCCCTTCCCACCTCTTGACAACTTGGTTCCCCACTCCTGAGCCCTGAGGCAAACACCAGCGGAAAACTCCGTCCCCAACACACGTGCCCTGCATGGAGCAGGGTCTTTGCTATGTCCAGTTCCAGAACAGCGCAGGGCACAGAGCAGGCCCTAGGCAAATGGAGCTTGGAGGAGTGCCGGGTCAGTGGGACCCATGCAGACAACTGCCCCTCTCATGGTCCAGGCTCCTTGTTACTGCCCAGCTGGTGGACCCAGGATGCAGGGTGGGAGGCTACAGCTGTTGGCCACCCCAGCTGACTGCCACTAACGCCAGAGGCGCAGCTATTCAGAAAGATATATGGACTGAGCCTCTACCCAACATCTCTTCTTGTCTTACGAGCAGGGAGGAAAAGATCACCTCACCCAACTACTTACAAAGAAATTCTGAAACATTTTTAACGACAAATGTGTTAGCTTGTTAATTGCTAGAATTACCTTAGAAGAAAAGGCATGTGAGAGGAGTGACCAGGGATGACAATTTGCCTCAACTTCCCATACCTGATATTTTTGCTGAGGAGGAAAGTAATGCGAAGGATTGGGGCAGGCAGGCTCAGCCTCTCGGCAGGACTTCCTGGAGGGGCCTGCATGGATGTGCAGCCACGAGGCAGTTTCTCTAAATCTGCAGTTCTTGACCCAGAGCACCTGCTCCTTGGCGACATGAAAAGTAATTCATAGAAAACATGGCCTATCCTCACACGATTTTTTTTAATCAGTGTAATATTCTACACTTCCATTCACTGAAAGAAAACAGTTTATAATGCATCTTTAAGGAAGTATGCTTAGATTTGCCTTTTAAAGCTATACATGTAAACCTGTCATTAAAAAATAAATGAGTGAAGAATTAGAAATGTATATATAATGTTCTATAACAGAAAGACAAAGTAACTTACAATAAAATACATACTTGGTAAAATCTCAGCTACAATTCCAATAGAAGACACAATGAAGACAATTATAATTGCTTAAAACAAATTTGGATCTTAGAAAATATTTGACTAATGAGTTTTTAAATAATTGACTTTTTTTTTTTTTGAGACAGGGTCTCACTCTGTCACCCAGACTGGATTGCAGTAGCTCAATCATGGCTCACTGAAGCCTCAACCTTCTGGGCTCAAGTGATCCTCCAGCCTCAGCCTCCCAAGTAGCTGCTGCTATAGGCACCCATCACCAAACCCAACTAATGTGGTTTATTTTTTGTAGAGATGGGGTTTCACTATGTTACCCAGGCTGGTCTCAAATTCCTGAGCTCAAGCAATCCTCCCACCTTGGCCTCCCTAAGTGCTAGGATTACAAGCATGAGCCACTGCACCTGGCTGACATTTTAAAATAAAGGTTAAGTGCTATGGTCTGAATGTTTGTGACCCCCAAAATTCCTGTGTTGAAATCTTTACCCCCAAGGTGATAACACTAGGAGGGTGGTAAGTGAGCCTGTAAGCCTTTGGGAGGTGATTAAGGGGGAGGGGCATCCTGAAAGGGATTAGTGCCCTTATAATAGAGGCCTCAGAGAGCTCCCTCAACCTATCTACCATGTAGAAGTCACCATCTGTGAACCAGGAAACAGGCCTCACCAGACACCAAATCTGCCGGCACCTTGATCTTGGACTTGCCAGCCTCCTGGGCAGTGAGAAGTAAATTTCTGTTGTTTATAAGCTAAATCAGCATATGGTATTTTGTTATAGCAGCATGAATGGACTCAGACAGTAAGTACAGTCTTACATACGTGTGTCTATATAATCTTCATGGAAATGACCAGTAGAAATGCAGACTGACACGGGTGTGATTCACGACTCAAATACCAGGAGTGGCCTCCTGTGGAGGATGTGCTCTTCTGAAATGACGAACAATTCCTTATAAAGCTCTGAATAAGATGAAGTCAAAATCTTCCTTTGGTTTACATATAGCTGCATTCCTGGAAAATTCAGTATGTTAAAATTATGTCACAAAAATTTTTTGTGGTTACCTATAAAAGAGTTTCTAGGCTTAGAAAATTATAAACATGTTTCCACCTACATGAATTGTATCACGTAGATTTATGTGTAGACAGGGGACCATGCTTCAGTGTACTGGGCTCTCCCTTACAATGCAGGGGGTCTAACATGCCTGGTCCCTGCCCTCAAAATACTAGACATCCCCTCCCCATCACTGCAAAACCCAAGCACCCTGCAACCCACCTCTCCCCACATCTCCAAATTGTCCCCAGGGGGCACTGCTGGCCAAGGTTGGGAATCACCACTGGGGACGGAGGGAAAGGCTGGGTTGAGCTGAGCTCAGGCTCTCCTCTCTGCTGCCTTCACTGCCCAAATAACTGCATTCCACATCGTCGGGATTTCTGCTGAGCCAAGCCCAAAGTTCTGGAAGCCCCAAGTGTCTTATAAGCTCATTCACAACTCCAGGAAAGAGAAGCAGCCCATATTTCAGGCAGAGGAGCAGGCTGTCATTTCCTCTTAGATGACATGCCAAGTTTCCAGAAAATCGCCCCCAAAAAATCAATATGGGACAGATTTGCTAGTGAGTCCACCAACACCCACCATCACAGGTACACAAAGGCAGGTGATCGAAGGGAGGAAAAAAAAGATATCCATGGGAGGAATGACAGTCTTCAAGCTCTGAAAACAAGTGGGTGTGCTTGCTGTGGGTGGGGGGAGATGGGGGTAGTGAGAAGAAACCTTTGAGCTTTCCCCAAAAAAGGTTATCCCTTCTCTCAGGGATAAACTTTTTGAAGTCCCTTAGAATTTTTTTTAATCCAAGATCTCCTTTATCTATTTTTGTAGAAATAACCTCAAGTCCTGGAAAAAAATGCCTTTTTAGAAAACGATACTGTGGATTCATCAGAATTTAACGTGGCAGACTTAAGCACACAAAATAGGTGACTGACAATAAACCAGATGATACAATTCAAACTTTTATTTGGCAATAAGTTCAGAGTCACATAACACATAAAATCAACATTTAAAATAAATAGCAAATTCACATCTAGAATAAATAGGTCTGCCTAATTTGCATTAATTGTGCCTGATATCATACAGGCACAATCTGTCATTCCACGAGATAACTGGAAAAGTCTCCAAAGTCAGAGTTCAAACCTGCAGGACTGAAAACACACAGAAGCACTGTCGCAGGTTGGGTTCCCCGAAAGCAGATACTGAGGTGGAGAATGGCGTGCAGGAAGGTTCATAGGACAGTGCTGTGGGCTGAGCCGGCTGGGTACAGGCTTGTCAGGGAGAGGCACTGGGCTGTAATGTGGCCACAATGAGGTCTCACTGACCCCACAAGGGGCTCTGGAGCTGGGATGGCCCCAGAGGGTTTCCCAAGTTGGGGTGAGGAGGCCAGCCCTTTGTACCCCATATGGAGCCGGTAAGGGTTACAGGCAGGAAGGGGGTATGATCTGGGGCAGGCAGGGCTCTTCAGCAGGGGAAACTCCTCATAAGGGCTGGAAGTAAATGGCCAGCCAGCAGCACTCCCAGCTGTTAGGGGAGTATGTCCTTCAGTCTGGAAAGGTCATCCGGGCAGCTGAGCTCAGCACCCAGCACTAGCACAATTACAAACTAATGCAATGAGAGGTATATTCAACAAGTGTCTGAGCCTGATGGCTCAAGTACACACACTGGCCATACATGTAACTATGCCCAGGAAGTAGCTCAGAGGGAATACAGTGCACTTATTACCTACAGAACTTTCTCCTCTCTGCATCCCAGCTATAAGGTTATTCATCTGCATGTTCTCAGCAAGGGAATCTTGCCATTGCCGCCAACACAATCCATTAGAGCAGGGGCTAGCAAGCCACAGCCTGAGGACCAAATACAGCCCACAGCTTGTCTTGGTAAATCAAGTTGTGCTGGAACACAGCCATGACCATGGTCATTCCCACAGTAGTAGTAGCAAAAGCAAACAGCCCAAAAAGCCAAAAATACTTCCTATCTGGCCTTTTACAGGAAAAGTTTGCTGACCCTGCATTAAGGGTACTTCATTCCCTACCCTTTCTTGAACGCACTAGCAGTGTCAAAGGTTAGCTGAACTTTGAGCTAAGCTCCTAAATGACACTAGTAGTGTCAAAGATTACTGTTACTAAATGACACTAGTAGTGTCAAAGGTTAGCTGAACTTTGAGCTAAGCTCCTAAGGCAAAAAAGAAAGAAAGAAAAACCTGGTACAAAAGAAAGTCGATATTAAGAAGGCAAAATGTAGGTTCTCTATTAGTTGAACAGAACAATCAAGGAACCCTGTGTCTGGCCAAATTTCGTCTTAGAGCATTCTAGACAAGGAGCCCCAAGTGGTCTTTGGCAGCAAATGAGCAGGCAGAAAAGTGGAATTCAGTTCCAGTATTTAGCCCAGTCTCTGCTGCTTAAAAGGCCTTTTGAGAAGAGGACAGAAGAAAAGCCACTTAGTTTGCCCAAAGCTAAATTAACTAGGACCACAAGACTACTTTTCAATTCTCCTTTGCAATAATTAAGAGTGCCAATGCATTCAAAGCAACTAGTAATTGTAGTCTGTAATATGCCCAAATCAGTAGCAAGTGGTTTATGTTACATAATATTAATGGGAATAGCAGAAAATAGTGCCGAAGGGTAAAATGTTTTAAAAAACAGACAGGCACTATGTTAGGGGGAAAGTGGGAGCTCTAAGCCAAACAACTAAAGTATTTCAAAAGCCACGTTTCACCCGTAAAAACAACACTGGAAAAAGAAAATCAGCTGTGCAAGTCCCTTCCAAAGGGACCTCCATGGGCCTTGCTGGACTGTCATATTTGTGATGGCTGCTGCCCTGGACTCATCATTGTTCACATAATTCTTAGAAAATCAGTCAAACAATATTAAACAGTAATTTTTAAATGTTCAAGCTATTTTTGTTTGCTTTACAACACAATTTTTTAAATGGCTGAAAACAGATTCATTTCCCTTGTACCAATATGCATTCATCAATGTGCACATCAGAGAACAAAACACCCAGTGCAGTGTGCCAGATCCCAGTTGAGTCATGATAGGCTGGGCACGGTGGCTCATGCCTGTAATCCCAGCACCTTGGGAGGCCAAGGCAGGTGGATTACCCAAGGTCAGGAGTTCGAGACCAGCCTGGCCAACATGGTGAAACCCCGTCTCTACTAAAAATACAAAAAAATTAGCTGGATGTGGTGGTGGGCACCTGTAATCCCAGCTACTCGGGAGGCTGAGGCAGGAGAATCACTTGAACCCAGGAGGCGGAGGTTGGAGTGAGCCAAGATCGTGCCATTGCACTCCGGCCTGGGCAAAAAGAGCAAAACTAAATCTCAAAAAAAAAAAAAAAAAAAAAGAGAAAAGAGTCATGACGAGGCCAGGCATGACAGTGGCTCACACCCAGAATCCCAGCACTTTGGAAGGCTGAGGTGGGCAGAACACTTGAGGCTAGGAGTTTGAGACCAGCCTGGCCAACATGGTGAAACCCCATCTCTATTAAAACTACAAAACTTGGCCAGGCCTGGTGGCATGTACCAGTAGTCCCAGCTACTCGGGAGGCTGAGGCACGAAAATTGCTTGAACCTGGGAGGCAAGAGGTTGCAGTGAGCCGAGATCACACCACTGCACTCCAGAATGGGCAACAGAGCGAGACCTTGCCTCAAAAAAAAAAAAAAAAAGTCATGACAGCGACAAGTTAAAATCTGTCCTGACTGAGTATATACAAGGATTAATAATAAAGTGGGATGTGCCTCCATCGTTCACATGGGAATGACTGTGTTCGGCCCCGTTACCGCCACGACATGGGTCTACAGTCTGCAAGGTACACAGTCAGTGAGCCTTGGTGGCCCAGATGTCAGGCTTCTGTCACATGGGAGATCTCAACACTGCCAAGCTCAATGGCCCAGAGACTGAAATTCTTCTAACTGGGAATTGATTACAAAACTCATTATTCATACCCAAAAATGTTTTTCTCCTTCAAAGCTTAGGTCACCTAACGTGAACACTCATGGAAACAGGTTTTAAAAATAGTTCTACTTCATTCTTGAGTAAACAAAACACCCTATAACTGGCACCTGGTAGGTAATCAATGAATATCTGATTAGATAAAAACCAAGAATTATTTTTAAGCAACACCTACTTCCTGAATCTGCTTCTCCAAAGCAGAAACTTGAAGCCAAGAACACCAGCGCATTCTTTTAGAACCCCGACACCGAGCAGTTCTGGGCGCAACACACACCCATTAAGTGTCAGCCTCCAATACACCCTGATGGCGAAAACACCTAGAAGCAAGCAAACAATAAACAAAATGCCTACCCTGTTCCAAAAAAAGAACATACTACTGTGCCTTACTGTGTTCATAACAAAATGTAGAAGATGGGGAGAAGCCTTATTGGATCTAAAGGGTCACCTTCACCATTATAGTTAAATACAGCCAAATATCACAAGTACATTCCAACTATAACAAGCAGCATTACAAAGGATGCTATATAACTCATTAAGTTTCTGCCATCTGGCAAGGAGCCCATGGAATGCCAGACTTGGATTTCATCAATAGATGGTTACATACATTTATCACAATAAAAATGTTGAATAAGCAAGCACTCTCCACAAGCTCCCCTCATGTTCCTGCCATCCTTTAGATTTAAGAATATATACAAGTTACCGCAAAAGCTTAAAATGAGTTTTAGCAATACTAGATTAGGCTAATCTGAACAGAAGTATTGATATAGCATATGCAATTAAAACAGTATTAGCAGCCCCATAACTAATAACAGCAGACATTCCCATAGCACTCAGAGAGTGCAGTAAATATGCACTTTACATTGAAGGATACTACAAATGCAGGTGCAATTAAGGATTCTTCCCTCCAACAAAAGGAATACATGCCACTTGCATTGCCCCTAGAAAGAAATGAAAAAAGCAGGCCAGGTGCGGTGGCTCACACCTGTAATCCCAGCAATTTGGGAGGCCAAGGCGGGCAGATTATCTGAGGTCGGGAGTTCGAGACCAGCCTGACCAACATGGAGAAACCCCATCTCTACTAGAAATACAAAATTAGCTGGGTGTGGTAGTGCATGCCTGTAATCCCAGCTACTTGGGAGGCTGAGGCAGGAGAATCGCTTGAACCCGGGAGGCAGAGGTTGCAGTGAGCTGAGATTGTGCCACTGCACTCCAGCCTGGGCAATAAGAGCAAAACTCCATCTCAACAAAACAAAACAGAAGGAAATGAGAAAAGCTTGGTTAGCTAGGTCATATCTATTCCTTAGCTTCAATGTCCTTCGCCCTTTCCCATCTTAGACATCTAAAAAAAAACAAAACAAAACAAAAAAAAAAAAAACAAACTACACAAACTCCCAAATAGTCGCACAAACATCACAGGAGTGAAATCTAAGAGAAGGCTGGACATGGCTAAGTTGTGGTGGCCATCTTCCTCCTCCCCTGGCCAATCCAAGCACCTCTCAGTTGGTAACTCATTAGAGAGAAGCCAGGATCTTGTTTGTTTCCATCTAGACAAAGGACTGTTTCTGGTAAATCTCATGTTTTAACAGGATTCCAATTCAACTGGGTGGGTGGCATGGCATAGCATTTCATGACAAAGATGCTTTTTCCTGGTTCATTTTCTTTCTTCCAATGAGCAGATGAAACCAACTCAGGTGGTGTTTCCAGGTTTAACAAGCTCCTGGGAGACCTACCACAAATGTTTTGGTTCTTCAAACCCACTCGTTTCTTGCAGAAGGCTCTACAGAAGGCTGTTCCACTAGCTGGCAGGTTTTGACCAGAGCTCTCATCTCCTCTCTCCTGCCCTCCTCCATGCTGGGGAAGGACGCAGGAACCACACACTGAGGACAAAAGGGTCCAGGAGTTGCAGCTTCTCTTGTTCTTTCTCACTTAAGTCCTTCCAGGGAGGCTGTGTTCTATTTGATGTGATGTGCCAGAATGTCAAAGCCTTAGTACCAAATGATTTGGGAACTGGCCATCACCTGGGGAACCTCTCTGCCACTCACAGCAGCGTTTTACCATTGTGGAGCCCACGAAATCAGCCTTCTGGAAGCAGCTAATCTTTGCCCATCACTGTGCCCCTGCAGTTCCCAATGCATAGCCCGTAAATGTTCAGGAAATGTTCCATGGAGGAGTCAAGAACCGTTTCAAGCTTGACCTGCTAGAATACAGACATGGCATCAAGTGGTCTCACCTATCCCAGGAAACCTGATGTTCCAGGACCTCAGTAAACAAAAAGGCAAAATCAGAGTTCCAATGTGAAGCTTGCCTTTCAGCCCTGCATGGGGGGAAAGGCTGGAGGGGTGGGCTGCTAGCTCCTGTCTTAACCATTGGGAGAATTATTCTCCGTAAGGTACAAAATAAATATCAAAAGGCTTATCTGTATCTTTTCCAAAAGCAACACTCAGACCCACATGAAGTCAACCCCATCATGCCTGCCCAATCAGGGGCAGTTACAGTTTCTAGTTTTTGCCCTTGGCTACTTGGCCTGGGCCTCCTGCAGGAGAGGGGTTCCGAAGGTGGGGGGCCTTTCTGACCAGGCGGGCAGTTCGTGCTGCAGTGGAGTCCTCCGGGGGTAGAAAGTGTGGCTGACGTCATAGTTCAGGAGGCAGCTCAGAGACGCCATGTAGATGTCAGCGAAGCGCGACAGGCGCCTTAGGAAGTAGGTTGGGTTCTGGTCTGTGCGGAACAGGCTTCCAAACTGGGCATTGAAGAAACTCTTGGTCATTTCTCTGAAGAGGCAATAAAAAAGCAAAGCAACAGAGAATGATTCAAAAATCCTTGTTTTTAAACTACTGAAATCAAAATCACTTCTTTTTTTAAAAAAAAAAAATAGGACTCATTTGAGAAACATGTTAGCCTAGAGCAGCCCCAAATATTAATTAAGAAAACAGCCTAGAGCCAGGTGTGGTGGCTCACATCTGTAATCCCAGCACTTGGGGAGGCCAAGGCAGGCAGATCACTTGAGGCCAGGAGTTCGAGACCAGCCTGGCCAACATGGTGAAACCCCGTCTCTATTAAAAATACAAAAATTGGCCAGGCGTGGTGGCGCACACCTGTAATCCCAGCTACACAGGAGGCTGAGGCACAAGAATCATTTGAACCAGGGAGGCAGAGGGTGCAGTAAGCAGAGATCATGCCACTGCACTCCAGCCTGGGCAACAGAGCGAAACTCCGTCTCACAAAAACAAAAACAAACAAACAAAAAAAACAGTCTGGCCTGGGCATGGCAGGTGGATCACTTGCGCCCTGGCCCACCAGCATGGGCAACATAGTGAGACCTTGTCTCTACAAAAATGCAAAAAATTTGACCAGGCATGGTGGCATATGTCTGTAGTTCCAGCTACTCAGGAGGCTGAAGTCGGAGAATCACTTGAGCCTGGGTGGTTGAGGCTGCAGTGAGCTGTGACTGTGCCACTGCACTCCAGCCTGGGTGACAGAATGAGACCCTATCTCAAAAAAAGAAAAGAAAAGAAAAGAAAACAGCCTGCCTATCCATCCATCAAAACGACTCTGGTCACATTTCCCCCTTAACTGTCTCAAGGCTCCAGATTCTTTTGCAAGCTTCTCTAAATACACACGCCCCATCTCCCAAACCTAAACACAGGATGCAACAGCTGCTCCCGATGGTACACAGAGGAATACGGAATGCTCTCAGGAGGCTCCACTTCCCTTACCGAAAGGATCAAGACCCCGTTTTACAAGGTTATTGTGAGAACTGAGTAAGGTAAGCAAAATAAAAGCATGTTGTAAACTCTCAAGTGCTCAGATGGAGGAATTAAAGATTGTTTTATGTGATGTAAATCTCCCCCAACCATTACATACTTCAATGCCTCCCAGCCTCCTCGGAAGTGAGGCTGTTCACCCCATCCAAGCCCCATAACCCCCTGCAGTCATCCTTACGGGCATGTATATCTATATCAACATCCCTATCATACAAACACAGGATGTGCACTCTCTCTGATGGCTGGGACCCTACACACAGAGTATTCCATTAAAATGAATGAATTCTATTTGACTGCTAATAAGTCATTTACAAACACAGCAAAAAATATAATCATTTACACAGCTGTGTGATAAAAGCCACTAGTTAGTTGGTAGCAGTTAGAATAAGACTCAGACAGCCAACACTCTGAGAGGGAGGAGGACAAACTAAATGCAATACAGCTTTGGCTTCTGCAGAATCTGAGGAATGGACTCACTGCCCCCTCTCCATGCCCCATCCACCCACCCACGCACACCACCACATGAACCCTGGAGTCAGGCTGCCCACTGCTGAGAGGCCAGAATCCCACAGTAACCACTGTTTCCAAAGCTCAGAGACGGCTATACCCAGCGGCTGAAGAAAGCCATGCACAAAGTCAGAAAAGTTCATGCAAGTGGTATAAAGCATCCTTCTAGGGAAGCATGATTGTCAGTATGGGTTCCCTTAAGACAGACACCCACCAAACTTTTCTTATGGCAGGCAGGCTTTCTTTATCAGTTAACATCCTGCTTACTGATTGCACATTCTTGAAATAGCTGTGGTTACAAATAAGCACCAGGGTCGTAGGAGCCCTAAGAATTCATTGAGGGTTCAGAGCCCAAATCCAGTGCTGCCCAGTAGCCACATGGTGCTGCCAGCATTATTAACAACTGGCCCACCAGCTGCCCAGATGGGAAGGTCAGGCAGGCAGGAAGGAGGAATGAGATGGGAAGGCTCCGTTCTCCAAAGGCCTTCGATGGCAAGGGCGGAGGAATGACAGGGGTGATGGCTGGCCTCAAGGAAATTTGTCACATGTTACCAACAGCAGGTAGCTGATTCTGGATCCTGGGGGAGGCAGACATACCTGGGAGCTAAAATAGGATGTTTCAACATTATGCCTCAGGCTGGCCCTGGGGAACACATGTGGGCTGAGCACAGCCAGAACAGGGTGGTGGACGCGCACATTCAATACAGGCCTCTCTTACCGCATCTCCTTCCTTTCCTTTTTCCACTCCTGCAAAACCAGCTGTGACTCAGCATCTCTGTGAACCTGTAGGACACAAGTCAATTATTACAACTGTTTTGATTTCAAATAAGCTCATTACGTAATGAGAATTTTTTAATGAGCAGTTTTTCTAGGAGAAATTTTATTCCCTTACATCTCAGAGGCTGGCACCTGAATGAAATAATACATTTTTCAGACCTTCCAGTTGAAACCCTGCCTTCTTCATGAATAAAAAATTGTTTTAAATGTCCAACATTAGAAATGTGGTTTAACAAATTAAGATGTATTATGAAGTTATTAACCTATCAGTAAAGATTACATATAAACATAATGCATGTGTATCCATGTATGTATAACACATGTATGTGATATATCCATTATGCACATGATACATCCATTACACATATATTATATACATGTGTACAAACTATAATGTACAAATACTTAGTACATGCTACCTATTATACATATTATATACATGTGTACAAACGTTATAGTTAAGTAGAAATGGCGTATATACCCACCAATTGCAAGCATGTCAAAGTATGTGCTTACATTTGGAAATTAACATAAAAATTTGTTTTAATTTGTACAGGGGTAGTAGAATTATAAATAAACCTTTTAATTTAATATTATATTAAGTGTTTAATTTAAAAAAACAATTATTTTTTTGCAAAAGGCAAGAAGGCAAATCACCTCAATGAGAAGGAAGAGCAGAGCATTTTCTGGTGGGCCAAAATATGGGCGAAAGGCAAAAAGAAAATGCCAATTGCCCATGATCTAACAAATGGAATCTCACAAGTCCCTCTCCAAGGTTCTTATGGCTAAACAGAAACACTGAGGCCAGAATCCAAGGTGCACATGATCGCAGGGAACAGGCCAGCTCCCTGCAATTCATGACCACAGGGGTAACCTTAGAACCTGGAGGAAAACACCAAGCGGGCAAACCATCTGCTTTTGACATGGGAGCCAAGAACCTTCTGTTTATCACATCTGCCCAGTTCAACAGCTTGACTCTGAACCCTGAGGCTGTTGAAGGGACATGTAAAGGAGAAAGACCCCAGGAATCAGAGGCCAGGGACGCATGCCCAGAGGGGGACCCTGAGCTCTGCGCCTTCACTCGGCCACCCTTCGGGCCTTACCTCCCACGAAGCACCCAGCAGCTGGCTGGGGCGCCCTGCTGGCTGCCCTGCCATGAACCTTTCCCACCATTTATCATCTCTCTCATAGGAACAGCCCTCTCGCCTGCATCCTTCCCATCAGCCATTAAACATGCTCAAGTCTCTCCCATTGAAAAAAGAAGATTTCTCCTGGTGCCCAACCCCCTTTCTCCAGCTCTGTCCCCCTACAAGGCCAAACTCCATAAAACAAGAGCCTCTGGTTCTGAAATCCACTTTAAAATATTTCAAAGACAGTGTGTGTTCATTAGCTATCATTAATCTTTCAAGTGAAACCATGCACTCTAGAGTGGGTACTTAACATTGGAAAAGACTAACCGAAGCCCCACAGAGAACTGATCCTACAGGCACTTCAGCCATCTCCATCTCCAGTGGTTGTTCATGGGCATAATCAGCTCTTTAGGGGCAAAACAGATTGGCTACATATCTTTGCCCTTGTTTGAGAAAGATATTACAATCTAGCCAGTGCAATAGCCTACATCAGTCCAGCCACCGGCCCATTTTTCTATCAGCCTATAAGCTTACAAATGGGTTTTTCTTTTTCAATGGTTGGGGGAAAAAAAACTCAAAAGAAGAATAATTTCATGACAGGCTGGGCGTGGTAGCTCACGCCTATAATCCCAGCATTTTGGGAGGCCAAGGCAGGTGGATCACTTGAGGCCAGGAGTTCGAGACCAGCCCGGCCAACATGGTGAAACCCAGTCTCTTCAAAAATACAAAAATTAGCTGGGCATGCTGGTGCACACCTGTAATCCTAGCTACTCAGGAGGGTAGGCATGAGAATCACTTGAGCCTGGGAGGCAGAGGCTGCAGTGAGCTGAGATCATGCCACTGCACTCCAGCCTGGGCAACAGAGTGAGACTGCCTCAAAAGAAAAAAAAGAGAAGAATTTCCTAACATGTAAAAATTACATGAAAGTCAAATTTCAGTGTCCACCAATAAAGTTTATTGGGACACAGCTACAACCATTCATTCACATACTGTCCACGGCTGCTTTTGTGCTACAAGTGCAGAGGTGGGTAGCTGCAACAGAGCCTACAGCCTGCACAGCCTAAAATATTTACCATGTGGCCCTTTGCAGAAGCTTGCTGACCTGTGGTCTAAATGTGGCCTCTGACTGGTTGGTTACCTGAGAAGCGGCTACCAATGCCAGCACCACCACCATGAACCACAGCCATTTTGGAATGCACTTCAAGGCTAACTAATGAAATTACAACCAAAATTTATATACTTCTATTTCATTCATGAGACTCGGCTCCAAATGACACTCTGTGAGGTCAGGAGTTTGAGACCAGCCTGGCTAACATGGTGAAACCCCATCTCTACTAAAAATACAAAATTAGCTGGGCGTGGTGGCACAAGCCTGTAGTCCCAGCTACTTGGGAGGCTGAGAGAGGAGAACTGCTTGAACCTGGGAGGTGAAGGCTGCAGTGAGCCAAGATCGCGCCACTGCACTCCAGCCTGGGCGACAGAGCAAGACTCCATCTCAAAAACAAACAAACAAACAAACAAAAAAATGACACTCTACTGGCTCTGAAAAAATCAAACCCAATCTCAGAGGACCAATTTTTCTCCTCAGAAAACTGTCCAAATAATGTGCTACATGCTCTGAAAATAATCCCCAAGGGGGAGTTCTAGAAACATCTACCACAGGCTCAGTGGAATAACTTATAACTTTCTAAGGGAACACTGAGGAAGAGGGTGACAGTGAGATAGGACACTGATTTGGATGTTTTTTTAGTTAGCAGCTATACACCTCTATATCCTAGTGAATCCAACCTGACAGAACTCTGTACAAAGTGCCAGAACCCAAGGCAATCAATATAGGTGCACAGAGGTTAAGGGTCTAGAGTCGGTCGGCCTGTGTGTAAACACCAGCATCACCCCTCACTAGAGCAAGTTATATCTCCTCTGCGCCTCAGGGTCTTCATCAGTAAAATGGCAGTGATGTTTCAGAACTACTTCAAAGAGTTTCTGTGAAGATGAAATGAACTTAAAGGTCTCAGTGTCCAGAACACGGTAAGTTCTTACGACATTTCTACATAGCCTGATTCTGCCAACCGAGAACTGTGATTCTAGAAAAGTCACCTATCTCGCTGTCTCAGTTTTCTCTCCTGCAAAATGGGGGCAGCTATGTAAACCTCAACTCCCTTTTCTTCCTTCCCTTACCCCACACCTCATATAATTAATTTTACAAACCACAGAAATATTTTCAGCACTTCCATTCTCTAAAACACACATTCCTTAGTAGTCAACTTTTTACACAGGTCAGAAAAAGGAAAACAAAATAAAACCAAAAAAAAAAAAAACCTCTTTCCAAAGCTAAAATATACTGATACCATCTACGTGCAGTTGTGTTTGTACCTATGACCAGCTGCCAGGGTCACAGAGATTTCACTGAGGGTGAGTCAAGCCTTGCCTATACCCGAATCCTCTAAACAGGAAGGCACATTAGAGCAGTGCTCTGAAGCATGGACTTGGGGACTTGGTTCAAGCCCTGCCCTGCCATTTTATGACCTCAGACATGAATGATACCTAACCTCTCAAAAACTGTTTCCTTATTCTAAAATGGGAAAATTGTACCTACCTGCAAGGGACAGCTGTGACTATTAAATGAGCAAAGTGTATAGAGCCAGCACTCAGCACAGTGTCCAGCACATAAAAAGTAACTATTAGTAGTGTATGACATGCACAGACTCTAAACTACACTAACTCAGAATTGACACTGTATATTTTTAGTAAATCATCTCACAGACAAGCATAGCGAGGGAAACAGAATAAATCCTCATCAGAGGATTCTCATCAGAGAAGAGCCAAGAACTAATGGAGCCCAGTGCATCCTGGAAACAAGGCCCAGGGGGACGTGCAGGGCCCCATGCTCTGGAATGCATGCACCTGGAGCCAGAATCTGGCCTGCCACTCATGGCCCTGCCTGATCTCACTGCTCAGCCACTCCCAAGCAGAGTGCCAGCTGGGGCAGGCAAGGCAATTCCCTGCCCATTTCCAAAGCCAGAGGGCAGGCATGGGCAATAGGCTGTGGCCACAGGTTGCAGGTGTGTTAGCCAAGAGAGCAAGCACCTGTGCCCAGATCCTAAAAATGTCAGCACCCATGCTGAGACGGCTGTAGCCCAGGCAAGCTGGAGCCAGGGAGAAAGCAAGGTGCCTCATGGAACTGGAAAGGAAAGGGGCACATGGAGAATTAAGGGGATACAGCTACAAAAGAGAGGCAGCTTCCATGGGCCAGGAAACGACTGATAAAACTGCCATTCCTCACTTACCAGCCAAAACTGGCTGCCTAACTTAACTTAAGGAAGTAACTGCCAGGGAACTCCAGTAAGCCAGCAAACTGCAGGTATTATCCTCAGAATCAACTGAGGCTGGACCCAGGGATCTTGACTCTTGCTTTGAGACTCTTTCCAGTAAGCCATGGTGCCTAGACTGAAGTTTTCGTTCCAGCGGCCCCTTTATTTCACAGATGGGGAAACTGAGGCCCAGAATGGAGAAGTCCCACCGTAGCAGGTGCAGACAGAACCAGCACAGACTCAAGCACTGGCAGGGCTTCCTGAATCCCAGCATCCCACAGGAGAGCTCCTAGCAGGCTTCAGTGTGGAAGTGAGGACACTGGATCTTCACTGACAGAGGAATGTGAGCAAACACCTGCATTAACAAAGGCCCCACAAACACTGTCTAGGCAAAAGAACCCCAATCGTTATTCTACAGTCTACTGAAAACAACTTAAGCCTCATATTTTATAACAATTAAGCAGAAAATACCTGAAGTAACTTTCTAACCTCAGGCTTAAAGAAAAAGTGAGAGAGAAAAATAATATATCCAAACCTGCATCTGTTCCAATAAGCCAGTCAAGGTCTGCAGCCAGGTCATGGTTTGAATGTATTGCTCCGTGTTCATGATTTTGAGCTCAGATCTCAACTCTGGGATGATTGCACCAGTCCTCCAGCCATGCTTTAGGGTCAAATCCTGATCACAAAGATCACGAAAAGTCAACGTCAGTCTCAACAGAATCTAAACTATGTCATTATTTTCCCAGACATGAGAGGCATTCATTTAATTACTTTTTGATGGTAATGGTTAGTTATTCACCAAGCTGAATTCAATGAATTACATTTAATTAAAACCTATTTGGCCCCAGCCTTTGATCATTTCATTCCAAGAAAGTTTCAGTTCTGGAAATAATTGCCGTGAGTCACAACCCCTGCAGAAACACTAGGTCTGGAATCATTAACCATGGTCTGTAAAAAAAAAAAAAAAAAAAAAAAAAAAAATGAGGTCAGGGGCAGAAAGGGGCTTGACCTAAATGCTACCAAAGGTCTTCATTCAATTCATCCACAGACCTGTGTGTGCCAGGCCCTCTGGGTTATGGAGAACCATGGAATCTCAGATTTGGAATGATCACATACAACATAAGCATGCATGATCACATTTTCCATTCCAAATGCTGTCACCCCATATTTGACAACAGGCCAGAATATCTAGTATCAGCTATGTCCTGGAAAATCTAAGACATATAGTCATCATACTAAATGTGCATTTTCTTATTTGGCAAATATTTATCAAGCACTACTATTTGCCAGGCCCTAAATACTGAGGATAAAACAATGCACAAAAAAACTGAGAAATCCCAGCCCTCGTGGAAAATACAGACAATAAATAAGTAAAATACACAATGGCAGGTGGGGATAAGTACAAGGGACAAAAATCAAGCAGAATAACAGGATAAGGAGAGGAAGCAAGGAGGTTTCCATTTTATACAGGGTAGTTAGGAAGACCAGGCTAATACAAGGACAAGGTGGGGGAAAGTATGAAAATATGTGGAAACAGAAAGATTCTGGCTGAAGAACAGCAAGTGCAAAGGCCCTGGGGCAGGAACATGCTGGAGGGTGGCATGTTAAGAAGCAACAAGTCAGGGAACCTAGAAGAGACAAAACAGGGGGCAGAGGCAGAGGATGTCTTCAGAGGTGGGCTGGGGAAGGGGAAATCCAGTGGGCAACCATAGGAACTCAGGCTTTTACTCAGAGAGAAAGAAAGGCTTTCAGGTTTTAAAAGAAGTGGTAGCTGATTTATAGTTTTAAAGGTTCAGTCTGGCTACTCAGCTAAAGCCAGAATCCTAAGTCCTATGCAAGAGTCTAAGAGGGCTTAGGATGCCCACCTTCCTCACTGGTTTGATTTTTTTTTTTTTTTTTTTGAGGCAGGGTCTCACTCTGTCGCCTAGGCTAGAGTGCAATGGCATGATCTCAGCTCACTGCAGTTTCCACCTCCCAGGTTCAAGCAATTCTCCTGCCTCAGCCTCCCCAGTAGCTGGGATTACAGGCGTGTGCTACCACGCCCAGATAATTTTTGTATTTTTAGTAGAGACAGGGTTTCACAACGCTGCCCAGGTTGATCTCAAACTCCTGAGCTTAAGTAATCCACCCACCTCGGCCTCCCAAAGTGCTAGGACTACAGGTGTGAGCCACCATGCCCAGCCCACTGGTTCAGTTTCTTGAAGCCTTTGAATATTTCTCTTCCTCCTAATAATACATGAAAACCTACAGCACATTCTTTTAAATATTCCCAACGGTGGCAAACTTTCAAAGGTGGATTTTATGTTTTTTGATGCATCGATGAAAGGAAAAAGAACAATGGCATTTATTTCTTATTATTTAAATGGAAAGATTATTCTGATAAACTCTGAGTGAACTTATTTCCATCATTTCCAAAAAATATTTATCTTTTTCACAACTCTGATCCATCCTGTTCTGTTAAAAAAAAAAAAAAGACATTAAAAAAATGCAGCCTACTTTTAGGTTTTATGAAAGCATAAAGATGACCTTAAATAAAAGATATATTCTTAAATAAAAGGTACATCCTTAAATAAAAGATACATTCTTTAGTAAGTGAGACTAACACATCTGTCCCCCAACAAAGGAAAAAAGGGCCCCTCACCGCCAGGTCACTGTATATATGGTCACCAAAATACAACACTCTGGATCCTCTCCATCCAGTAAGCTTCAAAAATTCATATAAATTACCCTGTAATCAGAGAAAACTATAGTTATTATTATTACAGATAGAGATCTGTCTAACCCACAGTACAAAATATAAAACTTTTAAAAATTGTTGTTTTTATAACTTATTTTAAATATCAAAATATAAAGATAAAAGCACCTTCATGGGAAATCTTTCTTCTATGTCAAATGCACTGTTCAAGAAGGATTTATATTATATACACCTCACTGTAACTATCTTTCCACACTTAACATGCTGTGGCCATCTTCCCATGTCAATAGTCTACCATGTAATGATAGCAGCTGGGAAGTACCATGATTCCTTTCGCCAATTCCCTGATGTTGGACAGCTGACATTATCTATTTTATAAGCAACTTCATGATAAACATTCTCATAGCCAAGTTGTATTAGCTATTATCTTCATAATTTTCTTAGGCTAACTTCCTAGAAGTAGAATGGCTTTATCAAAGCTAATTTTTCAAGGCCTAGAAAATACACTTATTGCCAAATCCATCAGATTGTTATATACCCACCAAGAATGTATTCATATTTTTAAAAAATGAACTTTAGTAACATAATAATGGTCACCGATGCAATAATTCATTCAAATATTTGAAAGCCTCATATGACACCAAAATATATTAGAACTGTGCACAGGCTAGGTGTGATGGTTATGCCTGTAATCCCAGCACTTTGGGAGGCCAAGGTGGGAGGACTGCTTGAGCCCAAGAGTTCAAGACCAGCTTGGGCAAAATGGCAAGACCCTGTCTCTACAAAAAATAAAAATTAAAAATTAGCTGGGTGTGGTGGTGCATGCCTATGATCCCAGCCACCTGGGAGGCTGAGATGGAAGGATCACTTCAACTCAGGAGGTTGAGGCTATAGTGAATCATGTTCATGCCACTGCACTCCAGCCTGGACAACAGGGCAAGACCTTGTCTTAATAAATTTTTTTTTAAACTCACAAAATTGTGTACAAAACATGTATTGTCAGAAAATAATTAGTAATTTGAGTGAATAATATGCCATGAGTAAGTGTTCCTTAAAGAGAAATTTCCAAGGTTTACTACTGGCATCTTATATGTTACACACTATGAAAGTCATGCCTTAAATTTTGTTTTTAAAAAAACATTCAATTTTGAGTTAGATACTAGCAATATATTGAAAATATATTGATTTAAACCTAAGTTTACCACCAAGTTATAATCAATCAGTTCATGGGAATCACTCAGAACTGTGCCAGGCATACAGTAAGCCACAATGAACATCAGCTATTAGCATTATTACCGACCACAAAGCAAAGCAACAAAAAGGATCAGCTGGTCATGAGATACCTGCTTGTATATCTGGCCTTTCTGCAACTTATGGATTTTATCCCAGAGTAAGACACCTTTCTCATTCATCTTTCGGAAAGGCCTAACAACAGAAATGGGAAACATTATGACATGGAGTAGTACAGGCTGTCTGCTCTATGAAATACCAGTTATTCACTATCACAGGAAGTAGCTCCCTGCAAAAACCTAAAAAAAACCCGAAACCAAAACTCCACCATCATATTCCCTGGCCTAATTCAATGCGTCCCAAATTGTGTGAAGCCCAGTATCCAAAGGTGTTCCACGAAAAAAAAGAATTCCAGGGGGCTGGGCGCAGTAGCTCACTCTTGTAAGCCCAGCACTTTGGGAAGCCAAGGCAGGTGAATCACCTGAGGTCAGGAGTTCGAGATCAGCCTGGCCAACATGATGAAACCCCATCTCTACTAAAAATACAAAAATTAGCTGAGCATGGTGGCGGGCACCTGTAATCCCAGCTACTCAACAGGCTGAGGCAGGAGAATCGCTTGAACCCAGGAGGCAGAGCTTGCAGTGAGTGGAGATTGTGCCACTGCACTTCAGCCTGGGCAACAAGAGAGAAACTCCATCTCAAAAACAAAAACAAAAACAAACAAAAAAAAGAATTCCAGGGTCATATAAATTTGGAAAACACCATGCACTAAACATGTCCCTCTTAAAAAGCTATTGATGGCTCTGAAAAGCCCTGCTGTAATCAACTTTCTTTCACCCAGATTTCCCGGATTTACTTGACCAGGCAGAAAACCTGTTTATGAAGAAAAGTTTATGGAAATACTGCCTTAGTATATTTTTCTGGCTTTGTACCTGAAATTAAGCCACTCCAGATAAAAAACAAATCAGAAGACCAGAAGCACTAGTTTATGGTGGAAATTGGGAAGTAAGGATAATGCCTCATGCCTCACCCTGGCAGTGTTAGCCCAAAGGACTCACAGTTTGTTTGCCTTAAGGTAAAAATAAGTGTCACCCTAAAAAAATAATTTTTTTACCTAATTGTAATACAGAAAAATACTATGAAAAAAAGGTACGCAACCCAGAATTCTAGACCCACCATGTACACTTAACATTTCAGTTCGTGTTTCAGTCTTTTTATGAAATTTATCTTTCTTTCATGACTATAAAATGAGGATCACTTTGTGTACACTAATTTATATCCTTTTTCTCTAATATTGCGAGCAATTTCCCAAGTGATTACATCTTCTTAAATACATCATGTTTTACAGTAATACAACATCATCTTTTTTTTTTCCCAAATACATTTTTGGTTTTTTTGGAGAAAGGGTCTCACTCTGTTCCCCAGGATGAAGTGCAATGGCACAATCGCGGCTCACTACAGTCTTGACCTCCTGGGTTCAGGTGACACTCCCACCTCAGTCTCTCAAATAGCTGGGACTGCAAGCATGCACTGCCATACCTAGTTTATTTTATTTTATTTTATTTTTTTGAGAGAGAGTCCCACTCTGTCGCCCAGGCTGGAGTGCAGTGGTGCAACCTTGGCTCACTGCAAGCTCTGCCTCCTGGGTTCAAGTGACTCTCCTGCCTCAGCCTACTGAGTAGCTGGGATTACAGTTGCATGCCACCATGACTGGCTAATTTTTGTATTTTTAGTAGAAATGGGATTTCACCATGTTGAACTCCTGACCTCAGGTGATCTGCCCACCTCAGTCTCCCAAAGTGCTGGGACTACAGGTGTGACCAACTAATTTTTTAATTATTTGTAGAGACAGTCTCCCTATGTAGCCCAGGGTGGTCTCAAACTCCTGGGCTCAAGCAATCCTCTGGCTTCAGCCTCCCAAAGTGCTGGGATTATAGGTGTGAGCCACGGCACCCCGGCCCAAGTACATCTTTTTTTTTTTTTTTTTTTTTTTTGAGATGGAGTCTCACTCTGTCGCCCAGGCTGGAGTGCAGTGGCATGACCTCGGCTCTGCCTCCCAGGTTCACGCCATTCTCCTGCCTCACCCTCCCGAGTAGCTGGGACTACAAGCGCCCACCACCATGCCGGGCTAATTTTTTGTATTTTTAGTAGAGAGGGGGTTTCACCATGTTAGCCAGGATGGTCTCCATCTCCTGACCTTGTGATCCGCCCGCCTCAGCCTCCCAAAGTGCTGGGATTATAGGCGTGAGCCACCGCACCCGGCCAAGTACATCATTTTTAATGACTGCATAATACCCCCTCACATGGCTATTCCAAATTTAACTAGGCATCTCCTACTGTAGGGCTGTTAGGTTGTTTCTGACCTCTCATTATTATGAATAACACAAGGATGAATACAGATGGAGAATTATTCAGCTCTTACCCTAGGCTTCAAGAACAAAGACAAAATAGATGTTTGGGGGAGAGGGCTGAGACACCCTGCCTGCGCCATCCAGGGAAACGAGTCCAGGACCCTGCCCCCTCACTTTTTATAAACATAACAAAGCAGAGGAGCTCTCTGGTGAAAAGAGAGACAGGGCCCTTCTCCTGACCACACCCCAGAATCCACTAAGAAAATGGTGAGGGCATCATATCAGCTACTGTAGGGCCCCCAACCTCCCCCACTTCTTCCTCTAGGACAGGAGTGCCTTTGACCACTCTGACCCAGCTAGGTGCATGTTTTCCTCTGCATGCTTCAAAACTCCCAGACACCGATAAAGGTTTTTATGATACTCCCCAAGACACTGGAAGAAACCAGCCCTGGCCTGGAGCCAAATTCCTTAAACCCTCAATAAACTCCACATCCTGACCCACTCCTGGTGGACACACCTAGGTAGAACATCCCTTTCTCTCCTGTCTGCCAGAGCAGGGGTCCCCAAACCCTGGGCCGCGGACCACAGACCAAAACCAGTCCAAGGTCTGTTAGGAACCGGGCCGCACAGCAGGAGGCGAGCGTCCAGTGGGTGAGAGAGCATTACCGCCTGAGCTCCAACTCCTGGCAAATCAGTGGTGGCATTAGATTCTCAAAGGAGCGGAACCCTATCGTGAGCTGCACAAGCAAGGGATCTAAGTTGTGTGCTCCTTATGAGAATCTAATGCCTGATGATCTCAGGTAGAACAGTTTCATCCTGACACCATCACCCTACCCCCACAAACCTGCTGGAAAAATTGTCGTCCATGAAACCGGCCCCTGGTGCCAAAAAGGTTGGGGACCCTGTGCCATAGGATGCACAGCAGCCCACTCTGTAAGTCGGTTCCTCTAATAAGCGCTTTGCACTGATCACCCCAGAGTTTAGTGCTTCTTTCTTTGGAATCCCAACCAGCCCCATCATGGGACGGTTTGCGGCTCTCCCATGTAGGAACTCCCTTGCCACTGTCTTTGGGATGACTCCAGCCGCCAGTCAGTGGGACAAAATAGTAACAAAGCAGCAAGCCACAGTTTATAGCTGTTTTTCATCACACTCATTTTCTTGAGTCCCACCAAGCATTTTTGAGTCCCTGCACATGGTTCTTGGTTTGCCTCTTCTTCCTGGAGTCACTGTGACACGTGGAAAACTGGGACAAGAGGAATTTAAAGCATTAACTGCAGGGCACCACACCCTGATGCTTCAAATCACCTAACAGAGAGGAACAGACTACCTGCTTACCAGCTGCAGAATAAACATGGGGGTAAAAGTGTTTCAAAACTTGCCCATTATTATACAAATACAAGTAATTTTTTTAGAACCCTAGTGCAGTGATTCTCAACACTGTGGGAATTTGTGGAGAACAGCTCTTGGTGAACAGGCCTGTCCCACAAGTTAAAAGATATTTTAGCGTTCCCTGATCCCTACCCACTAAATACTAACAGCACACTCTGTCCCTGTCACAACCTAAAACTTACCTGCTTCCCCATTCCCACGGCTACAGTGGCAGGAAGATATTAAGACGTAATAGAGATTTACTGCACGTGATGCAAAACCTGTGTTGCAGAGCAGCTCTGCAAAATCCAACTGCAATTTTAAACACACTAATGAGAGCTCTATTTACAGAGCTACCCAACAGGCAGTTTTGTTGCTGCTGTTGTTTTCTGATGCTTCACAATGTGTCTGCATCTAAAGATCTAATTTACTACGTGATAATAAGTTTGGCTTTCTCATCACTGCCAATCATTTTCTTCAAGCCTACCTCATGGGTCTGAAGTAGCTCAAGTTGAACTGAGAACCCTTTCAATGCATGCAAACTGTCTGTTACGTGCTCATGTCACTCTCCTCATGATTACTTGCTAGAAGGGTTAAAATTCAAAAGCTATAATCTCACATGCTTATGATTTTGCAACTGGATTTTACCAAGACACACCATCTATATATTCACAGCAGCAAAGGAATAAAATCTAGTCCCCTAGAAAAATAAACACTCACCTCCGCTTATCATTAAAGAAGTTTGGCTTCTCAGCCTGAACAATGACCACATCGAACAGGTCCCTCCAGTCTTTCCCAACGATATAACTCATCCCTTTGTCCCTAGGGCAACAAGTCAGCCAGGTTAGTCTAACATTAAAGAGATTAACTGTGTCTGTAACTTTTTCTTTCCAATTTCCAGCTGCTAAAACAAATGGGATACAAGGAGTGTGCCAGAAGCTAGCAATGAAACACAGAGCAACTTACACAAAGCTACTGGGGCTATTGGTGATGAGAAACATCTTCTTGCCATGATCAGCCAGTTTGGCCAACACTGCGCGGGTCTGCTCAGCATAGCAGATGTACTTTTCTAAGAGCAAGAGAAAAATTCACACACAGATTCAGCATGATATTTGTCAATCTGCAAGTACTTTCTAAATGGGGGTTTGGGTCCAGCACTGTCCTAGGCACAGGAAAGGGAATAAAGGCCCTAAGGAAGAAGCTTTGTCCGGTGGAACACGGGTACATCTGGTGCATCATTCACAAAGACCCTGCCTCCTCGGTCTAAGTGGAAACAACTAAGTGGCTATAGCTGCCAGTGCCTCTCCTTTTAAGTCAGAATTATGTCAAGTTCCAGGACAAAGAGGAGACGGCTAACATGCCAGGATGCCAGGTCCTTACAGAGCACTCATGCAGCCTCTGCTTAGCACCTGGAATGCAAAGTAAAATGCCGGCATGGTTGCAAAAGAAACAGAAAGGCTGAAACTCTCTTCGTGATACTGCTGAGCACATACCAATGTCTGCTTCAATTGCTCTGTACATTATTCCTTTGATGTGGACGTCTCGAATTGAATCCTGCCAAAAGATACATTTTTAATCAGCGAAAATACAACTGAGATAGCCTGAGTAACAGTACAAGTGAAATGGCAGTCATGGTAACTTCTGTCCCTAGAAAGTCTGACAATCCAGGCCCTACACAAAATCTAAATTCTGGTCCATTTTCTTCTTCTTTTTTTTTTTTTTTTGAGACAGAGTCTTGTTATATCACCCAGGCTGAAGTGCAGTGGTCCCATCTCAGCTCAATGCAGCCTCTGCCTCCTGGGTTCAAGTGATTCTTCTGCCTCAGCCTCCAGAGTAGTTGGGATTACAGGCGCCCGCCAGCACATCAGGCTAATTTTTGTGTTTTTAATAGAGACAGGGTTTCACCATGTTGGCCAGGCTGGTCTCCAACTCCTGGCCTCAAGTAATCCACCTGCCTCAGCCGCCCAAAGTGCTGGGATTGCAGGCATGAGCCACCACACCCAGCCAATTCTGGTCCATTTTCATAGGCAGCCCCTTGTGAAAGCCAAAGTTTCCATGGTGATGGTGGCAATTTCCAATGCAATTTTCAAAAGAGTGCTTGGAAGAGGTAATTTCTGTGAATAATTCTGAATAAAGTCCCACATGATAGACAGTAATTTATATCCAGTACTGTGAACAAATGATCCCTGGCCATCTGGACAAAGGGAGTTATTGCTCTTTTATCTTTGTGCCCTTTCTGTCCCTAGACCCCAACGGCAAATTCTATAACACAGAATGAGAGGCAGAGACAAATAGCTTACAAGTTCCTCCTTCTCTCTTTGGTACCACCAGCAGGGCAACGAACTGGCAATGAGATTGTAGCTCAGGCAGAGATGTGGTCCAGGGAGAGGAAGAGGAGGTGGTTAAACCCTTTGTGGGTTCAGGAGTATGGCAGCATGATAGCTGGCAGGTGTCAAAACAGGGTCCCACTGGCAGGTGACACTGCACAGGGCCTCTACGTGGTGACATTCCTAGAGGCCTATGGAAACTTTCTAGAGCCAGTAGCAGGAGACAGGGCTGCAGGCAAAATTGTGTCTAAGCCTTAGACTGTTGCTGGGAGATTTCTGTTAAGAGTGAGCACTTCTGGACTGCAATCTCAACCTCAATTACCTTTCAGCACAAGCCTGATTCAATTTCACACCAGCAGCAGAAGGCAGCAGTTAAATGCAAGTCAGACTGCCTGGCTTAAAATCAAGGCTCTGCTATTTACCAGCTGTGTGACCTTGGGCAAGCAACTCAACCTCACTGTGCCTCGATGTCCTTATTTGTAAAATGGTAAGAATAGTGCCTACCTTATATTATTATGAAGATTTAGTAAGTTAACATGCCTAAAGCACTCATAAGAACAGTGCCTAGGACCTACTAAGCTCTACACAAGTATTTGCTCTTGGTGGTAGCAACACTTGCAGTAAAAACTGAGCTTTCAAATCAACATCTCGCCTTATGAATGCACAAGGCTGCTACAAGTGATTCTTACAGATTTTTAAAGACAAAGTGTATACACAAAAAAGAGAACAGAAACTAAATACCTAAATTCAATTTGGATAATACCACACTGATATTGAGAAACTATAATTTATCCTCTATCTTCCTAAAACCCAGGATTCACGCTGCCAAAACTTACATTTACTTATAAATATATAACAAAAATATTTTAATGTGTAAATATGTATCTTTAAAAAATATATTTAAATAAACACATATTTTTATAAATATGTTATAACTATGTAAATACATACAAAATAATATAAACTTTTTTAGTACTAAAAAGTTCATACAGCTTAAAGAACATATATAAATATATAAACATGTGACCATAAAATACATAAATTTATAAATACAAATGATTTGTACAGTAAGTCCTTAACATCTTCAGTAGGTTCTTAGAAACTGCAACTCTATGTGAAACGACATAAAGCAAAATCAATTTTTTTCCTTGTCAAAACTAAAATGACATCGAATAAATTGGCGTTATTCAAGGACCTGTTGCACACGGTTTCACTTAAAGTCACGGATGCCAAGATCCTATGGGCAACAGTAAGTGAGGACTTTGTATATGCTCACGTAAACATTTACATTTGTCTACATCCCCCGTCCCCCAACTGGATTCTTGCATGACTTTTGCAGGACTTTAGAGAGCCACATGGAACCTTTGTAGGCAAAGGAAAAAGGCATCCCTTCTGGGCAACTACAGTGGCACAGGCCCCCCAGCCAGGAGCTTGAATGTAACCCATGTGACGAAGAGGCACCCTGGCCGGGCGTGGTGGCTCAAGCCTTTAATCCCAGTACTTTGGGAGGCTGAGGTGGGAGGATCACTTGAGGTTAGGAGTTGGAGACTAGCCTGGCCAACATGGTGAAACCTCGTCTCTATTAAAAATACAAAAATTAGCCAGGCGTGGTGGCAGGCGCCTGTAATCCCAGCTACTTGGGAGGCTGAGGCAGGAGAATCACTTGAACCCGGGAGGCCCGGGAGGCAGAGGTTGCAGTGAGCCAAGATCACGCCACTGCACTCCAGCCTGAGTGACAGAGCAAGACTCTGTTCAAAAAAAAAAGAAGAGGCACCCTTGCTCGGGCAGACTCATGGGTGAGTAGGTACAGGCTGGACTTCCATCCCCATCATCCCTTTGGCCAAGTGCACCGGCCCTGGCCTTGGCCTTCTGGTCAGAAAGGATCAAAAATTGAGATAACAGTGTCAGCACCATCTCGTTTTAACAAAACTTTTGACTGATTTCCAATTCTCCTGATGTAACAACATCTTTCTTGTAATGTTCAAGGTTAAACCACATATAAGAGTTCCCAGCTAAGAGACTATTTAAAACACCTAACCTAGAAAGGAGGTTCAAGACTCTGTGACTCCCACTGAAAAGGCTGAAACAGACTCAGCACTGTAATCTCTCACTGTGGATACAACCTTGACATCTTTGTACAGATGCACAGGCTCATAGTCGATGTTGTTCTTGAGGAAGTATTCATTCACGCAGGACAGGAGGGTCATCTCGGGCAGGGAGAAGATGTCCATGAACTGCTTCATCGTGTTTCCATGAGAGCTCTGCAGACAGGGTGGAAGGAATGCTTTAGAAACAGGGGCCCACGCAAGGGACAGAGCCACGAAGCACCAGGAACAGCAGGAAGCCTTTTCCGTGACTAAACGAGATCCCATCATCAACACAAAAAAGGAAAGTTCTAATAATAAAAAAGGACAATGGGCTGAGCGTGGTGGCTCAAGCCTGTAATCCCAGCACTTTGGGAGGCCAAGGCAGGTGGATCAGCTGAGGTCAGGAGTTCAAGATCAGCCTGGACAACATCGTGAAACCCCGTCTCTACTAAAAAATACAAAAATTTGCTGGGCATGGTGGTGGGTGCCTGAATCCCAGCTACTCAGGAGGCTGAGGCAGGAGAATCGCTTGAACCCAAGAGGTGGAGGTTGCAATGAGCGGAGATGGCGCCACTGCACACCAGCCTGGACAACAAGAGCAAAACTCTGCCTTAAAAAAAAAAAAAAAAAGTAAAATGTTCCCCTTGTTCCTTATCATTCACAGCAGAGCTGATGTCTCACTCTAAGTATAACTAGGATATCAAAAGAAATGCCCTGATTTCCCCCAGAGTCTAATCACCCTTCCCCTCCCAATTTCTCCTGTGCTCACTCCCATTTCCGGTTCACACTCAGGAAACACAGAGGAAAGCCAGCAAACAAATTATTGCCCATAATGACATTAAAACTCATGTAATTCTCCTGAACTGGAGCACGAACCTCACGGCCCACATTTGAGCTTAAAAAAGAGCCCTTCTCTGAATACTTGCGATTTACACTATAGATTCTCAACTTATGATGGGGTTACATTCTGATAAACCCACTGTAAAAGATGCATTTATACATCTAACCTACCAAACATCATGGCTCAGCCTAGCCTATCTTAAGCATTCTCAGAACATTTATATTAGCCTATGCAAAGCCTGTTTTATAATAAGGTGTTGAGTGTCTCATATAATTTATTGAATACTGTAATTTATGTTGAAATTGCGATGGTTTTACACCATTGTAAAGTCAAAAAATTCTAAGTAGAATCATTGTAAGTCAGGGGCTGTCTGTACTAAGTTTACTAGCTGACCGAGCATCGTCCATTTCATTTTGACAAAGCAAGTAAGTGAGTGCATCTAGTAAGACAAGAAGCAAAAATTCTGAGTGGAAAGAGAACCACAAAAGATAGAAAAGCAGAGGTTTCCCTGAAGGTAAAAAGGGTGGCTGTGTAGCCATCAACTCTGGCATTTCACAGCCATTCGTCAGGGGAAGCAGTAGCTGTCACACCGACAGCCCCAATCTGTTCTGGAGCCCCACTCCAGAAACTAGGGACATTCCTGGAGATGGGGTGGCAAATGGGGTAGGTATGTGGGAGGTGAAAAGAGCCTTCATCAGGTGGGGAGGAAGTGCTTCAGAAAGGAGAATCATGAAAGAATCTGGGGGTGTCCCCTTCAAACGCTAGTCTCTCTCAACACACAATCTCAAATTTCCCTGTCAATTCCATATAAGCAGTAGGTAAGTTCGACAAGGCCATGTTTCAAGAAGGAAAAAGGCTGCTTTAAATGAATAAAGTGCTTCTCATTACCTTTCCGTAAAAGTCACTCATCTGCTCCAAGGGCACGTGGGACCCCTCGTACATTTCAATGACTTCTTCATCAGGGACAACACTGAGGCCTCTGGAAAAACCAGATGGTGCAGTTAAAGAGCTCAACTAGAGAAACCAATGATTTTCACACCCCTGTGCAGTGCTGGGATTTTTCAATTGAGGTGCAAGGCACTGTCATCATGACGAGGCAAAATGTGCCACAAGTAAATGCCACAAATATCAGGTAAGATGCTACTATGTTTACTACTACTACTGTTCTATTGGTAACAAGAGCAGGAATAATAATAGTTAATATTACATGGCATGTACTATAGGCCAGATATGAATTACACCTAGTCATTCCTGTAATTCTCAACAATCCTAGGAGGGAGGCACCATTATTCTTCCCATTTCCAGCTGAGGTAACTGAAGCAAAGAAAGGTCATGTACCTGTTCAAGCACACCAAAGTAGGAAGTGGTAGGTCAAGATTAGAACCCAGGCTTTCTGGCTCTATGGTCCAGGCTCTCACACCACTAAAGCACAAGGCTTCCTAATGACTTGCTTTGGGGTGGGCTGGCTTTTGTTTTAATGTATTTAATACATTAGGGCAGAGAAAGATTGTTTTTGTCTCCATCAGACATCCTCCTGCCCTCCAATACTCTAGCCTGAGATAGGGGCTGACTTGGTTTGGCTGCGTCCCCACCTAAATCTCATCTTGAATTGTAGCTCCTATAATTCCCAGATTGTGGGAGGGACCTGGTGGGAGAACACTGAATCACCGGAGCTGTTTCCCCCATGCTATTCTCATGGCAGTGAATAAGTCTCACGAAATCTGATGATTTTATTAGGAGTTTCCCCTTTCACTTGGCTCTCATACTCTCTTGCCTGCCACCATGTAAAGCATGCCTTTCGCCTTCTGCCATGATTGTGAGGCCTCCCCCGCTATGTGGAACTATGAGTCCATTAAGCCTCTTTTTCTTTATAAATTACCCAGTCTCGGGTATGTGAGAACAGACTAATACAGGTGCTGAGAATGGGAATTGCCACACCCAACGCTCAGTGGACTAAACCCCGTGACATGAGGCAGGAAGCCCTGTGGCACCACCACCTTGGAGAGGAAATGACCCTGAATGCTTTGTGACACTGAAGGCCAGTTTCCTCATCTACCATCTGCCTGCCTCTGGAATCTGCAAATGAATCCACCTCCTCCACATACCAAAAAAAAAAAAAGATTTGTGAAGTCAGTGGCCAGGATTTCACTCCTGCTTCTGCCACCAGTGACTACAGCAGGTGCCTTCACCTATTCACCTGGACTCATCCACTCTCAAGCGTCAGGAGGGGAAACACCTGCTCCTCCACCCCTCCTGTGGAGGAGAAAGTGCTTGAGAAATAGACACCAATGATTACGAAACAACAGACTGAATAGTACAGGAAATGTCACGCTGTGCTACAACAGGAGTATAAATAATTCAAGAAGAATTTCAGTTACTAACACAACAGGTTGCTTAGCATACAAAACCACATGGTCCACAGTAAAACCTATGTACGATATCATTTATGTTTTGATATGTAACGTTAACAAAAAGATCACTTCAACCTCTTTCCTCCCGTCTCCATCACCCACATTACTTTAAAAAGTTATCTGAGTGGATTCATTAATATTTTGCCTCTCATCTTGATTAACCTGTTACAACTACTGGCCTTTGAAAAAACAGAAACACCGGACTCCCTTTATCTTTGCTCCAGAAATAAGATAAGACACTGGCACTAAGCCAGATCATTCGAGGCAGTGACCTTGGAAATCAGCCCTTGCTGAGTAGCAGCAGTCATGTGTCCACACTGCTAAGGCTCTAACACTGGAGAGAAAATATAAAAAGTCAAGTGATTCAGCCGGGTCAGAGTTATTTCCCTGCCCTTTGGAAGCCACTGCTGCCTCTAAGGCACAGGCACAGCCACCCAGGCTGCATCCACAAGAGCCAAGCAACCAAATGGCGGCTCAGAAGACGCAGTGAAATCTGCCAGCTGAATTCCCCAAGAAGCAGCTGCATCGAATGAAGAGCCAAACACAACTGCAGCAGGCATGGGCAGATTGCCCGGCCACATCTGAATGCAGCCTCAACCAGCGTTGAAATCGAAGTGGAAGCTCCTTTTCCCCAGCTCTGCATGAGAAACACGAGGTTAGGAGCACAGATCTGAATGAGTCTGCCAGGGCTTCCAATTCCCGCTCCCTTCATCACTAGGGATATTACCTTGATAAGTAATTTATCCCTTTTGGGTCTCAAAGTCTTCATTCTTAAAGCAGAGAACTATAAAAGTGCCTATTTCCTGATGTCACTGAGAAGATCACAGGAGCTACCACGTATAGAACAGTTGGTCTATGTAAGCACTATAGAGAGGCTTCACTAGTGTGGCTGTGAAAGGAACCACCCCAGCTTTTCACAAGGTTCCTAGTAAAAACTTAAACTATAGGTACAAAAATGAGGCTGCAGTACGGAACCCCCCTCCACTTCCCCAGCTGGCAGCACTCACTCCTGTGGGCCAAACATCATAAAATTCACCCTGGTGTAGGGACTGGGGACCTGCATCAGGGCTTAGAAACAAACTAGGCTGAGACACTTTGCTTAGAAACAAAGCGTCCCTTAGAAAGGGACACTTTCTTCCCACCTTCTCTCATTCATGGCCCCTTCTGGTGTGAAAGAGAAGAAAAGTGACATTTCTGCATGCCCAGGATCTTAATTAAACCACTAAGGTACAAGACTTCCTAATGACTTGCTTTGGGGTGGGCTTTTTTTTTTTTTTTTTTTTTTTTTTTTGAGACGGAGTCTTGCTCTGTCGCCCAGGCTGGAGTGCAGTGTCACGATCTCAGCTCACTGCAAGCTCCACCTCCCAGGTTCACGCCATTCTCCTGCCTCAGCCTCCCGAGTAGCTGGGACTACAGGCACCCACCACCACGCCCGGCTAATTTTTGCATTTTTAGGAGAGACGGGGTTTCACCATGTTAGCCAGGATGGTCTTGATCTCCTGACCTCGTGATCTACCTGCCTCAGCCTCCCAAAGTGCTGGGATTACAGGCACGAGCCACAGTGCCCAGACAGGCTGGCATTTTTTTTAAATGTATTTAACACATTAGGGCAGAGAAAGGCTGTTTTTGTCTCCATCAGACATCCTCCTGCCCTGTAATACTCTTCTCTGAGTGGTGCTAAGAATGGAAATGGCCACACGCAAGGCTCAGTGGACTAAACCCCGTGATGTGAGGCACGAAGCCCAGCAGCACCACCCTATATTCTGGGCCCTGTGCAGGTATGCTTCATCTTCACCAGCTGCCCCTTAGGCAGGCACTGGAATCATGCCTGCTTTACAGGAGGAAACCAAGGCTTTCAGAGGGTCCAGAGATTGCTCAAGACCACACACGTGTGAGCCATGGAGCTGGGGTTCGCACCCAGGAAGCGTGAGTGACTCGAGTCCACACACTCCCTCCAGAGTCCAGCTCACCTCAACACCCTTCTCAGCAGCGATGCAACAGTGAACTTCCCTACAGCCTCATTCTGAACGCTCCTTCTCCCTGAATGCCTCATACACTGTCCATACTCCTTGACACAATGGACAGTGTATATACAAGAAACAAGGCAATTCTTCTCCTGTGAACCCCAGGAGAAGAAAGAGGAGAAAGCATTTCAGGCTGAGAGGGTGAGCAGAGGACTCACCACAAGTTGGCCATGGAGGGTGGGTAGGATTTCAAGAAGCAGAGAGGAAGGAAAACTGCACGCTGGCAGAACACCAGCAGGAGCAAATGCCAGGTGGCAAGAAAGAAGATGTCAAGGGAAAAGAATCCCTGTGCTGTCTTTGCCTGCCCGGAATCCTGTCTCTCTTCATCATAATGGTTCAAGACCAAACACATGACTCAAGTCATTCTGATGAGATTCAGTCCTGAGACTCCAGTGGAATGTGGAGAAACAAAGCTCCTCTGTTCTTCTTGACCTGGAGCTGGGGGGATGTGGGCTTGGTAGTGCCAGGGGTCACCAAGGAGGGGCTTGCCTGAGAGTGAGCCAAGCCAGAGAGGAAGGCCAAGAGCTGGAAAGAGTTCTGACAATAGCAATTTGGCCCCTGGAGCCAGCCACACCTGCAAGCTCACTCTGTCTGTGGACTGTACCATTAGTTTCTGAGCCAGTTTGAGTTTCAGTCACTTTCAACCAAGAGTCTTGACCAATCTAGTAAGTCAAGGAGCTGTGTATGGAAGAAGAGGAAGCGAAGAGTTTAAAGCAGGTTGATAAAAATCTCAAACCTAAGCCTAAGCATATGGCTTAGCCTTTATTCTGTAGAGAGCAGGGAGCCATCCAGGCATTCAGAGGAGGGGATTATTGGGAGTAATGATTTAGGGAATCAGTCTGGCAAGAATGTCCAGGATGGAGTGCCCTGCAGCAAACCCCAAGAACCCAGGAGAGAAGGGGTAAGTGTCTATGGAGGGGGCCAACAGCAGAAACAGAGATGGAGAGACAGAATAGAGAGACCTGGTGAGGATTCTCATAAACATGCATAACCTTGCCTTCTTCGTTCTCTCCCCCACCCTCACCACTGCAACAATAATTCTGGGAAAACATTAGGAGCTATGAGTAGGGGAACAAATGAATGCTCATTTAAGAGGTTTAGAGAAAGAAAAACTAAAAATTGTAATATGTTAAATGTAGCAACAACTTTAAAATATAAGTTAAAAGTAAGTCTGTTGGGAATGGTACAATCTGGAGGTAAACTGAGCCATTTCAAAAGCCTTAAAATGAATGAACAACATTCACCTGGCAATTTCACTTATCCTAAGAAAATGAGACATGTGCACAAAAATGTATTAATTATATTTAATATACATGTTACTTACAAAATACATGAAAAGTTTTTTGTTTTAACTTTTAGGTTCAGGGGTACATGTGCAGGTTTGTTATATAGGTAAATTCATGTCATGGGGGTTTGTTGTAGATATTTCATTACCCATGTACTAAGCCCTAGTACCCTATCCATTAGTTATTTTTCCTGATCCTCTCCCTTCTCCCACCCTCCACCCTCCAGTAGATCCCAGAGTCTATTGTTCACCTCTATATGTCCATGAGTCCCCATCATTTAGCTTCCACTTGTGAGAACATGCAGTATTTGGCTTCCTGTTCCTGCGTTAGCTTGCTAAGGATAATGGCCTCCAGCTCCATCCATGTTTCACAGCAAGATGTGATCTTGCTGGAAAGATTATTTGTAATTGTCCATACTAAAATAGATTCATTCATTACCACCCCCCCCCCAAAAAAATGTGTTGAGGGACTCCAACTATCCCTTGTACCTTAAGAAAGGCCACACAGCATGGTGGCCAAGAGCACAGACTCTGGACCCAGGCTGCCTGGGTCTGAATTCTAGCCCAGGCAATTATTTGCTGTGTGACCTTGGGCAAGTTACTTAACACCTCTGGCACTAATAATAGTACCTACTTCATATAGTTATTTTGAGGATTGAATGAGTTAAACAAAACCCTTATAACAGTGCCTGTCCCATAGCAAGACTCAATATTTGCTAGTCGCTATTAGTAATATTATTACCATCATCACCACCACCTCCTCTCCATCCTGAAACACTATTAAAGTGACAGTAAAAACAGTCAAAGGAAATGAGAGCAAAGACATCAATAGACAAGACATTTCCACAAGACACTGGAAGACAAACACTGGATGCAAAGAAGGTATCTTGACTTAACACTGATAACAGAGGCCTGCAAGGGGTATACCCATGACAAGAACTGATTCCCCACCACAAGCTGCAGAAAGGCTCAGCACAAGGAGGCACCAGGAGGCTACTGGAGGATATACTCAAGCAAAGTGAGGGAGTAAAGCCAGAGAGAGGAAGAGAAGGGAATTTGAAACAGGGAAAGTAGCAAAGGGAAGTCCCAAGACAAGCAACCAAACCAGATCAGACCAGGAGGGGAGAGTCAATTTTTTTTTTAAAAAGTGACAAATTATTGAAAACATTTGAATTATTGGAAAATAAATACATGCCTAACATTTGTAATGGACTATTTGGAAAAAATCAGAGATACCTACACAGAAAACTAGGCAAACAAAAACTGAGATTATTGTTAAAATCTAAGAAAAACAAAATATTGTACAAGAAAGAAAATAATCGCACGGCACTACCTGGCTTAAGAGTGACCCAGCTGGATGCAGTGGCTCACGCCTATAATCCCAGCACTTTGGGAGACTGAGGCGGGCAGATCACCTGAAATCAGGAGTTCAAGACCAGCCTGGCCAACATGGTGAAACCCTGTCTCTTTTAAAAATACAAAACTAGCCGGGCGTGGCGGCACATGCCTGTAATCCCAGCTCTTTGGGAGGCTAAAGCAGGAGAATCACTTGAACCTGGGAGGCAGAGGTTGCAGTGAGCCGAGATCTCGCCACTGCACTCCAGCCTGGGCAACAAGAGGGAGACTCCATCTCAATAACAAAAAAAAAAAAAAAGAGTGAACCAGGCAAGACCTTCTGAGTCATAATGTAAACAGTGACCAGTACAACCACCAAAAACTGAGATCTGAATGAGATGAGAGGAATGAGACTGGAGAAGTGGGAGGAGGTGCCAGAAAGCTAAGTCCTTATCTACCACAGCAGGGACAATATCCAGAATTAATAAATTAGGAAATAGAAGAATGAGCACATTACTTAAAAAATCTAAAGACTTTAAAGGTTTTAGGGGCAGAGGGGAGCACAGAAGATTACTGCTGACCCCTGTGACATCTTTAATCCTGTTTGACTGTGTGACTCTATCCATGTTTCACTTTGATTTTAAAAATAAACAAGCATTAATTTTAACAAAGTTTGTGAGAGAAGAATGTAAGCTAAGACATACTTTTAAGTATAAGCTGTGCACCTAAATACAAATCACACTCCTAAATCCCCTCCCAAATTGGAGAATAAAAAAAGGCCAAGTTCTCCATTTTAAAAGTTACAAAGACGCCCGGGCGTGGTGACTCATGCCTGTAATCCCAGCACTTTGGAAGCCTGAGGCAGGCAGATCACTTGAGGTCAGGAGTTCAAGACCAGCCTGGCTAATATGGTGAAACCCTGTCTCTACTAAAAATATAAAAATTAGCCAGGCATGGTGGCATGTGCCTGTAGTCCCAGCTAATCGGGAGGCTGAGGCAGGAGAATCACTTGAATCTGGGAGGCAGAGGCTGCAGTGAGCCTAGATTGTGCCATTGCACTGCAGCCTGGGCATCACAGCGAGACTCCACCTCAAAAAAAAAAAAAAAAAAAAAAAAAGTCTCAATATCCAAACCACCCAAATACCATGGTGGGAAGGAGAACCCTATACCCTCACCCCCATAGCCCTCCTGCTCCAAGTCTCCTCATCAGGACCCTCCCTCAGCTTGCCAGCCAGCATCTCTGGAAAACCAGTCCTTCCTCCAGTCCTCCAGACTGCTCCCGACCTCTGAGCACATTTCTATCATCACCTCTGTCACTCTGAACTGCAGTCAAGTTTACTTACATGACTTCCCACCCACACTCTGAGCTCCTTGAGGACATCAAGGCACACCAAGCCCTTAGCACCTGGCATGGTAGCAGGCCTCAACAAATGCTCTTGAGTAAGTGAGTGAATGAATGAATCATATTCACACTGCAGCCCTCTTCATCATTAAACAGTCAGAGGGTCCTGAAACCCAAAGCACCTGGTTACTTCACGTAAATTAAATGTATCTCCTCTTACTCTTACCTGTAGACAGTTCCCAGCTGGATATAATGAAAAGCATCGATCTTCATTAATACTGCCTTTAAAAACATAAACATATGCACATGTAAATAATGTATGACTATTTGCATATTACATGAGCCATCCAGGTGTCATCATATATCCTATCAACATTAGGCTGCCCTAACAAGGAAGCACACTGTATATTCCTGAAAGGGTTGCTTGTTAATTAATGTGCTGTACAGCTCTTTAAAGAAATGGCCTATCTGCAAAAGACAGGGGAAAAAAATAGATATGGCAACTGGTTCCTCCTCCAAACACCAAAATGACTACTAGAAATAAACAGTACCTCCTAAATAGCTAAATGCATTTATGCTTTTCTAATACATAGTCTCTTCCAGAAGATTCTATCCAAATATATGTGAATAAATTTGGTTCTGCAGTCCCAAATAACATAATTTAAAACTAATTTGCCCGTTCAGTAAAGAAAAGTACCAACAGTACATTTCATTTCCAAACATCATTAAACCATAGAAAAACAGGAGAAGTAAACCTACCCGCTGTACATCATAATGAAGTCCACGAATTGCAAAATTTGGGTCATACTCATACTTCCTGATTTCTGCTGGATACTAAGAAAGAAGAAAGGAACTGGTTTTAGCCAACAATGTGCCAAGTGCAGGATCCTGTCCAGATCTGGCCCTTGTACAAAGGCTGAGGTAGTTGATACACCAGTGGGAGGTTGGGGTCAGAAGGGGCAGACCACAGCTTGTCCCTCTGCTTCCAATCCAAGCGCCTCCTAGCAAGCACGCTGGCCAGAGCCTTCCATCCTGCCCTGTACCCTGTCCATCTGCCCAAGCACAGGCTGGGCCTCATTCTCTCCCCTGCCAACTTCTCTCAACTCTCTCCTCTCTTTCCCTCCCCTACCTGTGTCCCTAGACTCCCAGATCCCTAAGACCCCAGGAACACATCGGCTTCAATCTCCACCCATCACTCCCTCCTTTTATCTTCAAGGCTGCTGCAGATAAAAGGAATGTTCCCCCTAATACTGGAAGCACAGCTTTACCCAAACTCATTGTCAACCATCCATTCAACTCATATGTGAGCACCTTGATGTGGCAGGCCCCTGGACGGCCCCATTACCAGGTTTCACGGAGAGCCTTAAGGTGAAAACTTCTCAGAGTGGAGCCTCTCCATAGAGCTTTCATTGCTTCTCTCATCTGGATAGCTGGCCACTGCCCACCCTCCAGCTGGGCAACCCCACGGCTGTCAGACACAGCATTCCCCACACTAGGCCTAGGGAGGCCCTTCCTTGGCACATGGATTACGGTTACTATCCAGCACTCTGTCTCAGAACAGTTGTGAAGGCAGCAGATATGGTTTGGCTCTATGTCCCCAGCCAAGTCTCATCTTGAATTGTAGTTCCCATAATTCCCACGTGTTGTGGGAGGAACCTGGTGGGAGACAACTGAATGATGGGGGCGGCTTCCCCCATACTCACGAGATCTGATGGTTTTATATTCACTTGGTTCTCATTCTCTCTCTTGCCTGCTGCCAATGTAAGATGTGCCTTTCACCTTCTGTCATGATTGTGAGGGCTCCCCAGACACATGGAACTGTGAGTCCATTAAACCTCTTTTTCTCTATAAATTACCCGGCCTTGGGTATGTCTTTATCAGCAGCATGAAAACGAAACTAATACAGCAGCCCAGTTCCCCGGGTATTTCCTATTATCAAGCCATTCCTCACACTATGCAAAATTGCTGGCTCCTCCTTATCTACTGCACCAGGTATCCAAGTCCTTACTTCTCTCCCTAAATCTCAGAATTAGGACACAAGCTACCCTGTGGATGGCACTGATCTGTGGGCACCATTTCTGCTGCTACTACACGGCAGGCCCTACCATCCCCATTTTATTCAGAGGGACATCAGAGGTTCTGAATGAAACAAACTAGGGTATGGTGGGCAGAGAATCAGGCTGGGGCCTTCTCCCCTGCTCTCCCCACTGCCCCTCTGCCCTCGGAGCATAGACCTGCAGGACAGAACATCTATTCCTGAGTCTAGAGAGGCAACATCACTAGGACCTTCCAACTGTGATGCAAGTTGCTTAAGTTAAAACCCAGACAACTATTAAGTGCCCAGGAAACCTCCTTCCATGGCTGAGCGGCTAATATTTCATAGCCAGGGTTCCATTTGTACAAAAACATTTCCTGGGACCAGCAGGCTGACCCGCATGTGGCAATTTTTCAAGTCAAGCTGCACAAAGCACTAACTCAAATGTCACATTTGGGATCATTTATCCACTACCTGCCATGTGTGCCAAGAAATCACCAAACTGACATTTCCATTCATGGGCGTTTCCAAGAATTGAGAACCCTGTGTATGGTCCTGCATTTTTGCAGACATAATTGACAAGCTGACACAGAACCCAACGCTTGGCACCCTGGATCTGCTTACTGAAGAGGGGCCAAGGGACTTCAGCAGCTCTGCAATCTCCTGTTAAACTCATGACTGATGGATAATAAGAGGGCAGACAGAAGAGAAATATTTTAATATGTCACTGAGAGCGGTGCCTTCACTGAGCATATGCTATGTGCCACACACTAGACACTTTCCATGACTTTCTTTATCTTTATCCCTCACTACATCAGCATGAAGGAAGCAGGCATCTCAAGCCTATTTTACTATTGAATAATCTGAAGATCAGGGGCAAGGAATTTGCCCAAGGTCACACAGCTAGATAGTGGTTGAGCCAGTATTTGAACCCAGGTCTGTGTCACACCCAAGTCCACCCCTAACCACCACATAATCAATTCTGAACCAACTCTGAGCCACTATATACTGGACACTCATCGCCTCCCTGTGACAGCAGCACCTGCCACCTCAGAGGGGTTCAACAAGTTTGCTGAAAGCATTTGCAGTTACGAGTGGAGCACCAACTATTTTAGTTGATTGCTGGCACTTAAATAAGAGAGTGTTTACTGCTGAAAAGTCTGGTGGTTCTTTCTTTGAATGAGGCTTATCTGGGCTCCCCAGCAGGACATGCCCTCCACACACTCACATTCCGCTTGCCTCTCACTCTCAATGTTATTCTTGGGGAGCCACTCCTGAGAAATACACAATGTTTATCTGGTCCAAAGACCACAGTGAGTGACTATATGAGTCCGTTCTCACGCTGCTGATAAACACATACCTGAAACTGGGTAATTTATAAAGGAAAGAGGTTTAATGGACTCAGTGTTCCACATGGCTGGGGAGACCTCACAATCATGGAGGAAAGTCACATCTTACATGGCAGCAGGCAAGAGAGCTTGTGCAGGAGAACTCGGCTTTATAACACCATTAGATTTCTTGGGACTTATTCACTATTGTGAGAACAGCACAGGAAAAACCCACCCCCATGATTCAATTGCCTCCCACCAGGTCCCTCCCATGACACGTGGGGATTATGGGAGCTACAATTCAAGATGAGATTTGGGTGGGGACACAGCCAAACCATATCAATGATCTTGAAAACTGACAGACGCAGCTGGAAAAGCGCCAACAGGACGATGTCATAATGAAGAATACAGGTTCCGGGGCTGAGAGACCAGGCATCAAATCCTGGTCCTGCTATGTGCTAGCTGGGTGACCCTGGGCAAGGTCGTCTGTCCCTCTAAGCCTTGGTTTTCTCATCTACAAAGAAAAGATAACAAGAATCCTATCCTTTTGGAATTGCAAAGGATTCAGCCCAAAAATGCGTGTGGCAAGTCAGGGCAGTGCCTGGCACATGGGAAGTGCTCAATAAAATTGAGTGGCTTCGCTGGATTGAGAACTGGCGGCCTGGGGTTTTAGGTCCACCCTACTAGCCCCTGCTACTCTCCTGTATGACTTTAGGTAAGTCTTCTCCAAGGCCTCTTCTAGTCGAACCATTTTGACTAGGGTGATTTCTGTGCTCTACTCCTGCCCCTAAATTGTAATCTCCCCATACAACCAGCCTAGTCAAAAACATCCTCGTGATTGGCCCATTTCCAACACACACACACACAGCATCAGTAGAACACCTGTTAACAGTGACATCCAGCCCAAGAACCAGAGCTGCTCACAGCAGCCAGTTGGTTACAGTCCTCTCCAACGGTCTCAGCTAGATTTTCAGGACTTTTCGTAGTTTAGAAACTTTTCACCACCCAAGGGGGAAAAAATAAAAAGACTCACCCAAGGTGAAGTATTATGGAGATAACTGGTATCCCTAAAAGCAGTCAGAAATATAAAAGATAAAGCCCTTGACTTAGGGTTTTTATTAAAATTCTAATTTAGGCCCAGTCTGGTTTCCTTTAGTACCTTGACTTTGTTCTAATCCCAGTTAAAATCTGGGCAAATTCCTGTGTGCTGATAAAGAGCAAAGTGTCCCCCTGAAAATGCTACAGAAACGTCCCTATAGCTTCAAGCAAAGTTAATACCAAAATGCAGCAGCGAACCCAGGACTTCTCCATGTGTGCCTATTTCCTACAGTCCTGGGTAATTACAGGTCTCAGATACAGCTAGTAACCTCTACGTTACAACACTGCTGTGGGTTCCTGAGGTCCAGAGGCCTATAAACATACCTGCTTTCCAGAGGTCTCAGTTTAATATTTAAAGTAGCCTAAATTACGCATCTAATTAGAGGCAACGCAGAAGGGAACAAAAACTAAGCTCTCTGAAATCCACACAAAACACTATGCTAGAGTAAAATGACCTCATCAGGACGCTGGCCCCACATGAAGCACAACTCTCTCCCTTACCTGCAGAACTCACGGATGCAGATGTCAAATGTTTACTGAGTACCTACTTTGTGCCAGGGCCTGGGAATACAGCAATGAACAGAACTGACAAAAGTGTCTGCCCCTGCAAAGTTCCCATTCTACCTGGGGGGGTAGACCATACACAAATACACACACAGAATATAACGCCTTGGAGTGTATGTTCTAAAAGAAAATGCAATACAAGCATTCACAAATCTGCGGGTGGGCGGGGGCGGGGAAGCAAGCCGGGAGCAAGCCTCATCTGGGGGAAGAAAGAGTGCTCCAAGGCAGAAGTAGGAAAGGGTTTGGAGGTTCAAGGAGCAGGAGGGGAGGAGAGGAGACGGCTGGAGGAGGCTGGGGAGGCCCTCACTATGATGGGATGAAAACCACACTTCACCTCGTGGTCTTCCTCCCCCAAACCCATAACCCAGGCTAATCATAAGGAAAACGCACATAGCACCTAACTGGCATGCTTCGAAACTGTCAGGGTCATTTAAAAAAGCAAGGAAAGTCAGAGAAGCTGTCAAAGCCAAGAGGCGCCTGAGAGACATGACAACTAACTGCAATGTGGTGTCCTGCAGGGGATCCTGGAGCAGGAAATGGACATTCGATAAAAACCAAAAATATGTGAAGGAAGTATGGACTTCAGTGAATAATAATGTATCAAGATTGGTTCTTTAGTTGTAACAAATGTACCTTAGTCAAGTGTTAACACTGGAGGAAACTGGGCATTGGGTGTATACATACAGGAACTCAGTATTTGCAACCTTTCCGTAAGCCTAAAACTATCCTAAAAGTTTATTTAAAGGAAAAAGAGAGCATAGCATTTGCTGAGAGATCAGACATGGACACGGAGTGCGAGCGGTCACAGCCAATGCTTTGGATATGAACAATCAGGTGATCAATGGTGCCAACTAAAGAGAAGAAATGCTGACTAAGGTGTGAAGCTGGGAGATGAAATCAAGAGCTCTCTACCCCTCCCTTTCTATTCCTCGGTGGACAAATAAAATCAAAATATAGACAGTTATTACTCAATTTTTAAAAAAATTTCCATTTTTGTAAAAATTGCTTATTTTTTAAAAAGGGTAATTACGAAGGAGCTGGAAGCTTTTATGTTTGCTTTTTGGAGAGATACTAAATTGCAAATTTACTGTTCTATGACTGTGCGTCTCAAAAGCGATGTCTTTCCATTTCTACAACTACACAAAGTGCATCGGTCTTGGCTGCAAAAATGGCCCTGAACTCAGTGCATCTTCGAAGAATTATTTTGTTTAATCAGAAGAGAAAAATTTGCGTAAGCATAACTGACTCTACTAATATGCCTGATATAATTAGTATTATAACTATAGTTTTATCAAAGCAACAAACAGACATAATGAGAATGAAATTTCAATGATCTTAAATCTAGAGGCTTTTCAAATAATAGTGATTGCAGCTTTTATTTTATCCATCTATTTCATCTCTCTTCCCCTCAAATTTCATAAACTTTTTATGTTCACAAATTTTTTATTTTCATGAATATTTTATTTGCATCTGAACAAAAAAAACCATAGGATGGAAAGGTGTTAGTAACCCCATAAGAGATGCAACATGGAGTCGAGGAGAGAATAGAGTCCTTTGGAAACAGACAGACTTGAGTTCAAATCCTGGTTCTGTCTCCTACTGGCCTGTGGCCTTGATCTAGTAGCTTAATTTTTTGAACCTCAGTTTCCTCAGCTGTAAACAGAGACAACATGTGTGTGCAGGGTTGTTGTACAGATTAGAAACAATAGTATTAGTATTAATAAATAGCTAACCTTTATTGAGTGTTTTCTATGTGCCATCTACTTTACATTTACTAATTCATTTACCACAGTGACTGTGAGGAAAGCACTGTTACTACGCCCATTTTACAGGGGAGAAAACTGAGGTCCAGAGGAATTGAGTGAGTCAATCAAGATTATGTAGGAACTAAGTGATAAAGGCAGAATTTGAACCCCAGCAGTGAGGCCTTAGAACCTGTGCTTTCAGCACCTAGTGGACAATCAATGAACACTGCCACTGGGATCATGGCTTGCTTTTTATAAATGACATCAAAGTCACAGAAAACACTGCAGCTGACCTGGAACTGAAATGCCAGCACCAATATAACACCCCTTTGGATCCACCTTTTAGGGGGTAGTGAACAGATGGCATGGGGTGGCAGGCAGGAACCAAGGTCAGAACCACCTCGTTCTTAGTTGGCTTTCATCTCATGATCCAGGCAAAGGACCGCAGTTTAGATGGAAGAGAGTAGTCCCTTGAACAAACGAGACCTGCTGCTGGATGCCAAGTGGCTAGGTGGTTTTACATCTAGTAAAGTGGCCATAACTAAAGAAAGCAGGCTGCTGGCATAGTGGCAGAAGGGAAGCTTCTTTTTGGCAAATGCCATGACTGCATTTTGGATATGGACAAAATGAGCTGCTTAAATCCACAGATAACTAAGAGCTGAGGGGGATCAGAAAATATGCTGAATCTAATGGTTAGGATCCAAAACTAAGGAGAACTTTGGCTGCATTAATAAAAGTACGGCATCCAGAACCAGGGAGGTGATGGTCTCCTTCTATTCCACTCTAGCCAGACCCCACCTGGGGTAACATCTTCAAGGCCTCACATTTGAGAGAAACAAACCAGAGCACACACAAAGGAAGATGACTAGGACGATGAAAAGAAAAGAGGACAAATGAGAACAGTTAAAAGAGCTAAGAACAATCAACTTGGGAAAAGTCTTAGAGGGCGTAATGGCTGGTCTATACAACACTAGCCCATTATATGTCTGGTACTCGAATGGTTAAATATAAAATAGTAGTTTGCATAATTTGGGTTTAGAAGTTACTCATACCCACCCTCAGCCCTCCTTTGCTGCCAACTCCTTCAAGATTTGGCTGAAATATCACCTTCTTCTTTGCTTCCCCAATTCCCTAAGGCAGAGAAAGTTGTTCTAACCATCACAGTCAGACACACTCAATGTCTAAGGAGACCTCCACTAGGAGGCTGCATAACTGATCTACCCACGTGACCGACGACCCCACTGGGCTGTTGGTTCTCCACGGGCAATGCCTGTCTCCTACTCATCTTTATCTTCCCAGCTTGTATTGCAGGGCTTGGCACAAGGAGGCTTAAGAAACATGTGAAGCAATAAATCAAGGAAGAAAAGAGGTCAATGGTAACAGCTGTATGAAGGCAAAATTGTTCAACCCATGGAAGAACTTCCCAAAAATCAGAACCACCTCCTATGTCAACATGCACCTGTCTGAGATGGAGAGCTGAGCTGTACTTCCCGGGAGGGGTCTCAAAGGGTACGGGCCCACAAGACTTCTGAGGACACTTCTTTTCCTGCTTCCTGAAATGTGTACTCAAATCAGACTACAGAAAAAAATGATAGGGTTGCATATTTTCTTTTTTTCCTTCCTCATTAAAAACTCTCAACAATACTACGTATCAGAAGAAAGACATTCAAATATGCTGTACTCAGCAATTCAAATTGGTGTTGAAGGTAAAACATCTCCTATCATTTGAGGAATTCCTCCTAACCAGAATTCAACAGGCAGGCTGCCAATTCATCAAGCTCCAGGAGACACCGTGTCATTCTGTGAAAGACGAGAGTGTAAATATCTACAGCCAAATCTCCACTAATGCACATCTTGGGAAGGTCTTTTGCCAAAAGACATCTAAAGACTTTTTTTAAAAAAACTATCATCTTCCAGATAAGAGTTACTTGGAAGGGAACAAAATCTACTTATTCATTTAGCAACAATTTATTAAATGACTTCTCTGTGGCAGACTTGGGGTCATGTCAGCTCAAGGCTGTTCTAAGAGGAAAAGGGGAGGGAGAAGCCTGAAATGTCCCTGTGATCTTACCCGGTGTTCATTGATGAGAAGGTCCCGTGCAGCATTAAATATCAGCGTGTGGAGGTGCTTTGAATAAAACACCAAGGTGTAATCATAATCGAAGCCATAGATTTCAATGTCTGACAGGCTCATTTCATTGTTTGAGAAAATGGCATCTGGATTCAACAAGTTGCTCATAATGGAAGGAACCAATTCTGGAAATAAAGAAAAAAAATACATTATACTACATAATAAATAAGGGTTAGTATGATTCCTAAAGAAAAAAAATGAGTAAACTAGACTATAAAAGAGATTTGCTTCACCTTGAAAATATGCTGGTGAAGGAAGCCAGCCACAAAAGACCACACGTTGCATGATCCTATTCATATGAAATGTCCAGAAATGACAAATCCATAGGCACAGAAAGGAGATTCATGGTTGCCTAGGACCGCTCACTGCTAATGGGCACAGAATTTCTTTTTGTGGTGATGAAAATGTTCTAAAATTGATGGTGGTGATGGTTTTGGGGGATTGAGATAAGGTCTCGCTCTGTTAACCAGACTGGAGTGCAGTGGCACAATCACAGCTCACTGCAGCCTCAATCTCTAGGGCTCAAGCAATCCACCCAACTCAGCTTCCTGAGTTGCTGGGACTACAGGCACACACCATCACACCCTACTAATTTTTGTAATTTTTGTAGAGACAGGGTCTCCCTGTGTTGCCAAGGCTGGTCTCAAACTCCTGGGCTCAAGCAACCCACCCACCTCAGCCTCCCAAAGTACTGGGATTACAGGCATGCACCTCTGTACCTGGCCAATGGTGATGGTTGAACACCTCTTGTGAACGTACTAAAAACCACTGGGAGACTTTAAAAGGGTGAATTGTATGGTATATAAATTATTCCTCAATAAAAGAACATTTGCTACCGAAAAGAACATTTGCTTCAACATCACAAAAAAGATTTGTTTAAAAAATATATTTGCAGATTTTAGAAAGTAAAAGTATAGTTAACAAAATCTAAATATCATACATCATCTCACCACCCAGAAAAAAACTACTGACATTTTATGTATTTGCTGCCAACATTCTTCTATGTATGTATTTTACATAGCTAACCTCACACTATATTTACAGGTTTGCATTGAGCTCACTAAATTTAATATTCAATCATGATCCTACACTTTTTGAGAACAAACTATTACATGAGACTTTCATATATATTGGTGTGCCATAATCAACCTACTACAGGTTGAGCATCCCTTATCCAAAACGTTTGGGAACAGGACCATTTTGGATATAGGATTTTTTCATATTTTGGAATATCTGCATTATACCTACCAATCGTGGCTCCCTAATCAAAAAGTCCGAAATTCAAAATGCTCCAATGAGTGATTGGACTATCATGTCAGCATGCAAAAGTTTGAGATTTTGGAGCATTGTGGATTTTAGATTTTCAGATCAGGTATGTCCAACCTGTACTCTATGTTACACATTTAAGTTTTTTCCTATTTAATAAAAATAACACTGCAATGAGCACCTTCATGTGTTAATCTTCACCTTTCAGATGATTTCCTTCAGATGGGTTTGTAGACGTGTGACTACCTTCTACCATCAGGGTCCACTGGATGTTAGGTTTGGGTTTCTTTTTTGAGCAGTTCTAACTATTTGTAAGGACTGCTACTTCATGATTTCTATTTTTTTCTTGGAAGCCTTTCAAAAATTCATTCTACTTTACAATTTCCATGAGTCCACTGGATGCTTTTAAAAAATCTAAGATGTGATAGAGGATGTTGGTGATCTTATTTTTCCAGTATGCTGAAATGCTTTATTATTAGAATTATTTCATCATTACCTCTCAATTATTGCCACCTATGATTTTTTAAAAGACTAAATTAAGAAAGCAGGAGAATAAGAAATTACTTAAGATAGTGCAGTAGTGAAATAAGTCATCACTATGACATCATCCTTCAGTTCTCATGGCACTGCGCAAAGAACTGCATCACTTTCAAGAAGGTATAAAAGAAGTCTGAAGATAACATCTTGGCAGTCTTTTCTTTTTTCTTTTTTTTTTTTTTGCTTTCATGGAACACTGTTGAGAAATCAGTTTTTCATTTTCCATCCATAACAGCAAAAAGAAAAAAAAAAGAAAGAAAGCTAACAGGGCAAGACATCTCACAGTTATCAGATGTGCCAGGAGGTGAATGCAGAGAGAGACAGCAGTTCTCTAGGCCTAATGATGATGGAGAAACTGATCATAAGGGTGACATCTCAGACGACGAGGCCTCCATGGCCATATCCTAGATGAAATTCAGGATCAAAGACTGAGCAATAGATTTCAAAAGACAAAAAAATGTGATATTCTCATCAGATTAATCATTTAACAGGACAAACACAATCATCCAATTTTTTATGACAAAAACACAGACTATCCTATTTTGCTAAAATTATATATGACAGTTTTTTTTTCACCTTTTATGATGTTTATGCACCAAAATTTTCTTGAAATGGCTCACAGGCAGACAAATGCTGAAGGCAGGTGACTTTTTGGAGATAGGTACATGTACATAAAACCTGAACTGTCCATATTTTACTACTTTTCACATTACTAAGGACAACCACCTGACTCTATTATAACAGCTAATATTTATTAAGCACTTACCATGTACCACATGCTATCAAGAAGACTTTACATTCTCTCATTAATCCTTCCCACAACCTTAGGAAGCAAATACTACTTTATCCCCATTTCACAAACGAAGACACTAGAGATGCATGGAAATTACTTTATTTGCTAAGGATACACCAGCACCAAATGGCAGGGCTGGGATTTGAACCTGGGAAGTTTGGCTCCAGAATCTATGTTCTTAACTCCCTTTCAGGTGCATTTTTTCCTAAAATAAAAGAAAGTCAATCCATCATTTCTGAGCTTCCCCTTTCCTTTCTACTCACTTCTTTCTGACTATGAATGGCACATAATATACTCATTCACTCTAAAAAGCCACCTGAAACGTTCAAGAAGCATTCCTCTTGCATAGTAACAGCTCCAGTCAGGGCACTGAGGCCCCAGTCAGGGACCAACCCAGCCACAGTGAGGTATTCTGAGCATTTCACAAGGCTCCTTAACAGCTTTGAGATCTGAATCCCTCTCAAAACCTAACAGAAGCTACGGAATCCTCTCCATGCATGTGCAGATTTTGCAGAAAATTTCATGGGATTCATCCCCTAAAGCCTATTCATGGCTCCCAATTAAGTTCCCACATTGCACCTAGTTTATTAAAACCAAGCCTTTATATCCCTACACAGAATTTCCAGGTCATTATGAAGGCACATGTATGAACCAATAAATTAATTTCACTCACACTGACAATCTAGATGTGACTGAGCCTACTGAAAACCCAAACAGTCAATTCACTGACAGTTCCATTTCTTTATTGGTTTTTCTTTCATCAAAATCAATGAGATAACGACCATGGCCTTTTTTTTTTTTTTAATGAAGTCTCGCTCTGTCACCCAGGCCAGAGTGCAGTGGTACAATGCCAGCTCACTGCAACCTCCACCTTCCAAGTTCAAGCAATTCTCCTGCCTCTGCCTCCCAAGTAGCTGAGATTACAGGTGTGCACCACCACGCCTGGCTAATTTTTGTATTTTTAGTAGAGACAGGGTTTCACCATGTTGGCCAGGCTAGTCTCAAACTCCTGACCTCAGGTGATCCGCCTGCCTCCATCTCCCAAAGTGCTGGGGTTACCAGCGTGAGCCACTGCACCCAGCCACAACAACCATGGCTTTCATTTTTATTTTGCCAATAAGACATATCTGTTACAGACATTTAAGAAACTTAGAGTCAGGTAGTTCACAAGAACTGGTTCTAGGGAAGAGGAGAAGCTGGCAGACCTAAGCTCTTTGATATCTAATACTGAAGATCCTCTGGCCTTATATAAATCAATGGGCCATTGCTGATGATATTTTCTGAATACGACCACGTGGCATCGTCCATATGATGCAAGTGAAGGGGAATCGCTTACAGAATGAGCAAAAGCTCCACTTTCACAAATGACCTTTCCAAAGGAGGTTCAAACAGCCTGCTTAATTAGAAGTTTATATTTAGAAATGGTGTTGGCAAGAAAGTCTCCCTCCCTTCCTGCTACCTCAGAAGACTATGTGAAGCCCTCAAGGAAAAACTACTATGATAAAAAATCGTGACTGGTCAGCACATCTCCAAAAGCTGCATGGGAATTCCCCTGTGGGAGTGAAAGCCTGAGACACGTACATCACATGACACCATCACCTGAAAGCCTGGATGTTTAAAGTGTCATCCTCGAACACGAGGAGCAGCATCTTAAAGGGATCTTGGCACCCCGTGCAAACTTTAGGAAGAAAAGTTAAGAACAAACATGAATAATTACAAAGCAAAAGAAAAAGAACGCCAACCACTCACAAAAACAGAAACAGTCTGGCTAAACTTTAGACTCTAAAGTATAAACTGAATGCCTCTTGACTAGTCACTTACACACTTTCTCAAAGGAGAAACAAGAGTGGGTACCAATTTAGAAAGTGAATTCCTTTGTACATAGTGGATGATGACAGCAAGACTATACAATCAGTACAAAGAAATGGAGAGACAGCTCTGTTGCTGTGGCCACAGCTTGAGCAAAACTCAGTTCCAATGCAAGCCACTCTGAGCTGGGAGCTGTGCACCCTCCAGCACACAGTGTGGCAAGCTGGAAAGCCCCTGGCACTTCCAGTTTTCAGCAGCTTCCAGCTTTTCGTCTGCTTATCCCACAGAGCACTGGGAAATGTGGTGAACAACCTATAGGAAAAACTGGTAAGCTTTCTGTTTTGGTTCTGGTTTTTTGTGTTTTTTATTGTGGCAAAATATACATTACATAAAGTTTACCATGTTAACCATTGCTAAGAGTGCAATTCAGTGGTATTAAGCACATTCACCTTGTGCAACCATCACCACCATCCAGCTCCAGAATTCTTTTCTTCTTGCAAAACTGAAACTCTGTACCCATTAAAAAACTCCTCATTCACCCCAGCTTTCCCAGCAACTACCGCTCCACTTTCTGTCTCTATGAATCTGACTATTCTAGGAACCTCATAGAAGTGGAGTCATATGGTCTTTGTCTTTTTGCATAATGACCTCAAGGTTCATCCATGGTGTAGCATATGTCAGCCTCTCCTTCCTAAGGCTGCACAGTCCATTGTAGACATAAACCACCTTTTGTTTATCCATTTGTCAATCAACAGGCCATTGGGTTGCTTCTACCTTCTGGCTGTTATGAATAATGCTGCTATGAACATACAAGTATCTGTTCAAATCCTCGTTTCCAATCTTTTTGGGTGCATACCTAGAAGGGGAATTCTTGAATCATATGGTAATCCTATTTTTCATTGTTTTAGGAACTGCCCTACTGTTTTCCATAGTGGCTGCTCCATTTTGTTTTGCTTTTTTAAGGCCATCACAGAAAAATACCATTTCTTGTCTAAATTTTATCATTACTGTTGACAGAGAGAGAATATGAAAGAAGGCAGAACCTCATTCTGGTACAGAAGTCAGACACTTTCCACTTATTCAAGGAAACATTTTTAAGCTGTGTAAAGATGTGAGCTTGGAAAGTACAATTTTTGCCAAGTACTTTGTCTTCTTTAATGCTCAGAAATGCTAAATGACTCTCCCTTAGTACAGGCCTAGAGCTTGGCAGAGCTGTCACAGAGCAGTGTGTGGAGACAACACCAAGCAGAAATTCATGGCCTGATTGATGTCAATGAATATTTATTCTTAATGTTTTAAAAAAATATGATGTGCCTGTCACTCAGGCCTTAGGCACACAGTACTGGAGAGCTCTAAAAGTTTACCAAATGCATTACTTGCTCTCATCGTTATCCCAGGAACCAGTCAGATAAAGACAGGAGGGTGCGAAGGATGGATCTGACAAACCGAGGTCCCAAAGGCTGCCTGTGGTAAGCGATGGCTGTGGGCACTGGGTGTCTGGGCCCCTCCAGTGTGGCTGTGCCATCTCATACTTGCTCCCATCCAGTTGGCTCCACTTTCCAGACACATGGGGAGGATCATAATCCTCCCTCCACTCCTCACCCCGACTCTGGCCAGCTCTGGTCACAACAGATCACAGGCAGAAGAGACATGTGTCACTTCTAGAGCTGGGCACACTCCCTTCTCCTACCGTGCCTATCATGGAGATATGATACAGGCACTACAACATGAAGTGGAGGCTGGAAGGCTAAGCCACCACGTGGAGCTGACTGCCCTGCAGAGTTGTGGGGGTCCCCCAGTAGACTCTGCAAGAGTGAGAAATAGGATTTGTTATAGCTGTCTGTAATAAGCCACTGGGATTTTGGTGTTGCTTGTCACTGCAGCATAACCTAGCCTAACCTGACTGATAAACCTTCAATACCATGATTTTGTTGGGAAACCTCTCCTCCCCAACATTCAAACTGTATGGTCTCATGGGGTTCCATTCCTGACTCCAGAAGGAGGGCATGTAACCCAGGCCTGGCCTAACAGAGCACCTGAATTCCCTTAAGAATGCTGACTAGTTTGAGGCAGACATGGGATCCCCTCCAGCCAATCATCATACTTTCTCTACAGCCAAAGTGAACCAATAAGTCCAATCAGGTCAATTTCTGGATTTGTAAGGGAATTTCAGGGAAGAGGCACTCTTTTCTTCCAAAGGTAGATTTAAGAGAACATAAATCTGGAGATGTGAGGGGCCACTGCTAGGAACCTGGAAAAGATGTCAACGGGAAAGAGTTAAGTTTTCTATTGCTTACATCCAAAGGAATTCTAAAAAAGTTTATTTTAAGAAAATTCAGCCACTCAAACTTCTGACGATAAATTTTTAACTTTTTAACCTGGTATCAAAGGCATTCCCTATGTATACTTTAATCCATTTCTCCAATCTTAAATTCTCCTTCCCATGCCCTACTTTCAACAAGATGGGTCATCCACTGCTCTGTGTTCTCCAACATATGCTGTAGCTGAATACTGACCAGAGTTACATCTGCCTGGAATATTCTGTCTCTGTCTAATGTCTATGCATAAACACCAATCAGCTATGTGAAAAGAATGTCAAGTAAGACTTTCCTTCAAATTATGCTATAAAACAAAACACCATGTGAGTCAGAGTTTAAAAATTTTAAACATTAAAAAGGTAGAAAAAGAAACATGCGAGTCAGAGTTTAAAATTTTTGAACATTAAAAACAAGAATATATACCATTTATTTCATCTCTGAATAAAACATAACTTTCCAAATGTTAAAAAAAAAAAAGCAACAGAATAAATCACGAAGAAAACTATTGACAGATTTGCAACATAAGATTTTTTAACACCTATGCATCTAAAAATATGAAAACAACAATTTGGGGAAAGAGGTGAGTATATTAGACCAAAAAATTGAAAAGACAAACAGCAATGGTCTAGTATTCTTAATATTTTAAAAATCCATACAAAAGGAAATTAAATAGCTGGTAAACTAAATGTTCAACCACTCGAATTACCAAAAAAAGCGAATTAAAACAAGTAAACACAGTTAACAGTAGATGTCTCAACAGGTGGAATTGCAAATGTCTCTACTGTCTTTATTTCATTTACATGGTTTTCTATAATAAGCATGTGTTATTTGGCTAAGAAATAAAGTAAGAAGTCATTTTCCTCTTGTCAGATTGCAGCAGTGTTTCTGCTGCTAGTGGTAGTGCTATCCGTGTGTGTTGTTTTGGGGGTGTTCTATTCTTGTTTTGTCTGTAATAACGGAATCTGGTGCCAGGACCTGGGCAGCTTCACTCCTTGCTGTTTAAGAATATAAATCAGAACAAGCTTTCTAGAAAACAGCTTGGCAATATGTATCAAGAGTCTGTTAAAAATATTCATACCCTTTGACCCAGTAATTCCCTTTCCAGGAATCTATGCTAAGGAAATAGAGATATAGGTAAAGATTTATATGCAAACATTTTGTTGCATTGATATTAATAAAGCAAAAACTGGGGGAAAACATGCTCCATTTGGAGGCCCAAACGTACATCTCAGATATTTGAACTCAGAAACCCTACTATGTTAGCAAGAATATGATCAGAGAAGGTGAGATACACTTGAAAATCCTTAAAAGTTCAATTGTATTGATAAAGTAAATCACAATCCCAGAGACACTAAGATGGCATTTTTCTTTAGTTATGATTTTTATTTTTGGTATATGTCCTAGATTTCAAGCTGTTTTTCTAGAAAAAAAGAATATACAGATCAGGAGTCCCTGAAGAAGAAATGGAAGAGGTGAAAAATTTCCCGGAGAATTTTAGAAGTTACAAAAAAAAAAAAACAGAAAAAGCCTCCATTCTCCACTACCCTCCATGTACCACGAGGCTTTCCGTGAATCTCCCCAGTGCTCAGTCAACCAAAAAGTTAATCTAGTGGATAATAATTATGTGCATTTACTATATACCAGGCACTAAGAAGTACACGACCTCACTTAATGCAAGACACTATTATACCCATTTCACAGAGGAAAATGAAGATGAAATTAACAGCTCGAGGTCACATTTTAAATATCTATTTCTATGTTCCTAAATCAACAAAACAGAGCATTTTTTTGGTTTGTTTTCTGGGTGTTTTTTAATTTGCTTTTCCCTAATTGGACCAAATCTCAACTTCTGTTTATATTTCATAATATTCATATACTTCAAGAATACTCCCAGATATTCCAAATACTTTAAGATTTCATATTTATTTAACATGGCTTCAAATTCTCCTTTAAAAGTTCACGTGTAGATTGAAAACATCAAGGTTTCAAAATTTCTTTTAAAAGTATACCTATGGATTGGAAATGTGAAAATAAGCATAGGCATT